>NC_000006.12:118707153-119010183 GCF_000001405.40 Homo sapiens | reverse complement strand
AAGAAGTATAGAAAAACTTAAATTTTCTCTGAAGTCTGCTGCCTGGAAGAAAGGGAGTCTTCTCCCAGTTCACACAAGTTTTGTTTGCTTCTCTTTCCATGTTCTGGGGCTGCTTCCACACTGAGGGGTATTGCCTTTTTCCTGCTTAGAGGCACACATGGCCTAGCAGCTGCCTTGGTACAATACAAGGTCAAGAAAGTGAAGGCATTTAGGGTCCTTCTAGGAGTTAAATACTTTCATTCTGAGATGTTAAAGAGATTTTATTCTTAATTGCTAGTAAGTATATACGAAGTTTTTCTGTAAGTGACTCATTCATTTATTTAATAAATATGGAATGCCTATTAGGTACCAAAGCACTGTTACACACTGCGGTTTCAGTGATAAGTCAGTCAGACATGGTCCCTACTACTATGGACAGACAGACACAAAAACAAGTAAACACAAGTCTGAGGCATATTACAAAGGGTGGTAAGTAATTAACAAGGGCTCGTCAAAATAATAAATTTAGGAAAGCTTATGCAAACGCTCTGAGGCATGAGAAATTTCTAGGAATTGTAAGAATACCAGTGGTATTAGTCTGTTTCATGCTGCTGATAAAGACATACCTAAGACTGGTTAATTTACAAAAGAAAGAGGTTTAATTGGACTCACAGTTCCACATGGCTAGGGAGGCCTCACGAACATGGTGGAAGACAAGGAGGAGCAAGTCACATCTTACATGGATGGCAGCAGGCAAAGAGAGAGCTTGTGCAGAGAAACTCCCATTTTTTAAAAACCATCAGATCTCATGAGACTCATTCACTATCACAAGAACAGCGCAGGAAAGACCCACCCCATAATTCAGTCACCTCCTACTGGGTTCCTCCCTCAACATATGGGAATTGTGGGAGTTACAATTCAAGATGAGATTTGGGTGGGGACACAGCCAAACCATATCACCAGAAAAAACGGAGTGTGATAGCAACTATAATAATATTTATTTAGTGCTTACTGAGTCCCAGACTTTGTTTTATATAGCCTCTTTATACTGTTCTCTCCTTTAATCCTCACAGCAACCCTGTGCAGTAGGTACCAGTTACTAAAGCATAGAAAAGTTAAAATAACTTGCCCAAGTCAGCACATAATAAGTAGGTAAAGCCAGAATTCCATTTCAGGTAGTGTGCTTTCAGAACTCAATTCTTAACCCTACTCTTTCTCTCAATTAGTATATAAAGACCAAGAAGAAGGGATGCCATGCTGAGGTTGGAGATTTCAGCAGGGGCTATGTTGTGGAGGTCTTGTAAGCCCCATGAAAGATTTTGAAAGTTATCCTAAGGGCAGTGAAAAACAGTTGAAAGATGATAAGTATAAATATGTGGATGCTTGTGCAGTGGATGGGGCTTATGCTCGTGTCCATATTTGTAATTTATAAAAAACTCACTGTAGTGTTGCAAGGAGAGTGGATTAGAGAAGAACAAATAGAGGTAGACGGATATTTCAGGGAGGAGGTTTCTACTTACTGTATTCCCTCAGTTTGTACATTAATATGGAGAATCTGAGTATTTATTTCTATTGCAAATGACAGAAATCCTACCTCAAACTAGCCTAAAGAAAAAAAAATTTATTGACTCATGTGACTGTAAAGTCCAAGGATAATGTTAGCATCAGGCAAGACTAGATTCAGAACTGAAATTGTGACAATGGAACCCAGCTTTTCTTTTTCTCTTAAATTGGGTTTGTTCTTGTGTTGACTTCATGCTTCAATCACATATTCCCTGAGGTATACGTGGAGCTGGCAAAAAACCTTTTCTGGGAGCTCCTTTTAAAGTCCTGAGATCACTGTGACTAGATAAGCTTAAACCATGTGCCTGCCCCTGAACCAATCCACATACAAACAAAATGAGATGACCTTATTGGTTTACGTTTCAATGAAGCACTTCATTCTGGAGTTTAAGTTGAGCGCTTACTAAGACCACATGGACCGATAGAGAAGGCGAGTAGATGCCCCAAATGCCATAAGGAGATTTTGTTATTGGGAGACAATAGGTGTTTTCCCCATGTATCCATTTTTATTGTATTTAAGAAAACAAACTGATCAGTTATGTTCAACACTTATTTGCTTTTTATATTTTATTACATTTAACTTTGCAGAAGTTTGAAGTTTTTGCCTATTTAAATATTCTATCTCTAGATTTGTAATTGCCTTAATAGACCTTCTCTTTGAATTCTTTACATTGTTACTAGAATACTGTTTTTTTTTTTTCTTGAGGCAGAGTCTTGCTCTGTTGCCAGGCTGGAATGCAGTGGCACAATCTCGCTCACTGCAACCTCTGCCTCCCAGGTGCAAGCAATTCCCCTGCCTCAGCCTCTCAGGTAGCTGGGATTACAGTCGCGCGCCACCACACCCGGCTACTTTTTGTATTTTTAGTAGAGACGGGGTTTCGCCATGTTGGCCAGGCTGGTCTTGAACTCCTGACCTCAGGTGATCAGCCTGCCTCGGCCTCCCAAAGTGCTGGGATTACAGGCATAAGCCACCGCGCCCAGCCCTAGAATACTATTCTTTATAATTTATTTAATGGAAGAATTTTACCAAACTTTTAAAAAACAGGTAATTCTTTTGCTGTGAAAATATTTCAGAGCACAGAAAAGATGTGTAGCTCCCCTAATTATCTTATGAGATTAGCATTCCTTTAGAGACACCACCAAGATAAAATACTACCACCACCAGTATTGCAGAGCATATACCTGCATAGAGAGGGGACAGGAAGGCCGTGCACTTGGGGAGGGAATTGTGGGTCAGAGAAGGATTGAAGGAGAATTTTTGTATTTTTTTTTTGTAATGTCTGTATTTACAAGGAAAAATAGGTATTATTTTTAAATTACCAATTTCAACTTTTGTAGAAATTTCATAGGCTTGGCCATTTTATAAGAATGCGGTTTTTACTTTATAGCATTGTCCTAAATAATTTGAAATATTTCATGTATGTATTTTAGTATTCATAACTTTATGGTAGGGATATGCTTAATCAGCAATTATCTATTAGCTTCTAATTTCGAGTGTATAAATTCAACTCTTAAAGATTTAATGAGAAATTTTGTATGGAAACACAGGAATCATAACTTACTCTAGTTTATAATACATTTACCAGCTTATCAATATTGACCTAAATTTATCCCCTTTGCAAATAGCAGGAGATATGGACTCAAATGAAATATGTGATTAAATTTTAAAGGATGGTTTTTAAGATATTTTTATCTAAAATTTTGTTTTACTCTTTTATATAATCTTTATCTTGCTTCAGCTTCTTATAGGTATTTTATTATATGGTGGAACTAGGAATTCTCTTTGTTAAACAAAGGTATATCTATTCCTTTACATGGTTGTCATGAAAAAAGAAGATCTTAAATGTGAAAGTCTTTTCAAAACACAGCAGAAGAAAGCTGTCATGGTTATTTGAGTGCTTTTTCCAAATTAATCAGGAAATCATCCATTCAGTAAAATTACAACTAAATAAAAAACTTTAGGAAGAAATTGTAAGACTATTTTGCTATTCTATTACAATGAAATATATTAAAAGTACTCTATTTACTTACAGATTGGCCACCTCCAAGATATGGTAAGGAAAAGTGAACAAGGTCTTGGCTCTGCAGAAGGACTTATTGCTAGTCTTCAGGACTCCCAGGAAAGGCTTCAGAATGAGCTTGACTTGACTAAAGACAGCCTAAAGGAGACCAAGGATGCTCTATTAAATGTGGAGGTAATTTCATAATTCTACTGCAATCTAAACAGCGGCAAAATAAAAATAGAATTTAGCCATTTGACCTAGAGCTATTTAAACAGCACATTGTATATAATTAGTATATTAGTTCTTAGAACTACCATAACAAAGTACTACAAACTGGGGAATTTAAAACAACAGAAATTTATTCTCTCATAGCTCTGGAGGCTAGAAGTCCAACATCAAGGTGTTGGCACAGCTATGTTCCTTCCTAAACTCTAAGGGAAGATCCGTCCTTGTATTTTCCAGCTTCTGGTAGCACCAGGCATTCTTGGCATTCGGCAACATAATTTCCATCTCTGCCTATCTTCACATCTTAAAAGGATACCAGGCATATTGGAACAAGGGCTCATTCTACTCCAGTTTGACATCATCTTAACTTAATACATCTGTACTGACTGTATTTCCAAATAAAGTCACATTCTGAGGTATTGGGAGGGTAGGACTTCGGTATATCTTTTTGGGGACCCAGTTCAACCGATAACAATTGGAACGTGCAATTCTTTTACTAGTAAGAGGTAGAACTCTCATATACAGCAACTAAGTGCTTCTCTGTGTCTGCAGATTTCAGAAAGACTCTGCCTTTTTTCTTCCACTCTTATGAAGCACAGCAAAGATTTAGATTGTCTTAGATAGTAGAGAAAAAGAATCCATAAAACTGGGTGTATAGTACCCAGGAAGTTCTTAATCTTTTCCTTCAGAGAGATGGTTTAGAGTATAGGCTCTGAAGTCAGGTTGGTTGTATGTAAATTCTGAATCCACCACATAGTGTGTAGCTTTGTGCAAAGCCTCACCTTCCACATCTGCACAATGAAGGAGAGGTGGGGGGTAATAACACTCTTCACAGCACTGTTGTAATAATTAAATGAGATGAACCATTTATAGCACAGTGCTTAGCAAAATAGTAAACACTCAGTAAATACTGCCTTTTACTAATATTATTTCAGATTTTCTTTTTTAGTTCAGAATTGGTGACATTTCAAAAGCATATAAACAAGGACACTTTAGTGAATTTACCTTGTGTGTGGGGCATACATAATTCTATTTATATTTTATCTATGATATATTCTGTGTGCATTGAATATTTACCTTCCATTTTGAATTATGTGACAATAAATTACTTCATTTTCCTCGAATCATTTCCTTATGTTTACCTTTCTCCGGTGGCTGTGTGATATGACAGTGTTAATATATAACAAGAAATAATTGGAATTTAGAGCTAGTATAATATACAACTTGATATATTTAGTTTCTGTGATGCCAAATATATTGACTATAATCTCGATGGTAGCATTCTGTGGTGTGAAGCTGAACTCGATGACCAAACTATATTAAGAGGTGTTTTTTCCATTGTCAACAAATAAAAGGAAAATGATATTTTAAGGTAATACAAATATATTTAAAAGTAGACAGTTGAAATATTTCTAATGAATGTTAATTGAATATAGGTTGTGTTTATATGGTATCATGGAAGTTCTGTCTTGCCTTGGTGCGCACCCAGTTCCTGACTTTAAGGTATTTTATCCTGGCTGCCTTTCCCCCGGCTGTCCTGGCACTGAGTATTGGGCTTACTGATTCAGTTTCATTTCTTTCAGGTCTTTTTTCATATTTACATCGTACTTCTGTCCAGTAGTAGAAAATAATAAACACTTTAAGCAAAACTCTATCAATTCTTCATTTTCTGTTCTGCTGGAGAATTTTAACTGACAAAATATAGATGCTGCATCCTGGTTTACCACAACTCTGCGTAAGCTCCTTAAGACCAAGTGTTTTTTTGGTACCTCTTTTCCTTTAACCTACCCCAATAATGTCTAATGATGTACTTTGCATTGAGGAAAAGAAATACATTTTAAGCAGTCTACTCCGTTTAATGTTGCCTTTGGCGGAAAATTAAAGAATTACTAGAGGCAAAACACTTAGTGAAAAGAACAGTTGGCTAAGATGGCTGCCTTCAATTCTCAATACTTACTGCTTAGTAGCCAGGCCAACAATGTAGAATGGCAATTTCAACATTGGCTTGTTTTTTTCTCATTAATCTGGGTATACCCTTCAAAAACTGCCACACCACATGTCATTAGCAAGTGGATGATCTAGAAAGGGTCATTGTGATAACAGGAAGATAGACCATCATCTGCTCCTCTTCTGCCTTGTGTCCCAAGAGCAGCTGCTCTGCTGGCAGGGGCCGATGGTTGCCACTGTTGTCCAAACAGGTCACCTCTATCCCCAGGCTCCACAGAGCCACTTGATTCATGCTAATCTACAGGAATTGTGTATATATTGCAGCATATTGCCATAACAATGAACACACGGACCACTAGTTTGCAGTTACATAATAAAAACAGTAGCCTAAATTCTGCATAATTATTTTTATGGTGTCAGGTACAGCTATATACTTAAGTTTTGAGCAAGTAACATACTTTTGAATATAAGTGAATTTGAATAACATATCTGTCTATGTAATGGGTGTACAGGTAAAGGTAATTGGATAATCAGTCTACCGTTAGATACCTAATATATGGAAAGTGTAATTAAGATGATTAATGCTGACTTTAAACTATTTAAATAATTTGTGATATAAGCCTTAATAAAATACAGTTTAGACAAGAACATGTAAAATATAAAATTTGTTTTACATATTTTATTTTCAGAAAATCTTGAGTCATTTTCACAGATAGCATTATCAAGTATTGGGCTGTAAGAATTTAAAATTAAAAGTTTTAATACAAGCACTTTACTTATTTAAAATAACCAGCAGTGTTTGTTTTTGAAGTTTAGTCTTCATTGAAAAGTTTTTATTCTTCAGGGTGAGCTAGAACAAGAAAGGCAACAGCATGAAGAAACAATTGCTGCCATGAAAGAAGAAGAGAAGCTCAAAGTGGACAAAATGGCCCATGACTTAGAAATTAAGTGGACTGAAAATCTTAGGTACATTTTTTATTCTGTAATCTTATCAATAAAGACATGCAAGAAAGTTTTTCTCTTGTATGACTCACATTATCCTATTGTTAAAGACATAGTAGCAGTATTTTAAATTAAAATTTCCTGTGATTAGAGACAGAGAAATTGGATTTATTTTCCGTTTGAATTCAGATTTACTTTTTGCATTTCCTTGAATATAAAATAGGCAGTAAACTAACCTAAAGTCAGAAGACTTATTTGTTCTGGTACCTATTCTGCTGTTAATAAATTGATAAATGAGTGATATTGGGGTAAGTTACCAATTTACTTTACAGCCCTTAAGTAAATAATCTGCTTTCCTCAGCATCATAGACTTTTGAAGAGGATTAATTAAGCGCTTAAAAAACCTGTAGACTCTATTACAGTCAGTGAAAGGAATAATTCTCTTTACAAAGTAAATGCAGTTGTTTTATTTTAGACAAGAGTGTTCTAAACTTCGTGAAGAGTTAAGGCTTCAACATGAAGAGGATAAGAAGTCAGCAATGTCTCAACTTTTGCAGTTGAAAGATCGAGAGAAAAATGCAGCAAGAGATTCATGGCAGAAGAAAGTAGAAGATCTCTTAAACCAGGTAATTAATAATGTGTACATGATGAAGTTTCATCTCCCTTGACATTCTCTGGCTAGGCAAATATTGTAAAACTCTGTTAATTCACTGAATTTTGTTATTTTTCATGGGACAAACTTAAAACTTCTAAAAATACATAAAACCAGGAAGATGTATTTATAAACTTATAAAACATTTTGCTAAATCATTGTTATATATGCAGTCTGAATACCGAGAAGAATTTATTATGATTTTTTAGTTTAATATTTGACCTGAATATATTTAAGATTTTAAATGGGAAAGTTACCTATGTTTTGAAAGCATAAAATCTTTTTTCATGTCCTTAGATACTGTTTGGGCAACAGAGGGTAGAATTTATTATATGTATCATGATTACCTAAAACCACTTACCAAAAATGAACAGCTTACTTTTCTCACCAAAGGAGCGTTGCCTGCTATCCTTCAAAATGCTTTAAGCCCCTTAGAGTATAACATAAACAAAAGGTGGTAGTATTCCTAAATCTGTGTTCTTATGTTATGCTTGCTTATTTCCATAACATTTGTAACTGTAATTAAAAGAATTTGCACATTTTCACTCATTTACACAACTTTTAAATTTATTAATTCTTAACATTCTTCCGCAGAGCAAGTCATTAAATAGGATTAACTGCATGAATCACCAGTTGATAAGCAAGTGCAGAACTTAGACAAGAAGCAGCTCAATAATGTAGTTCCAGAAACCTACCATTATCTTTCTATTTGTGAGCATGATGAATTTCAAAATAAATAGGATAGACTTTTTGTAAGATCATTTGTTACATAGCTACATACATGCAGTGTCTTTCAAGAATACTTGGGGCCTGCCAATTTGTGTCTAGTATCTCATAATTATAATGTTACTCTGAAAAGAGAGAATACATATGTATGTTTACATTTGTGTATATATGAGCTTTTGTCAGTCACTTGAAACTCAGACAAAAAAAAGAACAAGGGAACAACTTTTACTAGAATTTGGACACCACATTAGCATTGCTTATGATAGACTTATTTTACATTCCTTTTAGGGACCCACAAGGACAGATTTTACTGGGTAGGGTGCTACTGATCCCCTATTGTTAGACGAGTAGTAAGATTCTGCCCGTAGAAAGATTAAATTACTTTGATTATTTAATAGAGATATATTTTTTCAACCAGAAAGTATTGAACATAGACAGTTTTCGGCTGGGTTTGCACTGTAAAGTGGCCCACCGCTTCTCCTGCCGATTTTCTATCAAATTGTTTTATTTGTTATTCCTTTAATCTCTTGTATTAGTTTGTCAGATGCCATCCATACATCTCTGAATTTTGTTTTCTTCTTTTTTTCTTTGGGTGTCTATTCTGCAGTTCTTTCCTGAGAGGACCTAATGCTTTGCATCTTGTGGTTCTGTATATCATAAAATAATGTATTACATATTAGCTCCAGTTTTTGCCAGCTTTACAGAATTTCTAAATCAATTTTCAAAGCAGATTAACCATAAATATCAAGATAACCGGGAATTAATTGGTTCCAAAGGTAAAACTATTCTGTGATGCTCCATGCCATCAGACCATTTCCAAGATTATAATATCTTCCTTTTTCCACACTTCTGAATTGTTTAGGCACACGCATTGCCATAGAGAAACTGGCAAGTAGCTGTTGCACTCCAGGATTGTCTATGCCTGAAGAAAATTAAGAAAACAAGTGCACAAAAAGATGCCCCATTAAAGTAAAAATGGGTATGATGCTATCAAGGTTTCATCCTTTCTAGGCATACTAGATGACAAAAAATTATAGTAGGACCAGTGGTTCTTTTTAAATGGAACGTCGTTATGGACAAAACCTTCCTTCTTGGCTCTGGATCTTGTTGTCTCGACTCC
The DNA here is from genome assembly GCF_000001405.40 of Homo sapiens. NCBI lineage: Eukaryota > Metazoa > Chordata > Mammalia > Primates > Hominidae > Homo > Homo sapiens. The sequence goes on along the minus strand of NC_000006.12, from coordinate 119,001,026 downwards.
TTTGGATGGATTTCTAGAGCCTGTGCTCTAAAGCCCCTCTACCACCTTCTACTTGCCTGCCCCTGCTGCTAAGCCCTGTTCCCCATAACCTCCACCCCCAGCCCTACCCCTAGGACCCTTTCACTGCCTTCACTCCTACTGGTCTCACTCATTTCCTTTAGCCCCGCAAGGCCAGCAGCATTCAGCACATAAGGGAAACAGACATGGCTTGGGATTCATGATATTAAAGGAGTAAGACAGGAATAGAATTGGAGTGGCTAGGGCTTAGGCAGAGGCATATGCTATGAAAAAGTATCAGAGGATGTGCGTTTTCACATATTTTAACTATTTCTGAGTGAAAAACATGAGATTTTTATACCTTAACATACCTGAATTTCATCCTATTTAGAGGAAAGGAGTGAAATAACTTGTCTTTCCTATGAATCTCTTGAGAGTTAAATTAGATTTAAGCCGGCCATCATGGGCTGCCTATCTAAAAATGAGCATTAAAAGCATAAAATTTTCATTTTACTTGAATCAGATGTTTTTCACTTCATGGAATTTTCCAAAAGCTATTATTTTCATTCTGTGCTACGATTCAGTCAATTTTGTATCTTTTAGTTTCCTTTTAATATTTCATTGTGTTCTCTCTTTCTGTCCAATGATTACACTTTAGTCCAAGGCTAATTATGCTTCTTGGGTTGATCAGTGTATACATTTGAATTCTTTAAAGCGAAAAAACTACATTCTTATTCTTCAACTCTATCCAAGGAAAAGTGATTATATAGAGTTTTCTGTGATCATATTTTCTATTTGTGATTTTAAAATGCCATCACTTGTTCCTTTCTTTCATCTTTTTTAAGGCAGATTTTATTTTGGGTCCAATATAATGATTTACTTATTCAGCCTTAAAGCATTGGACTGAAAAATTAAGGGAGATGCACAGACCATTGAGACACAGAACTATGGAATTTTACAGTTTGAGTCTGACTCTCCATTTTGTAGATGTGAACTTTGAGACAAAGTCATTTAGCTGATTATAGCCCTGTATCTGACACAATGTTTATACTTCACAAATTTACAATCTAATAGGAAGATTTATATATAGGTACTTAAAAGTCACTGTGCAGTAGGTGACTTTAAAAATGATCCAAGCAGTTTGTACTGAGTAATGATGTGTTGGTGCTGGCTCCTACCAGCTCATCATAGCTAATTGTGCACCTCTCTTACCAGCACCACATTGGGGGACATCATGTTGATGACTTGCAGTCTCCTGTGGTAGTTGCATTTATATCACAGATATCAGCAAATGCTACAAATCGGGTCATTGCTTTTCAGAGAGCTGTTAAACATTTACCAGCATACAACTGGTCAGGAGTATAAAGTCAAGAAACAGTATAATATAGCCAGTGTGCTTGGGGAAGGTTTCATTGAGGAGGCCAGCTTTAGTGGGACTCATGAATAGGGCAAAGGATGAACACAGAGGAGTGACAAAAATATAAAGGTTTTTATTCACTTAGTAAACATTTTATTAAACATATGTGTATATTTCCCAGGCATTACGAGGAATACAGTAATAAGAAAAACAGTGTTGGGGGCAGTTTGGGTAGAGGTTATTGTGGAAAACCTTGACTTCCAAGCTTAGGAGTTTAAAGATTACTTGGTAAACTATGAGATTCTGTCAAAGGTTTGTGGAAAAGAGAATAACATGTTGAAAATTTTATTTTAGGAAGCTTAATATGACTTTTATATTGAAGTAAGAATGAAATAGAGACATTTCAATTTAAATATCTAAATTAAAGTGTTTGGAACTGAACTCTTGAATGGATACCATGTACCGCCAGCTCCCCTCAACCTCAGCCAAACTGCTCTTTCTAGAACTAGCGTCCGTTCACTGTTTACTGCTCAGCCATCTTGGACTCCTGTCTTGTACACCAGACAACTAGTTCATCAGCAGTCCCCACTGCTCTACCTTCAAAATAGATCCTGCTTCTCCCTACTACCTCTACCACCATCTGATTCCAGGACACTTGTAGTTCTTTCCTGTACTGCAACTGTTACCTTGTTTCTACTCTTTACCACCTACAGATTATTTTCTAACCAGCCAAAGTGATGCTCTTAAAATATTAAGTTGGATTATATTACTATCCTGTTTCAAGATGCCTGGTGACTACCTACCACAATTAGAATACAGTCCACACTCATGCCATAGCCTCTAGTACGCTCATGATCTGGTCTCTGGCTGCATTGCCAACATCATCTCCTGTCACTCTCTCCCTTTCTTTTTTACAGCCATGCTGGATCCTTGCAGTTCTTGGAACACACACAACAAGCTGAACCCATCTTGGGGACTTTGCACCTACCAGTCCCTCCACATGGAACCCACTTTCTAGAGATCTGCACAGCTTTTCCCTTCACTTAATCAGTTATCTACTCAAATCTTAACTCCACAAAAAGAGCTTTCTTTACTTACTTTCTCTAAAATAGCACCATCATCATTCACTAGCCTCCTATGCTTTGTTCTCCTTTGTATTCCTTCAGAACATTTACTTCTACACAGTATATATTGATTCTCTCACCTATTCACATGTAAGTTCCACGAGACCTGGACCTTTGTGGTATTCACTAGGGTATCCCCAGCACCTAAAACTGTTCCTGGCACATAGTAAGCACTTGGCAGTTGTTGAATAGAGTGAACAGAATGAGGCACAGAGACCAAAGACGTTTTCAGATACATGAAATACAAATAATTCTGCCCAATTAGGACCTGGATTAAGTTTATCTCACTGCAAGTGCAAGAGAAACTGTAAAAGGATCAATCATCTGCTTTGGTAGAAGAGAAGAAAATATTAAAGTTGACTTGGGTTTGAGCCAGACAGAAAGGAAATCATCATCTGAGACAAGGAAGTCAAGATGAGCTATTTATTTGGGGTGGGGTGTGGGTGACTGGGGAGATGAGATGGTAAGTTTTCTCTTAGATGTATTGATTTTACAATCATAGAGTATTTTAGAATTTTTCATACTCAGTAGGAAAGGGCAATGACTAGACTAAGAAACAGCATTAAAATAAATGCTCTTTATCAAGAGCAGTTGAAAAGCCAGTTTCAGTAAGGTTTGTTGTAAACTGCTTTCTGATTTTTAGACCAATGCTATCCAATATGATAGTAAGTATCCTTTCTTTTTGCTCTTTTAAATATGGTTACTGAAAAACTTTAAATTGTACATGTGGCTCACATTCATGTTTCAGTTAAAGAGCACTGATGCAGACTATCTAGATCATGAAAATATTGACTAAATTTGGCATTAGAGCTCAGTACTCATTCTGCTGTTGTTTTTGTTTTTTTTTTCCCCTGAGATGGAGTCTTGCTGTGTCACCCAGGCTGAAGTGCAGTTGTGCAATCTCAGCCCACTGTATCACTGCAACCTCCACCTCCTGGGTTGAAGTGATTCTCCAGCCTCAGCCTCCCAAGTAGCTGGGACTACAAGTGCATGTCACTGCCTGGTTAATTTTCGTATTTTTAGTAGAGACGAGGTTTCACCATGTTGGCCAGGCTGGTCTTGAACTCCTGACCTCAGGTGATCCACCTGCTTCGGCCTCCCAAAGTCCTGGGATTACAAGTGTGAGCCACTGCGCCCGGCTGCTATTCTTTTTCTTAGCTTTGAATTTTCATTATGTTAGCAAGAAATGTATTCTGTCTCTTTTAATTTTTTTTTTTTTTTTTTGAGATGGAGTTTCACTTAGTCACCCAGGCTGGAGTGCTTTGAGGTGATCTTGGCTCACTGCAACCTCTGGCTTATTTTTATATTTTTAGTAGAGATGGGTTTTGCCACGTTGGCCAGGCTGTTCTTGAACTCCCAACTTCAAGTGATCTGTCCACCTCTGCCTCCCAAAGTGCTGGGATTACAGGTGTGAGCCACCACGCCCAGCCATACCACTACCTTTCAACTTTCAATGGAAGAATAGATGGAAGTAGATTCTGAGGTAGAGGGAATAGCAAGATACCTAGAATAATGATCTCTTCCTGTTTGGGTCTGGTGGCTCACGCCTGTAATCCCAGCATGTGGGAGGCCGAGGTGGGTGGATCACTTGAGGCCAGGAATTCAAGACCAGCCCGGCCAACATAGAGAAACCCTGTCTCTACAAAAAGTACAAAAAAAAAAAAAAATTAGCCAGGCATGGTCATGCACACGTGTAATTCCAGCTGCTTGGGAGGCTGAGGCATGAGAATGGCTTAAACACGGGAGACAGAGGCTGCAGTGAGCCGAGATCACACCACTGCACTCCAGCTTGGGTGATGGAGTGAGATTCTGTCTCAAAAATAAAATCTCTTCCTAAGATAACTCAGTCAGATTCCTTGACAGGTTCCCTAAGCAGTGACAGCAGATAGTGAAGCTGACCCTGAAGGCTCTGAGTCCTCTCTCTAGCCGTCAGGAAAGCAAGAACCTATGTTGAATGTACATTCAGAGCCCTGGGGGAAAGAGATGGCTGGAGTAAGATAAGGGAAAGTCATAGGAGAGAGAAACAAAAAGACTAAAGAGAAATAGTGTATGAAGAAAAGAGAAAAGCCAGCTAGAAAGGAAAGTGAGAATAGCTGGCATGACCTAATTTCACTTTCTTAGAAAATGTGGAATGGAATTAAAGTCTACCAAAACCAATCCAAGTCCATCATCCTTATTTTTCCTACGCCAAGTCCTGAATTCAAAGTTAATTGGTGATATTTTCCTTTAAATATGAAAGTTTTTAATTTCTCTTCAATCAAAAAACTGAATGACATTATTACTTTGGCTACATTATATCCTCTTTTATCACACTTATGTGGTTAGTATTCTTCCTCTTAAGATTTTTTCTTCTAAGATAAATGATGCTAAATTGTTTTCTGAATTGATCTAAATAATTTTATTATGAATTAATATTTAATTTTCTTTTCCCTACCCAAAACTCCCTTATTAGAATTTAAGTCCATCCAGTTCTTAAATTGTCACCTTTAGGAGAAGAGAATGAAGAGATGGAACTATGAAATCTGTACCTAGCTTTAAAAGAGAGTGTGCGTTAAGAATACTGGGCAGTCTTTAATGAATACTGAGCAAAATCTGTTCTATGAAGTACTGTAGTAACACCTGTGATGAAATGCAGAACAGTCGGTGACTTCAGAGGTGCTGCAGCCCAGGACACACTTAAAAAATGCTTAAGAACATTTAGACAGCATTATAGTAACAAATCAACTTAATCTGTTTCTCTTTCATGTGATGAGATACTAAAAATAATTAAAATATTTTCAATCTGAAAGGGTTCAGTGATCATATGATTATGAAGTTATGTTAGACCGAGTCTCTGAGAAAAAGTATTAAGCATAACCTAACACATTAGCTTGTTTCTACCTTCATTTTATTTGTATGAATGAAATTCATGTCATTGAATTTTAGTTAAATATCGAACAACAGTTTGTGACTTTTTGTTTTGGGAAATTTTCAGAGCTTTGAATCCCACTTCTGTATCTTAATTTGTTGCTTTCCTCTAGATATTAGTATACTTGAAATTAACATTAGAAAAAGAGTTTACATAATTTGCTTTGAGAAGTTATAGTGTTGTATTTTAAATGTTGAAATTGGACATTTTTTTTCTTTTTTGGAGACAGGGTCTCACTCTGTTGCCTAGGCTGGAGTGCAGTGGCACAATCATGGCTCACTGCACCCTCAACTTTTCAGGCTCAAGTGATCCTCCCACTTCTCAGCCTCCCAAGTAGCTGAAACTACAGGCAGGTATCACCACACTCAGTTAATTTTTGCATTTTTTGTAGATACAGGTTTTCACCATGTTACCCAGGCTGGTCTCGAACTCCTGGGCTCAAGCGATCCACTGCCTCAGCCTCCCAAAGTGCTGGGATTACAGACATGAGCCACCATGCCTGGCCTGAAATTGGAATTTTTTAAAACTTTAATGTATTTTACTTGAATTACAATGTAAGACTAGTATCAATATTGTTTCAAGGAAGTTAGAAATTTTTTAAATGACACAGGTTTTGTCAGTAATGAGAATTCCTTTCTATTGCTTCAGATTTCTTATTCAAAGTAGAATTGAAAGTCGAGCAATAACAATTATGGAAATTCATGGATATATGCATGTGTAATATCTTGTACGTGTAAAGCATTAGTAGTGCTTTTTATTAAGCCCTATGGCAATGTTGCTCTGATTACACAATAGTATGGTGATTCTGATAAATTATAATTAGTCTTCTGGGTGTCTCCTATTTCCCACTCCCAGTATTCAGTGTGGCTTCAAAGGCTTTGTGTGATGATAACCCTCTGGCTTTTTATTTATTTATTTATTTATTTATTTATTTATTTATTTATTTATTTATTTAGAGATGGAGTCTCGCTCTGTTGCCCAGGCTGGAGTGCAGTGGTGCAATCTCGGTTCACTGCAACCTCCGCCTCCCGGGTTCAAGCAATTCTCCTGCCTCAGCCTCCCAAGTAGCTGGGACTACAGGTGCGCGCAACCATGCCCAGCTGATTTTTTGTATTTTTAGTAGAGACAGGGTTTCACCATGTTAGCCAGGGTGGTCTCAATCTCTTGACCTTGTGATCCACCTGCCCCAGCCTCCCAAAGTGCTGGGATTACAGGTGTGAGCCACCGCACCCGGCCAACCCTCTGGCTTTTTAAGTGGCTCTAATCTTGGCCCACATCACCTCCATATTTATTTATTTATTTATTTATTTTAACTCGAGGTATTGAAATCAGTAGTAAGAAATTACTTTTGCATGTTCTTTCATGCATTTATCCATTTATTCAGTCAAAATGAAGTGCCTCTGATATGCTAGGCCTTGTGCCAGAATAGTAACTGGCTCAGAGTGATCTTTGCCTTCCTGGAGCTTACAATCTGAACTGCAAATTGGGTGTTAAATTGCAACTGTGGTAAACATTCATGTGTAACTTGGGGAAGGCGTCTCTAAATGTGGAATTCTTTACCTGAGACCTGGCCAGAAGAACAGCATTCTGAGCAGAGCGGGCAGTGTGTGCACAGCCCCTGAGGAAGCCCTGATGACACCTTTATTCTGGAGAGTGAGAGCTAGGAAGCTGGGGAGGTAAGAAGGATCAGATCACGCCAGGCCTTCTTTGCCTTGTTAGGGATTTGGGACTTTATCCAAAGAGCAGTGAACTGTTGAAGGGCTTTGATCAGCAGGAGGGTGAAATATTCAAATACTGTGATTTCAAAACTGGCTGCAGTGTGGAGAATAGATTAAGGTAGGACAAGCTAGGTGTCACTCAATGAACATTGCTTTCCTCTTAGAAGCCTTTCTGTGTTCAGATTTATATTTTCCGGACAAATAATATGTTTTCTTTTTAGCAATCTAGAATTTTCTCTTTCTGCTATTATTAGGAGAGAATTAATTTAGAGAGTAGCAAAAACTAATCAATGTTAAGAGTTCATATCATTCATTAAGTTTTTGAATAAACATTTGTTAATCATTTACCCTGTGCCAGGCACCAGTTTGGATGCAGAATGTGAATAAGACAGGCTTCTGTCCTCTAAAAGCTTACAATTCAATGGATTTCAGTATTTGTATAATAACATGTTTGCAAATTACAAGCATGTAAAACCTTGTCCTATTTTCTAAATGATTAAACTGAGGTTTAGAACAATTAGATAACTAAGAACATTGTTTTTTATGTACCAAGTGCTAAATTTCTAATTAACTGCAGCAACTTTTTTTAGTTATTGTAAATTTTCTTCCTCACTTATCTCAACGTCTCATTATATCTATCCTTCAATAATAGAATTCCTGAAATACATTCAGTAAACTCACTATGCTGAAGTCTCCAAGTCTTCTCAGTTGAAAAGGCTCTCTTAAGGCTCTTTTCATGAATCTCAAAAATTAACAAGAAATTTAAGATGCTTTAAAACAAATTGACTATTATATAGGCCATCTTTTTGTTAACATGGATCTTACTCATATAGAATGCTTCCCAAATAAGTATTTTTACATACAAATGTTTAGTTTATCCAGTATTTATTTAAGCAGACATGGTGTCTTCACTTGGACTGCAATAACAGAATACCATAGATTGGATGGCTTTAAAACAAAATTCATTAATTAAAATTTACTTTATGATTTTTTGAGATAGGGTCTTGCTGTGTCTCTCAGGCTGGAGTGCAGTAGTACAGTCATGGCTCAGTGTGGTCTTGACCCCCTGGGCTCAAGTGATTCTCTAACTTCAGCCTTCTGAGTAGCTGGCACTACAGGTACATGCCACTATGCCAGCTAATTTTGTTTTTGTTTTTTTGTAGCAACAGGGTCTTACTTTATTGCCCAGGCTGGTCTTGAACTTGTGAGCTCAAGCAGTCCTCCCGCCTCGGCCTTCCAAAATGCTGGGATTACATGAGCCACTGTGCCTGCCCACAACAGAAATTCATTTCTCACAGTTCTGGATTCTGGGAAGTCCAAGATCAGGGTGCCAGCAGATTTGGTGTCTGATGAGAGCCTGCTTCTTGGTGCATAGACAGCTATCTTCTTACTATGTCCTCACGTGGTAAAAGCACCAAGGGAGCTCTCTGGGATTTCTTTATAAGGACATTAAATCCATTCACAAGGGTACTGCCCTCATCAACTAATCACCTACCAAAGGCTGCACTTGCTATTATCCTCACACTGGAGGTTAGGCTTTCAACACATGAATCTGAGGCTAAGGGAACACTTTTAGTCCACAGCGCTTGGGGATCTCAACCAGTCTGTGGTTTAAATACCATCCATATGTCTTTCCTTTACTTCCCATGTAATCCTTTAATCCTATTTATTCCACCTCCAAAACATATTCTAGCTCTATTTGCTTTCATCTTCCCTAGTAAACACTAGTCCAAGCCACTGTTACCAAGGTCTGTCTCCTGTCTGTCCTCATCAATTTCACTTTTCTTACAGCACTCAAAGTGATCTTTCATGATGTAAATCAGATCCTGCCACTCCCTTGCTTAAAATCCTCTCAGGGAGGCTGGGTGCGCTGGCTCATACCTGTAATCCCAGCACTTTGGGAGGCCGAGGCAGGCGGATCACGAGGTCAGGAGATCGAGACCATCCTGGCTAACATGGTGAAACCCCGTCTCTACTAAAAAAATACAAAAAATTAGCCGGGCGTGGTGGCCAGCGCCTGTAGTCCCAGCTACTTGGGAGGCTGAGGCAGGAGAATGACATGAACCCGGGAGGCGGAGCTTGCAGAGAGCCGAGATCATACCACTGCACTTCAGCCTGGGCCACAGAGTGAGACTCTGTCTCAAAAAAAAAAAAAAAAAAAAAAAAAAAAAGTCCTCTCAGGGGCACCCCATTGAATCCAGGCTGTTATTCCGTTATTCCGACTCTCACTGTCCTACTAAACCTTAAGCCAGCTGGCCCCTTTGTGTATCTCCTGTCTCATTTCAGCTAACTGTCCCTCACTAACCCTTTCTCCGCTCCCACACCCACTTGCTCCCAGCTTGCTTTCACCTTCAGGGGCTTTGTGCTAGCTGATCCACTTGCCAGGTACTCTTTCCCCAAAGTTATCTCCTATTTGCATTTACCTCAGTTTAAATGTTACACTTCTAAAATATCTTTTCTGGCCGGGAACGGTGGCTCACACCTGTAATCCCAGCACTTTAGGAGGCCGAGGTAGGTGGATCTCATTTGAGGTCAGGAGTTCGTGACCAGCCTGGCCAACATGGTGAAACTCCATCTTTACTAAAACAAAAAATTAGCTGGGCATGGTGGCACACACCTGTAATCCCAGCTACTCAGGCGGCTGAGGCAGGAAAATTGCTTCAATCCAAGGGGCAGAGGTTGCAGTGCGCCGAGATCGTGCCATTGCACTCAGCCTGAGCGACAGAGCAAGACTTCATTCATCTCAAAAAAAAAAAAAATTAAAAAATAAAATAAAATATCTTTTCTTACCATCAACTCAATATCTCCTCCAGTCATTCCCTATCACACCAGCCTTTTTAAAAATCATAATACTTTTTTCCTTATTTTTTAATTTTTATACATTTGTTTTAAATAAATGTATAAAATTTATACAGGGTGAGATACATAGTTGAATAAGTTGATACATCTTACTCAACTCTGTATCTCACCCTGCACTTAGGATGTTTTCTGGAACATAATAGTACTCTAATTTTTTATTTGTTTATTTATTTTGAGTTGGAGTCTCACTCTGTCACCCATGCTGGAGTGCAGTGGTGTGATCTCAGCTCACCACAACCCTCGCCTCTCGGTTCAAACTATTCTTTTGCCTCAGCCTCCCGAGTAGCTGTAGCTGGAATTACAGGTGTGTGCCATGACTCCTGGCTAATTTTTTTTTTTTTTTGTATTTTTTGTATTTTTGGTAGAGACGAGGTTTCGCCATGTTGGCCAGGCTGGTCTCGAAATCCTGACCTCAAGTGATCCACCTGCTTCGGCCTCCCAGAGTGCTGGGATTACAGGTGTGAGCCACCATGTGCCTAATTAGTATTTTTAAATGAAAAAGGTTACTTCAGTTATGTATTAACAAACAGTGGTATTGCCACCCAGCAGCACTACTATGCCTTTACCAATTGCCATGCCAGGTCTGTGATGTAAGCTCACTTGAGGTCACAGCTTGGGCACTGTACCGATTGGATTCAATATTTTCATGGCCTGCAACTGGGTGTGGACAGAGGTAGTGACCATATGAGTTTAGATTTCAAATATATTTCTGTCATATAAAGCCCCAAATCTACACCTAGGGAAGGGATGATTTGGCATGTCACTCTGATTTGGCATATTCTAATTTATCAAATAATTCAGGAATCTTAAATAACATACATATTTTGTCTGATGACACCTTAAAGAGTGAAAATAAAATCTACTTCATAAGTAAATGGTATAAATTTTAGTTTAACTTCTAGTACTAGGACATCAGTTCTAAGAAATAAAAAGATGTTGGCTGGGCGCTGTGGCTCACGCCTGTAATCCCAGCACTGTGGGAGGCCGAGGCCAGCGGATCACGAGGTCAGAAGATGAGACCATCCTGGCCAACATGGTGAAACCCCGTCTCTACTAAAAATACAAAAATTAGCTGGGCATGGTGGTGGGCACCTGTAATCCCAGCTACTCGGGAGGCTGAGGCAGGAGAATGGCTTGAACCCAGGAGGCTTTGGTTGCAGTGAGCTGAGATCGCGCCACTGCACTCCAGCCTGGTGACAGAGCAAGACTCTGTCTCAAAAATAAATAAATAAATAAATAAATAAATAAATAAATAAATAAATGTAAAAATACTACAACTAAAAGTTCTTCCAATTTTCTTAAGTTTTGTGAAGTCTGGAGAAGTTGTCTCTCATTATTGTATAAAGAATATTGAGTATGAGAAAGAATAAAGTAAAAAGTAAAATTAACTAGTGATGTACATAAAAGCATGAGAAAGTTGAGATTGAGAAGTTATGAAGTCAACATAGAAAATTAATCTTTTTATCTCATATTTGCAACTTTAATAAGTTATATCATTGGATATCTTAGTCTAAGTTATTAGTAAAAATTATTTTCCAATAAAAACTATCTTTAGATTGTGTCACTTGAAGAAATAATTGCAATATGCAAAAAATGGAAACAAAAGAAAATTGCATTCTTTCTGAAAATTAGCAATATAAATATAAAAATATAGCAATATAAATAAAAATATTATTTTGTATTTTTGGAAGGTAAAAAATGAGGTGATTGAAAATGAAATTATATTTTCATTTCCCCCATATTAGGAGGGAGGGAGGGGTATGTAGGTTTTTCCAATGGTTTATCACTTAAAATCATGTCCAGGCTGGGCGCGGTGGCTCACGCCTGTAATCCCAAGCACTTTGGGAGGCTGAGGTGGGCAGATCACGAGGTCAGGAGATCAAGACCATCCTGGCTAACATGGTGAAACCCCATCTCTACTAAAAATACAAAAAATTAGCCGGGCGCAGTGGCAGGCGCCTGTAGTCCCAGCTACTTGGGAGGCTGAGGCAGGAGAATGACTTGAACCCGGGAGGCGGAGCTTGCACCGAGCCGAGATCGTGCCACTGCACTCTAGCCTGGGTAACAGAGTGAGTGAGACTCCGTCTCAAAAAAAAAAAAAAAAAAAAATCATGTCCAGAGTAAAAACCATGTTAAAGCAATTTTTCCATTTAAATTAGCAATATAAATTTAAAATATCATTTTGTATTTTTGGAAGGTAAAAATATGAGGTGACTGAAAATGAAATTACATTTTCATTTTCCCCCATATTAGGAGGGAGGGGTATGTAGGTTTTTCCAATGGTGTATCAACATAAAATTTCAATGAACTTCTGAAAAATGAGCCTATGTTGTAAATAATTTTGCCAAATATATCCTAGGAAATAGGATTAAAAAGATATAAGGGTGTCTCTTCTTCCTTTCCCCCTAATATAAAACCAGATTATTATTAAATCCTTAATTTCTAGTGATTATGTCATATTTATTTCTGGCTTCCAAATTATATGGTCAGTCAAGTTAGTGTTGGCGGTTTTCACCGCAACTCATTTCTCTTAAGAGAAATTCTCCGTGAACCTACAGCAAAGTGGGCATAATGCTTTGAATAGTTATCTTGTAGCTTTCTGGGAGGAATTTAGAACAGTAATATCCCCTCTTGGTCCCTCAGTAACCATCATCTTTTAAACTGAACTCTGATTTATATGGCCTAGCCTTTAGTAGTTTGTATAGGTAAGTCTGCAAGCCCACAAATATATCAGACATTGTTTTAAGGGATTATAGATAATTTAGACTGTGTGTCTTTAATTTCTTTTTGTTTAGTTTGTTTCTTAGAACTGTTTTCAACTTGTTTTCTCTTGAGCACATTATAATTAATGTTCTGTGTTTTACTCTCCCTTCTTATTCCTCTTTCTTTCACTTAGTTGATTTCTGAATGTTTCCCTTTATTCCTGTAATCTTTTCTTCATAGCGGCAGTCTCTGGGTGAAGCTTTGCATAAATCTATCAGCAATGTAAGTGAGCGGCACTTACAATTTGTACACAAGGGCATGTTGCACTTTTCATTTTGCATAAACAACATCACTGCTTTAAAGCTTCAACTTATATAAAAAATACTGTTTGGCATTCAATAAGATATATTTTGTGTATGGGTAATAAAAGCTTCTAACTTTCAGTCATTCATTTGTGTATGCATACATCTACCACATGTATTAATAAGCATATATTTATTATAAAGCCAATTGAGATTTTATATCTCAGACATAAATTTCATTATTTTTATGTTTACTTTGAAAGATATAGTAATATTTTTGAAAAACTATTAACTAGTTGAATCATAAAAATGGAAATAAATGTAAAATTTTTTTGTTGTTAAACTAGTTTATTTTTTGAAAAACTAGCATTAGTGACTTCCTTTTTTAAAAGTACTGGATTGTTATGAAGGTTTATGGGAATTAGAACATATTTTATACATTGTAATGTTATAATTATCAACAGATGAAAAGCAAAATAGAGTAAATCCCTTTCCTAAGCATTGACAAAGTGATCACTCTTTACTTATGTACACTCAGGTATGCAGAAATTCATCTTCAAAATAATATTCCATTTAACACTCATTTAAAAACATTTTTCTTTGTATATCATAAGAAAAAGTGAGATTTATTTTCACACCAAACCCATACTCAACTTGTCCTTTAAAATTAGATGACACAGAATTGAACATTGTTGAATATTTTTCTTGATGTCCTAAGGCAGAAGTCAGCAGACTTTTCTGTAAAGGACCAGATAGTAAATACTTTTGGCTTTGTGGGCCAGACAGTTTCTGTGGCAGAAACTCTATGCCATTGTAGTGTGAAAATACTTATAGACAGTATGTAAACGAATAGGTATGACTGTATTCCAGTAACAATTTACAAAAACAGATTGTAGTTTACTAATGCCAGCCCTAGAGAAATCAAAGCTTTGAGCCTAGAGATGTCCTGTGAAATTCTGATACTCCTGGAATGAAACTATTTCCTCATACCCCATAAGTTTTTCCTACTATGCAAGAAAATAAAAATTTTACCTAGTTTTCATATTCAGTCTTTTTTCTATGTAAAAAATAATTAAAATATGCAAATACATTTAGCAGCATTTTCTTTCATCTCTTAAAAGAAACAACAAACATTTATCTCAGTGTTGCTGAAATAGGCTATATTTAGAAATTCTTTTTAGCAGTGACATAGAGCATAGTACAAATTTTGGCATGATAGCTATATCAATATAGACATTTTGACATATGTGCTAATTGGGATAGAAATAAGAACCCAAATAGGATATGATTATTTTTAAAATTAATTGAATTATACTTTAGAATATTTGTGACAGCACAGTCACATTTTCTTTAACAGTTGTACTTTTTATTCATTAAACAAAAACCACCTTATTGAAATTGCCTATTAATAACTAGAATGAAAGTGCCTTGATTCATCTCCTACAAAAAAAGTAAAAGGGGCTGGTAACACAATGAAATCTCTTTTATAACATTATAGTCATTGAGGATCACCTTTTTACTCTGTCATCATCCACAGCAAAACATGACTTTGTCAGAGTGCCGTGCTCTGCAGGATGAGCACCTGCCCACTCCCTCTGTACATGGTGTGTACCCCAGCTTTCCATACAAGAATTCAGTGCTTAGCACATTCAAAAACAAGTGACTGTTATTGATACATCTGTCCTTCATAGATAACTTTCTAATTAGTTTTAGTTAATAATAAGAGGATGATTGGGGACATATTCCACAAATTTTTTTTTTTTTCGGAGACGGAGTCTCGCTCTGTCGCCCAGGCTGGAGTGCAGTGGCGCAATCTCGGCTCACTGCAAGCTCTGCCTCCCGGGTTCACACCATTCTCCTGCCTCAGCCTCCCAAGTAGCTGGGACTACAGGCGCCCGCTGCCACACCCGGCTAATTTTTTGTATATTTAGTAGAGACGGGGTTTCACCGTGTTAGCCAGGATGGTCTCGATCTCCTGACCTCGTGATCCGCCCGCTTCGGCCTCCCAAAGTGCTGGGATTACAGGCATGAGCCACCGCGCCAGGCCAAATTTACTTTTCTTAACTAGCCTCCTCAGTAATAGCACATTAGTGATTAAAGAAGAAAAATAAATCATATAATTAAAATATTTGAGCACCTTTAAACATTTTACATGACCATTTTCGTTAAGTCATTGGCATAATAATAAGTTATTCCTACTGTCCTCTACTAAGCCTAGGTTAGCAGTTTTTTTCCTGAGATCTGCTCAGACTGATAGGCTAGCAGTTTTTAATGTTTTATATATTTGAAAGGATTGGAGTTAATACTTTAGAATTAGATTACTTTCTTGTCCCAGTCATAATTCATCTGTAGGTGCTACGAGAGGGGCTTACCTTCCAGGGATTTCCATTTAATCCCTGAATAAACCCAGGCAGCCAACTGGGAAGAAAGGAAGGAGGGAGAACAGCTGTTGTAGAAGTGAGGGACAGTGCCAGCCCTAGGAAGTCTATGTGGTTATTAAAAGGAATGGGTCATATCTGAATATCGTGAGTACCTTATAAATGCCACTTTGAAGGGAAGGAAAAAACTACAAAAACACAAACTGGCTGGCCCCTCTACTGGAAAAATTATTAAACATCATTAAATCCCTTGGCGTACTCATCTTGGAAGATATATAAAGTTGAGTGTGTGAAAACCACCTCATCCACATCTGCAGGTCAGGACACTCTCATGGTTTCACATTTGAAGTGGTGTTTGTTTCTCTATGTGATACTTACAGGATGTCTGTCCCCATCAGCTGCCCCAGGTGTCTCTGTTTCAGCTGCTATGGACATTAAGCACTGATCTTTTGAGGTGTGCCCTGGAGCCTTTGTAACTTTTGTATATAAGGCATAGCCAGCATTTTATCAGATATATCTCTACATTTGGTAAAATCATCTAGCCATTTACACATGATCTAGGTAAGAAAGCAAAAGAAAACAAAACGGTGAATTATATCAAGAGAGACCTAAGCCATTACAGTCTGCAGTAAGGCATACCAAAATATTAACACCAGTTACCCTTAGGGATTAAGTGAGGAAAGGGAATGAAGGAGACTTTTCCTTTTATTTATATGTTCCTGTATTTTTAAAATTTTCATAACGAACCACTTTTTACTTTGATAAATAGGAATAAAAATATCTTAGGCAGCCTGGGCCCAATTCCAGACCTGCTAAATCAGAATCTCAAGGGATCAGGGCACAGGCAACTGTCTTTATGAAAATCTGCAGAGATGATTCTGATACACAGCCAGGTTTGAGAATCACAGATTACGTTTACTATCTCAAGACATGCTTTATTTGGAGAACACATCATTTGTATACTTTCTGTATTCTTTCACTTTTGTAACAAGGCTCAATGGTTTTTGAAGAAAAAACACCGATATTGCATCAAAAACCAAAGGTTGTAGGTAAGATGTAGATAATTAATGACATGTCTCATATTGACATTCTGTCATACCCAGTACCTCAGATTTGATGTTTCACTTTTTGTTTTGAGAGAGTTCTTCCACAAACACCATTATAGAGGTACAGAGTCTTTGTGAAACTGGTCTGTAAAAAGTAGGCTGGGCACAGTGGCTCATGCCTGTAATCCCAGCACTTTTAGACACTGAGGCAGGAGGATCGCTTGAGCCCAGGAGTTCAAGACCAGCCTGGGCAGTGGAGTGATACCTCATCTCTAGAAATAATATAAAATCAGTTGGTGCATGTCTGCGGTCCCAGCTACTTAGGAGGCTGAGGTGGGAGAATCACTTGAGCCCAGGTGGTTGAGGCTGCAGTGAGCCATATATATAAATATATATAAATATAAATATACAAATATATATAAATATAAATATATATAAATATAAATATATATATAAATATATATATATATATATATTTTTTTTTTAAATGGAGTTTCGTTATCATTGCCCAGGTTGGAGTGTAGTGCTGCGATCTCGGCTCACTGCAACCTCTGCCTCCCGGGTTCAAGTGATTCTCCTGCCTCAGCCTCCCGAGTAGCTGGGATTACAGGCGCCCGCCACCACTCCCGGCTAATTTTTTGTATTTTTAGTAGAGACAGGGTTTCATCATGTTGGCCAGGCCGGTCTCAAATGCCTGACCTCTGGTGATCCACCCGTCTCGGCCTCCTAAAATGCAGGGATTACAGGCATGAGCAACCGTGCCCGGCCCATATATTTTTAATTTTTTCTTTTTGAAATTTTTATAAAACTTTAATATTCCATTTTCAAAAAGACTGTAAAACTTTATTTTCAAAAAGACAATCATTTTTTAAATGGTAGAGACAGGAGGTGGCAATTACTATCAGTGCAGTTTGACCTTTAAAATTGTCTCTAAAATGTCTGGCACCTATCAACCAGTAGAATATATTTCATATCTAAATTGCTATGCTAAGAATTTAAAAACTAAAGATTAAATTATTTTCTGAAATAAAATATTTTGGTTTATTTAAACAAAATAAGAAATAGAATTTTTTAAATTTTAACGAATGTATAGAAACTAATACCGTGCACTACATAATTTGAATATAATATATAGTTTGAAGCAACTACTTGTTCTCATTCTTTATTCAACACAAGCCTTTCTAGATATTCTATAATTCTGTAATAAAAATACTTACCAAAATTGCCTAAACCTTTTAAAGCAGAGGTTTTTTATCTTTTGAGTTAAAGTTTTACATTAATATGTATTTCTATTGATTATATTAAACTCAGCTGTTTAAATTATAGCTATAAAAATTAATTCACTTTACATTACTTTGCTCATTGTCTTTTAAAGTGCCATGTACTTTTCATGCTGAATAAAAGCTATTTATTGCAATTCTGCTAACTTGTTTTTAAAAAGAACAAAATAAATTTTGATATTGCATTGCATGATTAAGGCTTTCTGCATATAATTCACATTACTGTCTTGAGCATGAATTCAAAGATTTTCGATGGCCTTAATATTATTTTGATGTGCTTTCAAAGTTAAGAATACAAAATATCTAAGTATGTTTGAACACTAAATTGCATGATCATATCTTTCTGCACATAGTTTATATTATTTTCTTGAGTGTAGATACAAAGATTAATCACATATCCTAAGATGGAAAGTACTATTTTGGAGTTCTTTCAAGGTAAAGTATATTACAATGTAAAATATTTAAGTGTATTTTATTTTAGCTGGAGAAATTTAAAACTCTGTAGATTTTAAATATGTAACTATTATGCACTGTGGTACTTCCAGTCATTCACTTTAAATATTGCATTTCTTCATAAGTTTCATCTGTTAATAGGTCAAACGTGAGTCAAATTAACGTATGAGAGGTCTGTCGATTCAGCAAATTTTGAAGTAGGTATTGCAGAAAATAAGAAACACCACTGTGAGCTGATTGGTTTCCTACTAATTGAAGTACACACTAAATTTGAGGATGGGATCCAGGGCCACTGCTAGCCTATATGGCACCTTTGTGCAAAGCAGAAAAACATGTCCATTCTTTTTGGATGGACACAGATCTGTACCAGGGCAGACAGCTTGGTGAGCAGAATGCTGGGTAGACTTTAATCCCCACTTGGTCAGGTGCCAAGTAATAGCTTTGAGAATATTGTTATTCTGCATGTGACACACCCTTTCCAGCTTTCCCGTATACATTTCAACAAGTTATCCTCAGAAACAAAAAAGGCAGTCCCATGGGTCCCCATGCTTAGGCTGGGACTAGGGTTGAACTTCCAAAGAGAGGGGGTAGGTGCTTTCTCTATTTCAAGAACCAACTTGCTGGGAAGAGAACGGCTCTACCGGTTACAAATCAGTGTTCACAAATGTCTATTTTTGTTCTTGTTACCCTTTTGTGGTTTATTTTTTCTTTCTAGGCTGTCTTCAATATTCGTTTTATCCTGATTTTCATTGCATAAAATGGTGAGAAGTCATGTGGTATAATTTATCATATTCCACAAGTATGGCCTTAGCTGTGGCTGTGAGATTCTTATGCGCATATCACATTCTCACATTTGCAGGATTTATTTCAGTCTGTAAGTCGTGGGTGCTGCTGCCATTTAGAGGTATAAGGAGTTGTGATATTTGGTATCAGAGGGTTGCAGTTCCACCTTGGCTCCAAAACTTTAAAATAACCTCTGAAACCTTAGGTTTTTGTAGAAATTAATAAGCAGAATTCATAAAGTTTGAACAGGTGGAGTCACTTATTCGGAAATACATTAAAACAGATTACACCTAGATTGTTCATACGATTTCTCACCAGTGCTTGACTGTTTCCATAAAGCCATATGCTAACCTTTATAACTAACTCTGATTGATAACTTTGTCCAGAACCCTTCTGGAAGGCTAATCATCACCCTAAGCTCACTACAGTCTGTGACTGTTCCTGCTGCTTTTTAAAGGGATATGGTGGCTTGCTTTCGACCTTTTCTTTTTCCAATTAATGATTCTTTCCTCCGTTCTTCTCTTGCATGTCTAGTGATTCCCCGCCTTTTCTCTTTCTTTCCCAGGTACCTTTCTTTGTGACGCATGTGAGGCAACTTATGTCTGCCTTCCATCAATTAAAAGAGAGTATTTTCCCATTTACAAAAACTCACTTTAAAGTTTCCTCTTTTCATTGGCTTTTTTGGCCGCAGAAACTGTTTTACCAGTATATAAAAGCATAGAGTGTTTTAAGTTGCTTATGGAACACATTTTACAACTTTGTATCTGGTTCTCCTAAGTTCCTCTTAGATTTAGACTTCTTTTAGAATACAGATACGTAGTTTCAAGTTACAATATCCTGTGTATGAGAATAGAAATAGGTCAATTAAATGGTTTTATCAAATGCATATATGAACGTATATAATACATACATATACCTGTTTTATGTTTTTATTCTTCCCAAAATACTTAATTTTAAGTATATTAAGACATCTAGAAGTGATACAGACATACTGAGGCTGATGTCTGTTTTCAAAAGGAGTGACAAATCAGTTTTCCATAGTGAAAGAAAAGCACCTGACATTATTATAATGGCTGAATAAAAGATTGTGGGACGTTTGAGACATTTTAGAAACTTAAAGGTTTTCAATAACTTTGAGTTAAATGAAAAATAAAAATTTACATGATGATTCTAAATTATAAACTGATGTATCTTTTAAACAGTAGGTTTTTAATTCTCAAATAATCTTAGCTAATATTTGTTGAATGCTTAGTACATGCCAGAGTCTGTTCAAAGTGAGCTATATGTAGTAACATAGCCTGGTGAGGTGTTGATACTAACAAGTGACAGAGCTAGGATTTTAACTCAGAGCTCACACTCCTATTTCACTTTACTACTTTACAAATAAGTGGTTTAACATACTCTTTCCTCAAAGTGACTATAACCTAATGAATATGTTAGTTGTCTTCTGTTTTTATTTCATATTATGAATTTTTATTGAAACTTAAGACAGATATTCATTGTATTCTAAATGTGGGCTGCAGTGTTCTTTAGACAGTCTATAAACAATATAACTAAACTATTTTCAGAATAATTACAGAAAGTGGAATTTTAAATGGTGATATTAAATGGTTATTTTTATGATATATTTTAGAATATTTTAAATGGAAACATTAAGGCAGTTATTTTACTATCATTAATATCTTTGAAATGCTTTTCCCCCTTTGCTGGGTAGTTTGTGAACTATGCCTTGTATTTATTCTTCATTGTGTACCATTCTGGGGCATAGATTTCCTTGCTGAAACAGAATCTGGAGATACAGCTTTCCCAGTCTCAGACTTCTTTGCAACAACTGCAAGCCCAGTTTACGCAAGAACGACAGCGGCTTACGCAAGAGCTTGAAGAATTAGAGGAGCAACATCAGCAAAGACACAAATCATTAAAAGAAGCACATGTCCTTGCATTTCAAACTATGGAAGAGGAAAAGGAAAAGGAGCAAAGAGTAAGTTTTATGTGACATACGTTCAAATGTAACCCAACTGCCTAATAATAATTAGTCTTCAAATTAAAAAAATTTTTTTTTCTATTTTTTGAGACAGGGTCTCACTCTGTCACCCAGGCTGAGGTGCAGCAGCACAATCATGGCTCACTGCAGTCTCGACTTCCTAGACTCGTGATTTTTCCACCTCAGCCTCCTGAATAGCTGGGACTATAGGCGCACACCACCATGCCTGGCTAATTTTTTAATTTTTTTTTTTTTGTAGAAACAGGGTCTCGCTATGTTGCCCAGGCTGGTCTTGAATTCTGGGGCTCAAGCAATCCTTCCACCTTGTCCTCCCAAACTGCTGGGATTACAAGGGTGAGCCACTGTGCCCAGCCTGTTCAATATATAGACAAAATACATTGAATCAAATTGGTTTCATGATGATTTCTTTATTCTACTGAAATGACCCTAATTATTTTTTCTAATGTTGATTATCTTATGTCTAGTTTTCTTGAAAATGAACCTAAAACATTTTGTATTTCTTAAATAATAACTGAGTTTTAGTAACTGTTTTCTATTTTGTTTGCATTTTCCTTCCTATATTCTAGCATAATAATTTGAATTTGTCTTGTTCTAGGCTCTTGAAAATCATTTACAACAGAAGCATTCTGCAGAGCTTCAATCACTAAAAGATGCACACAGAGAGTCAATGGAGGGCTTCCGGATAGAAATGGAACAGGAACTTCAGACTCTTCGGTTTGAATTAGAAGATGAAGGAAAGGCTATGCTTGGTATTTTGAAAAGATTACAATCTTGTCATATTCATATGTACATTTTTAACATTTTTTAAATTCAACATAAAATCACCAAGTTTTATTTTAAAATTTTGAAACGTCAAAATGAATATCTAAGTGTACTGCATATTTTATTTGAAGTTACCACATGAATAGGCAGGACACAAACAGTAAAGTGAATTCCCCTCAGCTCTCTCTGTACTCCAGCTATGCAAGCAACACCACTGGTACTCTAATCTGTCCTTTTTGGACTAAGTGGACTCAGGACATTGAGGTGTCCCAGAAATCAATCACTGCTCAGTAGAAAGGACATGGAGCCACATGTCCTTAGACTGCATGGTCATATGGTTTTTTACACTTCAAGATTTTGTTTTAATGGGAAAAGTCAGTATTAGGTCTGACTCTTCTGTTGAGGTATATATTTCTTTGAGATTTCTACCTATGAGGTGTTCACATCATTACTTTTTATAAGGAGGTAGGTTGAGTTTTGAAGAAAAACTGGATATGTATTTAAAGATTTGTTTTGGGTTTTGTTTTTTATGTCATTCAATAACTTTTTATTCTTACCATCTCATTTTCCTTCTGTTTGGCTTTATTCCAAATTATGCTAATATTTTTAACATGTTGTCATACTTCAGTGGCACACTCTTTCCAAGTAGGAATTTGGAGCAAAGAAGACTGAAGTGTTATCAATATTTTGGGCCTCAAAGGGAAAGCCGTCTGACCCTGTTTCTCATCGATAATGTTGCTGGGAGTCCCAGACCAAGTCGTTAAAGCTCTCCTCTTCCTCCTTTAAAACCCACTATGACTGCTAGCATGAAAATCAGATTAAATTTAGACATTTGTCAAAGATTTGTGAAAAGCCTTTTCATGTGCTAGAGATTGCTGAGCAAGGAGAATTAAAAAATGAACTACTGCCCTGTCTTTGCACAGGAATTGTAGTGAAATGTAGAGGTCGCCTTTATAGAAATGTGGCCAAAAGGGAATACACATTCCACAGCTTTGTCAGGGCAGGCAAAAACAGTCCCAGTGTTGGAACTATTGTTGTTTAGTCCATTGAAACATGCTCCACTAAACATGATTCAAATATGTCTTTGTTGGCCGGGTGTGGTGGCTCACACCTCTAATCCCAGTACTTTGGGAGGCTGAGGCAGGTGGATCACCTGAGGGCGGGATTTTGAGATCAGCCTGACCAACATGGTGAAACTGCATCTCTACTAAAAATACAGAATTAGCCAGGCGTGGTGGCGCATGCCTGTAATCCTAGCTACTTGGGAGGCTGAGGCGGGAGAATCGCTTGAATCTGGAAGGTCGAGTTTGCAGTGAGCCAAGATCACACCATTGCATTCCAGCCTGGGCAACAAGAGCAAAACTCTGTCTCAAAAAATAAATAAATAAATAAATAAAATATGTCTTTGTTGACAAAAAGAGTTTTGGGTCTTTAAAAAAACTTTTATTTTGAAATAATTGTAGATTCACATGCAGTTTTAAGAAATACTACAGAGATCTCTTTAACTAGTTCCTCCAGTGGTAACATCTTGCAGAACTATGGTACAGTATCACAACCAGTACAATGACGAAGATTCTGTCAAGATTCAGAACATTCCCATTACCATGAAGATGACTCATGTTGTTCATTTATTGCCACACCTATATTCCCAGTCCTCCCCTCCTATAACACCTGGCAACCATTACCCTGTTCATTTCTATGATTTTGTCAGGTTAAGAATGCTCTAATTTTATAAATGAAATCATACAATATTTAACCTTTTTGGGGAGAAGGGATAGGGTCTCACTCTGTTGCCCAGGTTAAGAATGCAGTGGTGTGCTATCAGCTCACTGCAACCTCCACCTCCCGGGTTCAAGCAATCCTCCTGCCTCAGCCTCCTAAGTAGCTGGGACTATAAGTGTGTGCTGCCACACCCAGCTAATTTTTGTAATTTTTGTAGGCAGGGTTTCACCATGTTGCCCAAGCTGGTCTCAAACTCCAGGCCTCAAGTGATCTACGGGTCTCGGCCTCCCAAAGTGCTGGGATTACAGGTGTGAACCACCACACCCAACAATATTTAACATGTAGAGGTTGGCCTTTTTTCACTCGGCATAATTATCTGAAGTCATCTAGGTTATTGTGTGTATCAACAGTTTGTTTCTTTTTATTGCCAAGTAGTATTCAGTGGTTTTGATCCACCGTAGTTTGTTGTCCTTTGCCCGTTAAAGATCACCTGAGCTTTTAGTTCTTAGCTGTTACAAATAAAGCTGCTATAAACATTCACGTACAAATTTCATATAAACATAAGTTTCATTTCTCTGGGATAAGTGCCTAGGAGTGCGGTTGCTGGGTCATATGGCAGCTGCATATGTAGTTTTGTAACAAACTGCCAAACATTTTCTAGAGTGATTGTACCATTTTCCATCCCTACTAGCATCATATAAATTTTGCTCACATCCTCACCAACATTTGATGTTGTCATTATATTTCATCCTTTCTGATAGGAATGTGTGATAACTCATTCTGGTTTTAATTTGCATTTTCCTAGTGGCTCATGATATTGAACATTTTTCAATATCATGAGAACATTGACCAGCCAGGCTCCTTTAGGGATATTTTTGAAGAATTCTTATTTGGGTGAGAAGTTGCCTCCTAAATATTTGTTATGGTACCATTAAACTCTAAAATTTCATTCTTTTTTTTTTTTTTGAGATGGAGTCTCACTCTGTTGCCCAGGCTGGAGTGCAATGGCGTGATCTCGGCTCATTGCAACCTCTGCCTCCCAGGTTCACGCAATTCTCCTGTGTCAGTCTTCTGAGTAGCTAAGATTACAGGAACCTACCACCATGCCTGGCTAATTTTTTGTATTTTTAGTAGAGACGGGGTTTCACCATGTTGATCAGGCTGGTCTCGAACTCCTGACCTCAGGTGATCCACCCACCTCGGCCTCCCAAAGTGCTGGGATTATAGGCATGAGCCCCCGTGCTTGACCAAATTTTATTATCCTAATAGTGAAAGAGACGAATTAAAAATACTTCATCTCCATTAGCACTTTACCTGCATACTGAAAGCATGTATAAAAATACCTTGATCCGCTTAAACATTTGAAATATTTTATATCCTCATCAAAGCTACATTAACTTTAAATTCATGATAGTATATTGTAGTCTGTAATATTTAAATTTGTCATAGTTTATAATCTATTAATTTAATGGACATACACAAGTGTTCTAATTTTTGAAATAATTTTTTACTTCTATAATTTTTATCTAAAGTATTGATAATATTTTTTAAATGTGCCAAATGTATTTTTGCCTTGCAATTCCAGCTTCCTTGCGCTCAGAACTCAACCATCAACATGCAGCTGCAATTGATTTGTTACGGCATAATCATCATCAAGAATTGGCAGCTGCTAAAATGGAATTAGAGAGAAGCATAGACATCAGCAGAAGACAGGTAAGTAAGAGTATTCTGTACTCTGATGATTTCTTAAATTTGAATAGATTGAATGTTCATAATTTCCTGAAAATTATTTTGTAATAACTTATTTTCACTAGTTATCACATTCTATTTATATTGAAGAGCTTTATTTGATTCAGTTATTTATTTATTTGAGACAGGGTCTCGCTTTGTCACTGAGGCTGGAGTGGAGTGGCACAATCACAGAAGGGAGCTTAACTGTCAGATAACTGCTAGAGCAGCACTAAACTAAGTCTGCTTTGTAAGCCATGTGATGTGTGTGTTTTAGGAGGGCCTCCTTAGATGCACTTTCTCTTTAGATTATAGGCAGTGGTGCCACAATTATTCTTCAAAATCATGTAAAACTTACTGAGGATGTAAGAGCACTGTGTTCTAATCTCAACTAATCCACTGATTATAAATCATCTTTGGGTATTGGTTTCCTCATCTGTAAAATGAGAGAGATGTCCTTTGACCTTTTGGGTTCTTTGTAATCTGACATTATTGAAGCTATATCCATATACACACTATATGTGTGGAAAGAGAACAGGCCTTGAGGTTTTCTCATTTCAGCAGTTTGCTTTTGAAGAAGCAATGTCAGAATGATTACATTTGACATTCCAGTGTGTCATTTTCTTTCCCGCAGATAAACACAGAAATCAAATATGTAGAAAACTTCTAAAAATGACTTTTTTTTTTTAACAGAGTAAGGAGCACATATGTAGAATTACAGATCTACAAGAGGAATTAAGACACAGAGAGCATCACATCTCTGAATTGGATAAGGAGGTTCAGCACCTTCATGAGAATATAAGTGCCCTAACCAAAGAACTGGAATTTAAGGGGAAAGAAATTCTCAGAATACGAAGTGAATCTAACCAACAGATAAGGTATGCCATTAAGTACAACAGAAGGAATATGCAGTGTCATCTGAAAAACTGTTGTGCTGATATTTAGTAATCTATGCTAATTTTGTGACTAGACTGGCTCTCTAGTAAAATATTGAAGACCTCTTTTTACTTTATTTGATGACTATGTTATAATCTAGAACACAGATGAAATGTTTATATCTTGAATGATGTAACATGTATTCATTCACTTTGGAAATTGTATATAATTAACTGAATTCTTTTTAAAATGTTATTTGAAAAAGCATTAAAGGAGACAACTTTAACAAAGCCAGAAGCTTATAGCAGAAAGTAAGTAGCTTAATTTAGGCTGTTTACATAAATTTTCTATATATTATACCAAAAACCATTTCAAATCTGGTAGAATAATAGAAAGTTTTGAAAGCTTGACTTCAGAATAACATTTTCTTAACTAAAAATAAATCAAACAGGTTGCATGAACAAGATTTAAACAAGAGACTTGAAAAAGAGTTGGATGTCATGACAGCAGACCACCTCAGAGAGAAAAATATCATGCGGGCAGATTTTAATAAGACTAACGAGCTACTCAAGGAAATAAATGCCGCTTTACAAGTGTCGTAAGTCATATTATATAAGAAAATTCATATGTGGATAATAAATTTAGGAGCACTGTGTTTAACCTCAGATTAGCTGTTATTTTGACTCTAATAAAAAGGATACTTTAAAAAGAAAATTTTAGTGCTGTGTTACAGATGGTAATTGCAGTGCTATATGTTCTTTAATTAGGATGAGGCAGTTGAATGATGATGTTTTATCAACTAAGACTGCACCAGTTCTGCTAGAACAGTAATCTAAAGAATGTTCCTTAGGATCATGAACTATCATGCCATGGTGAAAACTGAAAATATGGCTATATATAATGTTAAGTAAAAAGAATATATAGTGAACAATAGGAATACTATGATCCTATATACACACTAATAATGTATATTTTACCAAAATATCAAAATATCTTAACAAATACCAAATTTTAATGGTAATGGTTCCCTCAAGAGAATGGATTAGGAGGTACTGGAGATGAGAAAGAGCAATTCTTTCTTTTTATTTTATATACTCCACTTACATATTGTTTAAATTCCTACAAGAAGCATCTAATTGTCTTATGATTTTAAAAATCAATAAAGGGGAAAACATTACAAATAAAGTTACCGCTCATACATAGTAACTACAGTATTGTTAAAACCAAAGTTTCTAATTCTTATTTAATGTTCTTTGGAAACATTTAATAACCCTTCCTTTCCTAGATGCTTGTAAACTGATGTAGCTAATGCAGTTTGTACTCAGTCCATCTCTGTGGCCTAAACCCTGGTCCAACATAAGTTATTTCAGAATTAATCTACTCTAAGCTGCTGCTAGTAGTTTATTCACCTTTAGTCTCTCCTCTTCCAATCAAATATATATATATCCACATACTTCAGTAAAGTCACAATTAGTGACTAATCCCATTATCCTTCATGTCAAAGTCAAATGTAAACTTAACAGCTCCAATGTGCCTTATTCTACATCATCCAACAGCAACCCTTATTTCTTATTCTGTCTTTTTATCAGCCTAGTGGACCTTCTTGGTTTCCTGTGTTGTCCTCTACAGTCTAGAATAACCTCCTGTGTTGTTGCCGTTTTAAGTATTGTCCTCAAATCTAAAAATTATCTTCTTTTATTTGATTTATGTGACCAATTCAATCTTTCGGTAAAGATTGTTACATACATAGGCAACACCACAACACACACATACAGACGCACACATGCACACACATGTATTCACTTAAGCCACAGCAGAAAACAGGTCCCCAGTTGTTATTTACTTGAGTATGCTGTGAGATGAGGTGCTCTTTCTGATGGGCATATTCAGAATCGTTACATTAGTTAAGCACTCAGTGAATGTTTCATGAATGAATTTTATGATTCTTTCTCCATCATATTTACCACTTTTTGAAGTTGCCTTTGAAATGGTGAGGAAACTTGTGTTACTTCCCTGGTCACTCTGAGTTTGGTGTTTGCTGTTATTAGAGGTGATTTTTAAATCCTTTTGGGCCAAGTATGAGCTCAGGTATCTGCCTTGTATAACAGCTCATAACCCCATACTTTTGCAGAAATGATTTACAATAGACCTCAATTCCTTGGCTGTCCTTTTTCCTGGCCTCAGTGGTACTCCTCAGACAGAGACTGAAATCTTGGCATCCCCCACTTCATGCTCCGAAAAAACATAGTCACAGAAAGAATAACGTCAGTCTGTCTGTGTGTCCTGTCTCCTTAGGAATGTTAATTTACAAAGAGTAAAGGTTGTGTCCTTGTTTTTCCTTTATTCTGTTGCATATGGTTTTGCACATTATGAATCTTCAGTAGGTAGCAAATAACTTAGTTTTTGATTTTATGATCATTTTTAATAATCAAAGAATTAGTATTTGCTTTTAAGTAAACTACCTGCTTTTCTAGACTCTCCTTTCATTTTAATGCTTCCACTTGGGTCCATGCTAACCAATTATGTTTCTTTTTTCACCAGAAACTTACTGCCACCAGGTAATTACCCCCTAGCTTTAGGTGTTTACTCCTTTAGTTAAAAACAAACACACACCAAATTTATATTTGACCAACACTGTCCAATAGATTGTGATAATGAAAATGTTTTGTATCTGCTTTGTCCAGGTTAGTAGCTTCTAGCTAAAAATGGCTCTTGAATGCTTGAACGGTGATTAGCATAACTGAGGAGCTGAATTTATAAATTTCATTTAATTTTAATTAATTTAAATGTAAATAGCCATATGCAGACTAATGGCTACAATGTTGGAAAACATAGTTTTAGACAATTGGTTGTTTCTGTTTCATATCCTTAAATGCAGCCTGCTTGGATCTGCTGAATGGTTTGGATTTAGACAGGTAGTGAGCAGGGAGAGTTGGTTCCAACTTATGGAGCTGTGGGAAACAGTATCTGTACTGTTCCCAAGGACTAGGGGATTCTATTGAAGTTCCTAATCAGCTGCACCCTGGCTTTAAAACTTTGAAATCAGAAGAGTCCTGTGGATTCCTGGAAGGCAGTGGTGCTGGGGGCTGAAGGGACATGGTGCAGCCTGACAGGCCACAGCCTGCCACTGAGGAAGCTTGGGGGCAGAGGCAGCTTCTTGCTTCTGCTCCTGCCCCAAATCCTGTTGAACTCCCTTCCTGGAGAGAGAAGGGTGGGGCAACACATGTAAAGGATGGGAAATACCCTCTAAGTCTGTAAGTATTGTAGAAGTGGTGATGAGTTCTATATTGCTTATGGATGATGATTATTACAAATCCGCTTTGGTGCTGGAAGTTAAAGTTTTAGATTTTTCAGAGAGTTCTATAGAAATTTTATTTTTCAGTGATATAGTAGTAAAAACTTTATATCTAATAAAAATGTCCTGATTCTGGTTTCTTTTAGAAACAAATGAGAAAATGGGCTGTTTGATTTTTTTTTATCTGAATGATTTACTCTGTAAGTAAAGAAAGTTCAAGCTAAATGAAAACATTCTCTACAACTTGAGGTCATGGCCGATTTTTAATATGCAAAAAGATGGTTCTGAGATTACTGATTGTTTAGGTTTATTTCACAAAAGATGATTTCTTCTTGAGAGAAATGTTGAGTTTCTATACTTAGATTTTAAATAGATCAGTAATCCCCAATTGAAAAGAAGCACTCCGCCACACCTGAATTACTAATTTTTTGTTTAAGTTTTGAGTCCTTTCATCTATAATACCCAAATAACTTTTGTTTTTGTTGTCATTTGATTTTTAATTTACCATTCAGGTATGGTTGTAAGCTTTGTGAGGTACGGAAGTAGTCTTGTCACAAATCAGAGTCTGTGCGTAATTTATGGGAAAAGAAAGGTTCAGCGTTAAAGTGCTTCAATTGCTATATTTCCTTTATTTAAGAGTTTAGAAAATGATGATATAGGAGTTTTTTCATCTTTATAAAATCAAAGTTATAGGATATATGTGTGCATAATATACTATTGTTTGGTTATGAAACAATAGTATACCATTTTTGGTTCTAAAATTCACTGATTTTATTTTTTTATCCTTTTCTTTTTCTTAACAAGACTATAACTTGGAAACTTTGTATACAGCTTTTTAGGCATTTGTAATTTAGGCCTGTTGTCCATGAATCACAGACATTGACCTGTATATTGTCAGAGCCAAAGAAAGCAGGGCATGCATGCCTGGTGAGAATCCATCAGTGGCCCTAATTAGTAATTTTATATGTTCTACTTCTCCTTTCTCCTTTTTTCCCCCTTTCTCTTCTCTCTTCTATTACTTTTAATGGAAATCTGTAAAATTTGAGTAAAAGGCTACACTTGTGTGGTATTCTCAAGGCGGCATTTCCCAGGCTTTAATCATCCTTGGGATGATCATATACATCCTTGGGAATTGGGTCATTTCTGGCTACGTATATTATTTTCTTAATATTTTTAATTGACTTATTTTAACTTAAATATTTAATAGGAAAACTTGATATCACTACAGTAGAACATTTATCACTACTGAAAAATTTTATCCTTTATTCTAAATAAAAGCTAAGCTATAATTATATGAATGTAAATTTTGTGAAAATAAAACAATGTTATTAGATTCTAGCTAGCATTTATGCTGAAGTCCTGCCTGAGTGTTGTGAAATAGAGTAATGAACATAAGTTATGAAGGCAATTTAAGATATACAGACCCGGCTGGGCACAGTGGCTCATGCCTGTAATCCCAGCACTTCTGGGAGGCCGAGGCAGGCGGATCACCTGAGGTCAGGAGTTTGAGACCAGCCTGACCAACATGGTAAAACCCCGTCTCTACTAAAAATACAAAAATTAGCCGAGTGTGGTGGCAGACACTTGTAATCCCAGCTACTTGGGAGACTGAGGCAGGAGAATCGCCTGGACCCGGGAGGTGGAGGTTGCAGGTAACTGAGATTGTGCCATTGCACTCCAGCCTGGGTGACAGAACAAAACTCCATCTCAAAAAAAAAAAAATATATATATATATATTATATATATATACACCCAAACAATTTTTTTTTCTTGTGATTAGAAAGATTAAAGAACCAACTTAAAAACAGCTGTGTATGCAGGAACAAAACCAAACTCCACATGTTCTCACTCATAAGTGGGAGTTGAACAAGGAGAACATGTGGGCCCAGGGAGGGGAACATCACACACCAGGGCCTGTCACGGGGTGGGGGGCAGGGGGAGGGATAGCATGAGGAGAAATACCTAATGTAGATGATGGGTTGATGGGTGCAGCAAACCCATGTATACCTGTGTAACAAACCTGCATGTTCTGCACATGTATCCCAGAGCTTAAAGTATAATTAAAAAACAAAACAAAACTGTATCACCAGTTGTTCACACCTGGACTAAATTTTAGAAGCAGTGCTGGTTATGAGAGCTGCCTGCGGCAACTGAAGAAAAGAAAAATATTGACTAGTCTTGGCTTGAAATGGATATCGGAATAGTATCAAGTTTTCTTTCTGTAAAAATTTTGAAAGACTAGTAATTAATGAAATATATTTGCAAGTTAAATCTATATCATATTACTTACTTGTTCTCTCCTTTAATGCTTTCCTGTTTGTGTTTATATGGATTATGTTTTTTCTATTTAATCAATTATATTTTCCTATTTAATATCCAGGTGTTTTTCTTATTAAACATTTTTGATGATGTAAAAATATTGTATTAGTCCGTTCTCACGCTGCTAATAAAGTCATGCCCGAGACTGGGTAATTTATAAAGGAAAGAGGTTTAATTGACTCACAGTTCAGCATGGCTGGAGAGGCCTCAGGAAACTTACAATCATGGCGGAAGGGGAAGTAAACACATCCTTATTCACATGGTGACAGGAAGAAGAAGGGCCAAGCAAGGGGGGAAATGATTTTCCCTTATAAAACCATCAGATCTTTTGAGAAGTTACTGTCATGAGAATAGCATGGGGATAACTGCCCCCATGATTCAATTACTTCCCACCAGGTTTCTCCCATGACACATGGGGATTGTGGGGACTACAATTCAAGATGAGATTTGGGTGAGACACAGCCAAACTATATCAGATATTTTATAGAGAAGATTAACTGATAATAATTCTGTAGGCAAAGGATGTTTAAGCTAAATAAAAACACTGCAATTTGGATTCAGGGATAGACCTTTATTATGCAAAAAAAAGTGGTTCAGAGATTGTAACTGATTGCTTTAGATTCACTTTACCTTAACTTCTCAATTAACAAAAAAATAGAAATAATAGTTTTAAATAAGGCTTTAAATTTAGTTGTTTAGCTACCATTTATACCAAGTATTCTTGCTCAGCTGCGGGAAGCAGTTCATAAATCTTGTACTTTGCTTTTAATGATAAAAGAAAGTGCTCCAGTGACCTCTTGTGGTTTCTCCAACATAAAACCCAAATTGCCATTTCTTTTACTAGTTTAGTATTTCTCGACTCTTAATGTTTGCCCATAAAATACTTTAAGAGTTAACTCTGCCATATTGGGATAAAATGCAAGGTCACTTTATTTGAGTTAACAAATCACATTATTTTTCACTTGGTCTCTATTGTCACAAAAGAACAAAAGTTAAAGATAGTGGAACTTAACACATTGTACAGCAAGGTTGTTCAACCCACGGCCTGCAGGCCATATGCAGCCCAGGACAGCTTTGAATGTGGCCCAACACAAATTCGTAAACTTTCTTAAAGCATGATAAGATTTTTTTATTGAGTTTTTTTTTTAAGCTCATCAGCTATCATTAGTGTTAGTGTATTTTGTGTGCCCGAAGACAATTCTTTAAATGTGGCCCAGGGAAACCAAAAGATTGGACACCCCTGTTGTACAACTTACCTCGCACTGATCTGATGAAGTCCTAGCTGATCCTGAGACAATCACTTCCTCACTTCCTCATCACCTTCATACCTCCCAACACTCTAATTGAGAACTTTAGCCAGGGGACTGGATAGAGGGCCTAATATGTTATCTCCAAATCTTTAGCTTAGGCTGAGTTTTTGGAGGGATTTTATGGTACTCAAATACACTGAGATTCAGGTACCTCTCTAGGGTTTTGGGTGGGAATAGGAATGTATAACTGATTTCTGGAAGATAGATCATCTACAAGTTACTCAGTATTCATGAGTGAATAATTTTTTCTAAGAATCTTTATTAACCATAATTTTATTGAATAATGTTATTGAAATTTTAAGTTCTATCCTTTATATCCTGAAAACAAGATTTTTAAAATTGTTCTAAGTATTTGCATTTTCTAAAATTGAAAGTGCTTTTTCTGAAACTAAGCCAGCAGTTTCCATTTGTATTCTCTTCAGTCTGCCCCATCCTATATTCTTAGACTCAGCAGGATGTGTCACCTGCTTATAAAAAGTGGCCTATATTTTAACGTTCAAGGCATTCAGGCCTATTACCACCTCATATCATTCAGGACAGAATAGGCTTAGAAGGGAACATAATTCTTCTCTTACCTGATGAAACTTTTTTTCAGTTTGTATGTATTGGCTGATAATATAGAATTTTTAAACTTTCTTTTCTATAAACCAGGAAAAAATGACGTCATACATGTGTGTCCTTTGTTTTGCTTTCATCTGTATTTGTTTCTTGTCCTTTTTATATGTTACCAAGCCTTGTGTTATCACACAGTATTGTATTGTGATAAGCACTTGTAATAGTGAGCCTGCCTTTCTAGTATCAAACCTGTTATTTGTCAGGTTAGTATCATTCAACATATAATTTCTTCTGCAGAGCTTATCTCCAGATACTGCTCACCTTTTCTCCAAATACTCTGGAATG
This sequence comes from Homo sapiens, assembly GCF_000001405.40. NCBI lineage: Eukaryota > Metazoa > Chordata > Mammalia > Primates > Hominidae > Homo > Homo sapiens. The sequence goes on along the minus strand of NC_000006.12, from coordinate 118,967,201 downwards.
ACTTAAAATGAGTGACTTCTTCAGAAGTAACCTGCAAAGCCTTTCATAGTACCATCTACCCCTTTAACTCCTTTAATGCAACTACTGCTCTTGAAGCAGTCATGTCATTATGCTTAAAAGTTTTAAGGAAAAAAGAAGTTTTGTTTCAGATTTTTGTGTGTGTTCAACTAGACTAATTTTTTTAATGTAGGTATTACAGAAGAATGTATCTGAGTGATATCAATGAGCTAAAGTCTTTCTTGTTTTCAGATTAGAAGAAATGGAAGAAAAATATCTAATGAGAGAATCAAAACCAGAAGATATACAGATGATTACAGAATTAAAAGCCATGCTTACAGAAAGAGACCAGATCATAAAGAAACTAATTGTAAGATATTTTGGTTTTAGTCTAACCATGTTAGTAATCAATAGATATTGATTGGGAAAATATGGGACAATCTTTTTAAGTAATGCTAAGTGAAAATAGAAAACACAGAACATGTGCATTGTGATTGAAAGTTCATTGAAATGTTTATGAATAAAGTAATTTTTAAAATTTAAATTTGGCATTAGGGTAAGGGAATTGTACGTCTTTCATTTTTTTTAAAAGAAAGTCTTTTTGATACATATTGAATGTTTAATAATATGTCACTGCCAGTATACAATTAATATACCATTGAAGTGTGTGTATGTATGTGTGTTGCACATGTAGTATTAGGATTGGCTAGCAAAGAAAAGCCAGCACATTCATGCATTAGCCTGTATTGTACACTAACAGGTTGAGCATATTGATTTCCTAAAATGTGTCCTAGCAAACACTAATCCAAAATTTTTACTCTATAGAAAAAAAATGTTCCATAATCTAGCCACAGAAAAGTTGCATGCTTTCTCTTGGACGGTCAGTAACACTGAGGTTCTCTCTTGGAAAGTCAGTAACACTGGGTTCTTAATGGCTCTGAAGTTTATCAGCTAAGAAAATACGGATTTAACAATGAATATACTCTTTAACCATTCATATCTTCAGCTGAAGACTTTGGACTTTAGCATGCAAAAAGAGCATAAGAGCAACATGTATTTCTGAAGTCCTTTTTCCTTAATGCATCTCTGTTTGCATTTAGGAGAGGCAGCCTGTTGTCTGAGACTAGAAGTTCCTGCTGAAAGCAACAGGTAGCAGATTGGGGATCACAGGTAGAATCCAGGAGCAGGCTTTGGAGAGATGAGTGTGTGCTGCTTCAATCCACCAGCCACCCAATTTTCTACATATTGTGAACATGAGCACAGGCCTTATAGATTGCTGCATCTGGTAGCAGCAGACTCATGGAAAATTATATTTCACACATGAAATCAGCAAGCATAGTAAATGTATTGAAACTCTGTTCCATATAAATAGCTATTAATTCCCAGTTCTTACTGAGGAGGTGTTATAATTGTATTTTGTCCTCACAGCAAATACAGTAAAGCAACTTTCGAAAGCAGCACAGCTCACCAGGGAAGAGCCAGGATTGTAGGCAAGGGTTGTTCCATACTCCTTCCACAACAGCCTGATTCCGTGGACTGTGAGGCACATAGGTCAAGATTAGTGATTTGAATGACAGTGGTGACTAAGAGAGGCATAAAGAATTCTACTAGATTTCACTAGAATGTAGTTCTGCTAGAGCACAGCCCTGCATTCTCCCACACACTGTTGTATTTACTTATGGCCTTCCCACATTCTGCTTACTCAATTAGAACATCTTGTTGGTGAAGCCAAAGGTAAAGGTTTTATCTCTATGTGGGCAATCACTTTTTCCCTGTTCTTTGATTACCATTGCTATCATAGATTAATATCTCATATTAGATGCAATCGAATCTATTTACAGTACTGAAGAATAATGAGGCCGGATATGATGGCTCATGCTTATAATCCCAGCACTTTGGGAGGCCGAAGCCAGAGGATTGCTTGAGGCTAGGAGTTTGAGTCCAACCTGGATGATGTAGTGAGACCCTACCTCTACACACACCAAAAAAAAAAAAAAAACAAACAAAAAAAACTTAGCTGGGTATGGTGGCACATGCCTATAAAAAGAAATGGAAATAAAGATTAATGATATAGTTTCATCCTTATCTGTGGAAACAATTCAGTCATGCCCAGAGCCCCATGAATGTAAGTTGTAAACCTGCCCAAACTGCATAGTCAGCCCTGTGAAACAGCTAGGACCAAATAAAACATTTAGGTCCACTTTTGAAGGAAAAGGGTCAAGTGCTCGGGTATGGGGTTTAAAAGGTGTTGAAAACTTATCCCCCAACATTCCTTAAGACAGCAGCAATCATGTCAAGAAATCTTTAAACAAAGTATCTAAATCTTCATTCAGGTTTTATAGTAAATTTTAAATGAAATGGCGTTTATACATTTATGTTTTTAAAATATTCCATAGAAAATATTTAAAAGATGTTTATAATTCTTTTGCATAGGAGGATAATAAGTTTTATCAGCTGGAATTAGTCAATCGAGAAACTAACTTCAACAAAGTGTTTAACTCAAGTCCTACTGTTGGTGTTATTAATCCATTGGCTAAGGTATGTGCCGTAAACACTGTAGAATAGGAATGTGGTTTAAAAGTTGGTTAAAAATTTGGTGAAAATATTTGGAGCAGCATAGTTAGATAAAGCTCCCAAAAAATGTTTTCTTCTATTTAATAATCTAGCACTAAAACTTATGAATTATTTATATGTTCATTTTAAGAATGAAACTGAATACTACTCATATTCCTTTAAATATATTTTACCAATATTATAAAACTTGATTCTACCTTTTTTTCATATTTCTGAAGAAAACTAACCTTCTGACTCTGCTTAAGACTATTTCTTGTTGTTTTCTTATTGTTCACAATCTTCTGCTTATGGTCCAGAAAGAGACTCCAGCCCTGGATACCCAACAGCTGTTCCTGGTTTAAGGCCTAACATCTTAATGGACCTTGGGTTGGACATGTATTTTGTTGCCTACCAATCGTCAGAGAAGGGCTTTACTTCTCTCAGCCTTCTGACCGTTCTTTTTGGTTTGGTTTGGTTTTTTGTTTTTGTTTTGGAGATGGGGTCTCACTGCGTTGCTCAGGCTGGTCTCAAACTCTTGGGCTCAAGCGATCCTCCTGCTTCCAGCTCCCGAGTGGATGGGATTGCAGGTGTATGCCACTTTGCCCAGCTTTATGACCGTTCTTAATTAAAATTGAGTATGACTTATTTTGATATTTGTTACTCTCTTGGGACAAAAAGAAGAGCCTTGAAATAGACATGGCCAAGTCTTATAAATCTTTGTACCCTAGCTTCCCATGGCTCCAATCATGTTTTGGGTATAGTAGGTATTCAGTAAATATTTGTTCAGTTGCAAAATTTCATCACATTCCCTATAAGCCACCACAAATTATTCTGTGAATAAAGGAAGTCATAAAGAATAAATGATTATATATATACATATATATATATATTGGCTTCATAGGAATTATGAATCTTATGGCAGAAATCAGTAGTAGAATAAATAAAAGTGATAGTTCCAAAGCTGTTTTTCAAATTCAGATTTTATTAAGTTTCACGTCATGCCTAATTTTTATTAGGACTTTACCCAGAAATTTTCCTTTCCTTTCACAGCTCGTAAAACTTCTCTATTAAGAACACTGAATCTATCCTTCCTTTACAAGTTAAAGTGTTCCAAACTTTAAACTTGAATGTTTTCTAAAATAGAATGACTGTAGTGGCATGTAGCTGTATCTCAGAGTCTAAAATACTGCCTGGCAGATAGAAAGCTCTGAGTAAATAATTGGTGAATGAATAATTATAATTAGTTTTAGTTTTTTAATTCATAATTTAGGGTGAAATAAGATTTTAATTATAAAGCAAGATTATGAGGTTTGTGGAAAAAAAGATATACTAAAAATACTCCTTTTCATTTATTTATTTTATTGGAATTAAATTTTTTAGCTGCAAAATGATTACTGTAGAACTTTACCAGTATTCTTTTGATTTCTTAAAATAGAAACCTTAAGTAGGTTTAATTATGCCCTCTGGTGACTAGAATAAGAAAATGCAAAAGATACATCTTTGTAAGAACTTTCAAACTACTTTTGACTCCTAATAGTGACTTTAGTTTTCACAAATAGTTCTGAGGAAGGTATTATTATTATTTTCTTTTTCTGGTTATGCTAAAATAGGATTTTCATCAGAGACTCTACAAGTCACAGAATATGACAGAGGAAAATGTTTAGACAATGAGATAAATAAAAATAAAAGTTCCATCTTGTATATTAATTGCATTTTTTCCCAAACTCGAGTTATTTCCCTAAAAAGCTTACAAATTTAATTGGTATACATCTAATTAGTAAAATATGAGAATATTCTAAATATCTAGTAACATGTTAATTTTTATTTCTCATAGCAAGATGATGATCATTGATTCTAGAGATGTGAATAAAATACTTTGAGACTAAAGTTAGTGAATTGCAAGCTGATAGATTTTGATAATCTGCAGTGGAATTTGTCTTTTTATCTCTTAATTTTAAAGACACATTAAAAAATCAGCTGATTACTATTGTTTTGTAACCTTTAAAGTTTAAAAAATATGAGCCAATTAATGATACTGCCAAGTAATATGGAAATTAGACTTAATTATGCAGATATAACTTTCTCTCTTCAGAAAGATAGATGTCACAGTGAATTTAAAACCAGATTATTTCTCTTAAGTCAGCTTTAGGTCTTTAGTAGAAATGTGCAATTTGTTTCAAACTACATTGCCAAGCATTTTCTCATTCCTTTTTTTTTTTCCAGGCAAGAACTGCCTCCCTTTGACAGATGGCTAAATTTCATGGACTCTCTTTTAAAATTATGTTTAACTTTACCCCTTCTCCTAATTTTAGCCTAAATCCATTTAACCTTCTATCTGCAAGACTTGCTCTCTCCCCTAATCCTTTTTCCCTTTTCTTCCCAAAAGGGTATTCTTTACCCCTTGGCACTCTTTTTACCTTCTCTCTCATTCCTCGTGAATGACTCCTAAATGTTTCTTCCTCATTCTTTCTGCCCTGGTAGCATGTCTGTCTTTGAGGATTCCATGTAGATAAAAAATACCTCCAAGGATTCCCAGACCACAGTTTGGGTAACACTGGTTAATTAACATTTTAATTTAACATAAAGCTTCCAAAATTTTCCCATGCCAAATTTCTATCTTCTACCATTCCTATTTTCTCATTTGTCCTCATGCAGGGACTATCCTCACATGTATTATTTTTAATGCAGCAAAAGAAGAAGAATGATAAATCACCAACAAACAGGTTTGTGAGTGTTCCCAATCTAAGTGCTCTGGAATCTGGTGGAGTGGGCAATGGACATCCTAACCGCCTGGATCCCATTCCTAATTCTCCAGTCCACGATATTGAGTTCAACAGCAGCAAACCACTTCCACAGCCAGTGCCACCTAAAGGGCCCAAGACATTTTTGAGGTGAGACCCGTCTCACCAATGTTTTTTTCTTTTCTTTTTTAACTTGAGAAATTTACCTTCTTACATTGCAGAAATCACTACTTTAAGAACAACCTAAGAAAAATTACTATGAAATATTTTCTTCAAAGTATATTTATCCCCTCTCTAGAGAACTTCCTTTTGACTGTGTTAAAAAGATTTTTTCTAATTTGTGGTCATCAGTCAATTTTCTAAGTACTTGAAGAGGTGTTAATGTAATTTATATCATTAGAATTTTAATATTATGCACAATTACTTTATTTTTAGTATTGTCACCAATTTTTAAATTAACAATCCATCCTTATTGTAGAACTTTAAAATAATTTTTTGTTTACTAAGTGGTTTTTGTTTTTTATATATGTTTATTTTTTTCCCTTTCTTGTTTACCAAGATTATTTATAAATATATATATATATATGCTTATTGTCAAAATAGAAACATACGTAAACTCTGGGAACTTAAATATACTTATGCAAAAACTAAATTTAGAAAAAATAAATAATTTTAAAAATTTCCATTCCAATTTTTTACCTTGCAGTTGTTGATTAAATGTATTAGCAAATTTTGAATGAAATGCAAATTTCATTAGAAATTTAGCCATTAGATAAAGTCAGAAAGTACTGTTGTTTTATGCTCATCTTACTATTACTGATTTTTTGCTGCTTTATGTTTTTTTTCTTATTCTTACTAAATCTTAGCAGTGTCACTAGTAATAGTCTTACAAAGTAGGCAGGTTTTTTTAGGCTAAGTGATTAGTGACATAGTTAATGATTAACAAAAAAAATAGCAAGAATGAAAATTAGTCAGATACACCTCTGAATTTGTCTCCTGCTAAATATTTTGTGTTGCTTATTTTCCCTTGTGCATGGGTATGTTCAGGTATCAGTAAGATGCATGTGCATGAGCTCAAGGAACATGACTACTGGAGTTTCCATTACACATTGTTGCGTGCCTTGTAATTTTCCCCAAAGACGGTAGGGATTCTTTTGTTTTCTTAAGTAGCCCAAAGAATCTTTAGTTAGAATTAAGAAAAGTATAAACTATATAACATCAATAACGGGGGAAATTATATTTTTAGTGTTCTCCCTTTCCTGGAGTATTTGCATAGGGAATTATGAAATGAAAATTTAATGTAAAATGCATATAGTAAAAAATACTAGTAGTTACTTTAGTTATATTTAAGGACACATCTGTACGATCAGCTAAAAGAGAAAAGGTGCTGAAAGAGAGGACCATTATTTTATTCTCTCGTTTCCCACAATTCTTACTGAATTTTTTATTCAAAGAAGGTGACATTTTTGCAGTTGTTTTTTGTTCTTTGTGATTGTTGTGATGTGGCTCCTCCTTAACTGACTTCATTTGAGCTGCTGATGCACTCTTATGCTCTCATGGAGTGGAGAACCGATTCTAGTATAGAGGGGGTAGCAAATCTTTAAAACACGACTTACAACATGGGGAACCCGTTGTGGTAATCTATGCTGATGTTTTATGTGCTTTTGCCTTCATTTTGCAAAATGACTTAATGCTGGGTTACATGTCTCTCTTTTTATGAATTCAGTCCTGCTCAGAGTGAAGCTTCTCCAGTGGCTTCTCCAGATCCCCAGCGCCAGGAGTGGTTTGCCCGGTACTTCACATTCTGAAAGAATTGTGTTGGCACAGCTCTGTATAGACTGTTACTAAGAGCATGACTTTATACAGATTGTTATGTAAATAGGCTTTCCTATGTCAAACACTGTGAATGAGAAAGTATTTGTCTCTCCAACTTGAAAATGCACTGTATTTCCTGTGATATTTATTGGAATCATTCTATAAGGTACTATATTATGTGTGTAATTATAACTGTTATTTTTATTTGAGATGGAAGAGTCTTTAACCTTTGTAATTACTGCATAATAAATTTTGTTAGAATCAAACAATGCTTTTTATTTTTTTCTACGTTTGCTTTAATTTTTAAATATTTTTTAATTCCAGGTAAGACTTGTCAACAAGTTTTACTGCATTATAATCATGTCATATCAAATTATTTGACTTCAGTAATCATAATAGAATCAGGATAGGGAAATAGAAACTCTTGTTCCAGTACAATGTGTAATTTTAACTAAATTGTTCTCTAAATTTACAAAGCTAGAATGAAAGTGCTTGTGTAAATTGTGGACTTTCAAGTGTATAAAATACTGTTGACTTTTAGGTGGTTTTTTTTTTTTCAGTTTTGATAGTTGAGATCTAGAACTTTAGTACAGTTAGTATCTATAATTAATACTATGTTTTATGGCCAAAAGTCACTGGGTAAAGAATAAATAGTCAATTTGATTTTAATTTGTCTTAAAGGCCAGTTTGATAGTTTTCTAAATTGGTGTAATTAATAGGGAGTGAGACATAGGGGTTTGGAGCTCAGGAAAAGAAAGACTGGGCTACAGATGTTTTGGAACATGGCATGTATGAGATAGAGAAATCCACAAGTGTGGATGAGAACAACAAGGAAGGGGGTTGAGGATAGAACTTTGGGAGAAACCAACATGTCAGAAACAGACAGGGCTTGAATGAGAATGAGAAGTAGAGTTACAGATCCAAAAAAGCATAGTGTCCTGGAAGAAGAAAGTTTCAGAGAGACCCAGCAGCCAGCCAACAATGTTAAATGCTATGGGTGTCAGAAAAGGGAAAAAATGAAAAGTGTCCATTGGCTTTGACAACTACAAGATGGTCTTAGCAAAAGCAGATTCAGGGTAACAGTGGCAACAAAAGCCAGATTCTAGGAAAGAAGGAAATGGAAGTCAAGGAAGTTGAGACAGTGAGTAAAAACTTCTCTTTGAAAAAAACTTAGTAATACAGGGAAGAGGAAAGAGAAAGTAAAGTCATAGACTGGGAAGGGTCAAGATGGGCTTTGTTTGTGTCTTTAGGAGACTTTATCATGCTTTCATGCTGGAGGACAGAGAGAGAAATTAAAAGGACAGGAGGAGAAGGGGATGAACCGCCCATAGAATACCTGAATCTTCTTCATAACATCCCTGACTGAGCTTTTATACTCCCAGTGATAGGAAACTCCTTTCTCTGAGGGTAGCACTGGCTGTGCCATCAAGTGTCTTAACCTCTGTGACTCAGTCTCCTGGGCTATATAATACATACTACCTTCCATCCTACCTTCCTAGAAGATAATATGAGATAGCTTATGAAAGGTCTTAGGAAAGGTATAAATTGCTACAGATGAGAAAATAGTTGTTGTCTTGAAAAGTAGAAGAGCAAATGTATTAGAAAACTGTAAAAGGATTATCAGGCATAATTGAGATCACAGACTATATATTTCTATTGAAACCCAGCAGAATGACTGTGGGTTTTGACCATCTTCAGCTACTAGCAGCAAGTATATACAAAGGGATATTTGGACTTACCAGGATTAGGATAGTGTTGGATAATAGAAGGAGAGAGGTAAAAGGGACCCAGGGTTTTTGCAGAGAAGTGATAATGTAAATATCATTATAACAGCCTGATTGATTACTTTTATGCTAGGATTTTAGAAGTAAAAGCACAGTGAGCAGATACTATTAATTGCATTACCTTAGATGTCAAATTGATTTTTACATATAGGTCAAGATGCTTAGTTCTTATCTCATTCTATTAATCCTTCATAACCAATTATACATAGGTATTAAATTTCACTAACACTGTATCTTAAAATATTTACCTTTTCATCATCATAAAACATTGAGTTTCTAACTCGTGGCTTTTCTCCAAACACTATGATTTTAAATCTGGAGTGAAGAGATAGGTCCTAAGAGGTAAACAGTAAAAAATATTTTCTTTGTATATACAGTACTCTGTACCGCAGCTCAAGCAGAAAGAGGGCATCTTGATGAGCTAAACCACAATTCGTTTGTTTTGCTGTGTCTTTTGTTACGTTGTAGAGAGTGTTAATGTGGATTAGAGGATGGGAAAGGAAAAATGTTAAATACAACATAGTTGGAAATACTTTATTCATGTCCACAGGAACCATATACAAAAGTTTGTCAAAAAGCAATACAAATTAAATATTTGGAAAGATATCACAATCAGATTTCTTAGTTAAGTATTCAGATTCCAAAACTGTGTTAATGATAAAAGTATATGAAAACATTTGAGAGCAATGTCTGGCTTTGGGTTCAGCTAAAAATTATCCATAGGCAGTCTCTTATTTATTTTCATAAACAAAGAACATATTCTATCTTTCTAACAAGATCAACAACATAATTTGAAACAGAGATATTCTTTGAAAATAATAAAATGCCTAATTTTTCTTTTTTTTTTTTTTTTTTAATTTTTGAGGCAGGGTTTCACTCTCGCCCAGGCTGGAGTGCAGTGGCATGATCACAGCTCACTTGCAGCCTTAACCTCCTGGGCCCAAATAATCCTCCCACCTCAGGGCCCTGAGTAGCTCAGACTAGAGGCATATGCCACTACACTCAGCTAATTTTTGTAGAGATGAGGTTTTGCCATGTTGCCGAGGTTGGTCTCGAACTCCTGAGCTCAAGCAATACTCCTTGGCCTCCCAAAGTACTGGGATTACAGGCATATGCCACTGCGTTTTCCTTTCATTTTATCACAAATGGTCTAACATTGTCACATGACATCATTGCGATACTGCATGATCGCATAAACCATATTTTGGTTTGAAGGTTACTACATGTTAACCACCACTGGTAATCCCAGGAATATTATCTCTGCAATTTTCTGAAGGTAGCAATATTTAATTTTAACAGTATAATTGTGATTTGCTTTTATTAGTAGTCAAAACCTGTTTGAACTAGACTACGGAGCACAGAAATAAACCTTCACATATGGCCAGATGACTTTCAACAAGGGTGAAAGGACCATTCAATTCGGAAAAGGCAGTCTTTTCAACAAATGGTGCTGGAAAAATGATATTTACACGCAAAAGAACGAAGTTGGACCCTCGCCTTGTAACACTATGTAGAAAAATTCAAAATGGAACAAAGACTTGAACATAAAAGCTAAAACTATACAACTTTTAGAAGTAAACATTGGATGACATTGGATTTGGTAATGATTTTGTAGATCTGAAACCAAAAGCAAGGCAACAAGCAAAAATAATTGGACTTCATGAAAATTTAAAGTTTTTGTGCATCAAAGGACACTATCAACAGAGTGAAAAGACACCCTAAAAGTGGGAGAAAATATTTGCAAAGCATATAACTGACAGGGGATTAATATCCCGGATACATAAAGAATTCCTGCCTGGGTGTGGCAGCTCACACGTGTAATCCCAACACTTCGGGAGGCTGAGACCAGAGTATCGCTTGAGGACAGGAGTTGGAGACCAGCCTGGGCAATATAGCAAGACCCCGTCTCTACAAATTTGTTTTTTAATTAGGCGGATGTGATGGTACACACTGGTTGTCTCAACTACTAGGGAGGCTGAGGCAGGAGAATCACTTGAGCCCAGGCGTCTGAGGCTGCAGTGAGCTATGATCATGTCACTGCACTCCAGCCTGGGTGACAGCGAGACCCTGTCTCTTAAAAAAAAAAACAGAATTTCTAAAACTCAACAAAATTCAAAATTGGGCAAAAGAATAGATATTTCTCCAAAGAAGAAACACAAATGGCCAATAAGCTCACAAAAAGATGCTCAGCATCACTAGTTATGATGAAAATGTAAGTCAAAATCACAATTAGAGAAGATTCTTCATTATAATTTATTAATTAGGAGGGCTTTCATAGAAAATAAGACAAAAGCAGAAAATAACAAATGTTGCTAAGGATATGGAGAAACTGGAGCCCTTGTGGGAATGTCAAATGGCAAAAACTGCCTGTAGAAAACAGGCAGTTCTTCAAAAAACTAAATAGAATAACCATATGATCCAGCAATTCTACTTCTAGGTATATACCCAAGAGCAGGGACTCAAACAGATACTTGTACACTAATGGTGCTAGCATCATTATTCACAAGAGACTAGAGGTGAAAACAACCCAAATGGCTGTCAGCAGATGAAAGGAAAAGCAGAATATGGTATAAACGTACATTGGAACGTCATTCAGCCTTAAAAAGAAATAAAATCCTGATATATGTTACAACATGAATGAACCTTGAAAATGTTATGCTAAATAAAATAAGCCAGACAAAAGGCCAAATGCTGTACGATTCCATTTACCTGAATAGGCAAATTCATAAAGATAGAAAGAAAAGTATGTGTTACCGAGGGTTGAGTTGGGAGGACAGGGGAGTTATGATTTGATGGATACAGCATTTCCGTTTGGAATTATTTTTTTAAAGTTCTGGAGATGGATAGTAGTGGTGTTGCACAACATTATCAATGAACTTAATGCCACTGAATTGGATACTTTAAATATGATTAAAATGGGAATTTAAAGTTATATGTATTTTACCACAATTTAAAAGGGCTAAGTAATGGGGTATTAGCGACTCTGCATTGGATTCTGAATAAATACAATACTTAAGTTATATTATAAATTGTTATATTTACAAGTTAAAGTGAAATCTTTCCTGTTTAAGATTCATTCCGTTTGCTTTTTTCTCCCTGCCATTTTCTGTATGAATGTTCTGCTATTTGGTACCTCAGCATATGTTTAAGTAGCAGTATCTGAACAGAAGGTGCTTGGAATACACGGAGAACAATAACCTAAGATTACCTCAGATGCCAGGGGAGTGTCATGTACAGACCAACTTATGGGTTCTATCTTCAGTATTACCAAGGCATTTATTTTTATTTATTTATTATTTTTTAGAGATGGGTTATTGGCCGTGTTGCCCAGGCTGGTCTGGGACTCCTGGGCTCATGTGATCCTCCTGCCTCAGCCTCCCAAGTAGCTGGGATTACAGGCACATACCACCATGCCTGACTCCAAGGCATTCACACTTATCTCCCAGTTTTTGAGGCTCTGTGAAGGCTTTTTTCATGCCTTCACACTGAATTATACATTCCTTCCTAGGTGCACCCATAGCACTTACTTAACAGCTATTTGTTTATTCAACATATTTATTGGGTGCCAGGTATTACTTAACGTGGTTGGGATAAATTGAACAAAACACATGTATCCCTGTCCTCATGGAACTCAGACTAGATGCAGCCACCATGCCCAGGCTACAGTGCCTGATTCCTACTAGGTTATTAGATTAATTGAATGAAACAGGTATGTATCTTTAACAGAAAAACTGATGCCATGTGTATGTGTCCACATGCATGCTTGTGTATGTGATTGTAGATAGATAAATTCCTTTAAATTTTAAGTTTATTACCATTTTATATTTAATGTATATGTATATACATGTGAAAAATTCATACACTGCTTTAATCAAAAAGGTTTACAAATGACGACACAGAAGACACTAAAAGTGTATATTCTTTATTGAAACTACCAATAGTTGTGGAAAATTAGGACTAATTGAAAGGAGAATACAAATGTGTAATTGAAGGCCAACATAACCAGGCTTCAACTTCAGTGTTTTCTCCATGCATCTTTGAGCTAGGGTGAAAGATGTATGGTTAGATGACCCTTATCAGAAAAGCGGAAGGATTTTTCAGGAGAAAAAGCTTTCCTAGCCTTGAATTCTAAAAGGAATTCCTCATTTAGGACTTTTTAATAGAAGACATTTAGATGATGTCATGATTGATATTCTTAATTATTTTTACAACAAAAGCTGCGGTTTCACAAAGCTGTTTCTTGAAGTAACCTTTGATAAAAAGGGAAATTACAGCATTTAAGAATAACTCAATGTAAGAGTCGGCAAAATGTGCCAGACTAGTAAGTAGTAGCTGTCTAGTGGCCTAATGTGATCCAAGGATAAAATTGAGAATAAAGAAATGAAAAGCCCCTTGGACAATCTTCCTTAAATGTCACTTCTCTTGGGCTTTTGGCTAACAGAGGTTGCAATCTGGCAAGTTATTAATAATAATACCTGTAATGCTGCTATTTTATATTTCTGGTGATAGAACCATATGGAAATAGTAGACGACATCAAATTATGAAATCAGAGTTAAGCTATGTTATTGCCATCTTCTCTGACCATTTCATTTCAAGCAAAATGAAAGTTTTCCTCAGAAAGCTGCTCTATAATAATTGAATCTATTTTAGTTCTAAAAAGCCCTCTTTGCTGTATTTCCAGAGTTCCACATCATAAATCAGGGCTGAACTAATTTTGGCTGGAACATTTTTAAGGCAGCTGTTGATATCATCTACCATGGCCAAAGAAGAGCCTAGTTATGCACCCCAAAGCATCATTGTAGAGCTGCATGACTTGCCGGTGTAAGATTTAGTTGCAAAATGTCCTTCCAGAAAACTGAAATTCAATTGCTGGGTGGCAATCTTATAAACCAATTATAGATTGTGAAAAAGTCACTGATGTTATTTTCGTTTAGTAACTTTATTGAATAACTAGTATGTACCAGTTACTATTGAAAATACATTTGTAATTTATGTTAAGCCACTTTTTTCTACTAATAATTTAAAAATAGGACCACAATTTATGCTCTAAAGAATGTTATCCACAGGAACAGAAAACCAAACACTGCATGTTCTCATTTATAATTGGGAGCTGAACAATGAGAACACATGGACACATGTTGGGGAACAACACACACTGAGGCCTGTCGGGGGTGGGGGGCATGAGGGAGAGCATCAGGAAGAATAGCTAATAGATGCCGGGTTTAATACGTAGGTGATGGGATGATCTATGCAGCAAACCACCATGGCACATGTTTACCTATGTAACAAACCTGCACATCCTGCACATGTACCCCAAAGTTGAAGGAACAAAAAGAGCCATTCAGATTGCACTCTTTTATGTAAGGTTTCTTTTGCTTAGTATAATGCATTTGAGATTCATCCAAATTGTTGCATGTATCAGTAGTTGGTTCCTCTTTCTTGCTGAGTAGTGGTTCACTGCAGATATGCCATGATTTGTATATCCATTTCCTTGTTGATAGACATTTGGGTTGTCTCTAATTTTTGATTCTTATGGATAAAGCTATGAACATTCATGTAAAAAAAAAAAGAATGTTGTCAGCAAATAGAGGAAATTCATCCTTCTATTGACTATGACAGCTAGGCACGCATCAGGTCTGATATCCATCCACAAAGATCAGTCTAGCAATCAGAATCAAATTTAAAGTGTTCTAGTAATTTAAAATGTTTATAATTTACTCACTTTTAGATGTTTAATAAAATGAGTTATGCAACAGGAGTTCCAGTTCCCAGTATTGAGTGGGTGGGTGGGTAGGTGTGTAGGCTCCATAAAATTACACATTTGGGGCTCCTGAGAATTAACAGGGATTTGTGCCCAGCCAGAATTAATTTAAACAAATAAGTGAAAAATCTCCATAATGAAAGCCATAAAATATTGGTGAAAGAAATTGAAGAGGACACACACACAAAAAAAGGAAAGATACTCCATTTTCATGGATGAGAAGACTAAATATTGTTAAAATATTCCTACTACCCAAAGCAACCTATGGATTCAATGCAATCAAAATACCTATGACATTCTTCACAGAAATAGGAAAAAAATCTTAAAATGTGTATGGAACCACAAAAGACCCAGAATAGCCAAAGTTATCCAGAGAAAAATGAACATAACTGGAGAAATCACATTACCTGACTTCAAATCATGCTACAGAGCTATAAGTAAACAAAACAGCATGGTACTGGCGTAAAAACAGACACATAGACGAACAGAACAGAATAGAGAATGCAGAAACAAACCCATACATCTCCAGTGAACGCACTTTCAACAAAATTGCCAAGAACATACATTGGGGAAAGGACAATCTCTTCAATAAATAATAGTGCTGGGAAAATGATATATGTATTCAGAAGAGTGAGACGAGACCCCTACCTCTCACCATATACAAAAATTAAATCAAAATGGATTAAGGACTTAAATCCAAGACCTCGAACTATAAAACTACTCCAAGAAAACTCTATCTCCATGAGTTTGTGAACACCAAAAATCTGAGACAGTCTCAGTTAATTTAGAAAGTTTATTTTGGCAAGGTTAAGGACGTGCACCTGTGACACAGCCTCAGGAGGTTCTGACGACATGTGCCCAAGGTGGTCAGAGCACAGTTTGACATGAGACATCAATCAACATATGCAAGATGAACATTGTTTCAGTTTGGAAAGGTGGGACAACTCAAAGCAAAAGCGGGAAGACTCAAAGTGGGGAGGGGGCTTCCAAATTATAGGTAGATACAAGAAGCAAATGGTTGCATTCTTTTGAGTTCCTGATGAGCCTCTCTAAAGGAGGCAATCAGATATGTATTTATCTCAGTGAGCAGGGGGGTGACTTTGAATAGAATGGGAAGCAGGTTGGCCCTAAGCAGTTCCCAGCTTGACTTTTCCCTTTAGCTTAGCAATTTGGGGGCCCTAAGATTTTCCTTTCACAAGTTCAATTGTTTTGATTTTTAGCTCCCACAAATATGTGAGAACTTGCAAAGTTTGTCTTTCTGTGCCTGGTTTATTTCATTTAATATAATGACCTCCAGTTCCATCCATGTTGTTGCAAATGACAGCAACACATTCTTTTTTATGGCTGAAGAGTACTCCATTGTGTATATGTACCCCATTTTTTTATCTATTCGTCTGTTGATAGACGCTTAGGTTGCTCATAAATCTTGGCTGTTGTAAATAGTGCTGCAACAAACATGGGAGTGCAGATATCCTTGCCATATTCTGATTCCCTTTCTTTTGGGTATATAGCTAGCAGTGGGATTGCTGGATCACATTTTAAATTTTGAGGAACCTCTAAGCTGTTCTCCATAGTAGTTGTACTCATTTACATTCCCACCAACAGTGTACAAGAGTTCACTTTTCACCATATCCTTACCAGTACTTATTATTGCCTGTCTTTTGGATGAAAGCCTTTTTTTTTTTTTCTTTTTGAGACAGAGTTTTGCTCTTGTCATCCAGGCTGGAGTGCCATGGCATGATCTTGGTTCACTGTAACTTCTGCCTCCTGGGTTCAAGTGATTCTCCTGCCTCAGCCTCCCGAGTAGCTGGGACTACAAGCGTGCACCACTACACCTGGCTAATTTTTTTGTATTTTTAGTAGAGACTTAGTAGAGATGGGGTTTCACCATGTTGGCCAGGCTGGTCTTGAACTCCTGACCTCAGGTGATCCACTGCCTCGGCCTCCTAAAGTGTTGGGATTACAGGCGTTGAGCCACCACGCCCAGCCGATAAAAGCCATTTTAACTGGGGTGAGATGATATCTTTGTTGTTTGATTTGCATTTCTCTAACGATCAGTGACGTTCAGCACCTTTTCATATGCCAGTTTGCCATTTGTCTATTCAGATCTTTTGCCCATCTTCTAATCGAATTATTAGATTTTTTTCCCCATTGAGTTTTTTTGGGCTTCTTATCTATTCTGGTTATTAATCTCTGATAGATGAATAGTATGCAAACATTTTTTCCTATTCTGTGGGATGGATCTTCACTTTATAGTTGATTGTTTACTTTGCTGTGCAGAAGTCTTTATTTTGATGTAATCCCATTTGTCCAATTTTGCTTTGATTGCCTCTGCTTGTGGGGTATTACTCAAAAAATCTTTGCCCACTCCAATGTCCTACAGAGTTTCTTCAATGTTTTCTTGGAGTAGTTTTATATTTCAAGGTCTTAGATTTAAGTCTTTAATCCATTTTGATTTAATTTTTGTATATGGTGAGAGGTAGTTGTCTAGTCTCATTCTTCTGAATATGTATATCATTTTTCCAGCACTATTATTTATTGAAGAGATTGTCCTTTCCTCAATGTATGTTCTTGGCAATTTTGTTGAAAATGAGTTCACTGGAGATGTATGGGTTTGTTTCTGCATGCTCTATTCTGGTCTATTAGTCTATGTGTCTGTTTTTATGCCAGTACCATGCTGTTTTGGTTACTTATAGCTCTGTAGTATGATTTGAAGTCAGGCAATGTGATTCCTCCAATTATGTTCTTTTTGCTCAGGATAACTTTGGCTATTCTGGGTCTTTTGCTTGGCTCCATACACATTTTAAGATTTTTTTTTTCTATTTCTGTGAAGAATGTCATAAGTATTTTGATTGGAATTGCAATGAATCCATAGGTTGCTTTGGGTAGTAGGAATATTTTAACAATATTTAGTCTTCCCATCCATGAAAACGGAATATCTTTCCTTTTGTGTGTGTGTGTGTCCTCTTCAATTTCTTTCACCAATGTTTTATGGCTTTCATTACAGAGATATTTCACTTATTTGCTTAGGTTAATTCCTAGGAATTTAATTTTCCTTGTAGCTATTGTAAATGGGCTTAATTTCTTGATTCCTTTTCAGATTGTTTGCTTTTGGCACATAGAAATGCTACTGATTTTTTATTTGATTTTGTATCCTGCAACTTTACTGAATTTGTTTATCAGTTTTACTAGTTTTTTGTTGGGGTCTTTAGGTTTTTCCAAATATAAGATCATATCTGCAAACAAGGATAATTTGCCTTCTTTATTTCCAATTTGGATGCCCTTTATTTCTTTCTCTTGTCTGATTGCTCTAGCTAGGGCTTTCAGTACTATGTTGGATAACAGTGGTGACAATGGGCATCTTTGTCATGTTCTAGGTCTTAAAGGAAAGGCTTTTTTCAGTTTTTCCCAATTCAGTATGATACTAGCTGTGGGTCTGTTGTATGTGGATTTTATGTTGAGGTGGATGTTCCTTCTATACCCAACTTTTTGAGGGTTTTTCTTATAAAGGAATGCTGAATTTTATCAAATGCTTTTTCAGTATCAATTGAAATGTTCATATAGTTTTTGTCTTCCATTCTGCTGATATAATGTATCACACTGAATTTGGTTTACTAGTATGTCCCTTCTATGACAATTTTGCTGATGGTTTTAATCATAAAGGGATGCTGGATTTTATCAAATGTTTTTTCTGCATCTGTTGAGATAATCACATGATATTTGTTTTTAATTCTGTTTATGTGATGTATCACATTTATTGACTTGTGTATGTTAAAACATCCCTGCATCCCTGGTATGAAACCCACTTGATTATGCTGTATTATCGTTTTAATATGCTGTTGGAATTGGTTAGCTAGTATTTTGTTGAGGATTTTTGCATCTGTGTCCATCAGGGATTTTGGTCTGTAGTTTTCTTTCTTCTTTTCTTTTTCTTTCTTTTTTTTTTTTTTTTTTTGAGACAGAGTCTTGCTCTGTCGCCCAGGCTGGAGTGCAGTGGCACAATCTCGGCTCACTGCAAGCTCTGCCTCCCGGGTTCACACCATTCTCCTGCCTCAGCCTCCCAGTAGCTGGGACTACAGGCGCCCGCCACCATGCCCGGCTAATTTTTTTGTATTTTTAGTGAGATGGGGTTTCGCCGTGTTACCTGGATGGTGTCGATATCCTGACCTCGTTATCCGTCTGCCTCTGCCTCCCAAAGTGCTGGGATTACAGGCGTGAGCCACTGTGCCCGGCTGTAGTTTTCTTTTTTTGTTATGTCCTTTCCTAGTTTTGGTATCAGGATGATACCAGCTTCCTAGAATGATTTAGGAAGGGGCCAGACGCCATGGCACATGCCTGTAATCCCAGCAATTTGGGAGGTCATCGCGGGTGGATTGCTTGAGCTTAGGAGTTTGAGACCAACCTGGGCAACATAGTGAAACCCTGTCTTTACCAAAAACACAAAAAACTAGCCGGGCATGGTGGTGCGCACCTGTGGTCCCAGCTACTTGGGAGGCTGAAACAGGAGGGTCACTTGAGCCTGGGAGGTGGAGGTTGCAGTGAGCTGAGATTGCACCACTGCACTCCAGCCCAGACAACAGAGTGAGACCCCATCTCCAAAAAAAAAAAAAAGAGGGAAGAGAAAAGAGAGAATGATTTACAGAGAATTCCCTCTTTCTTTATCTTTTGGAAAAGTTTCAGTAACATTGGTACCAATTCTTTGAATGCCTGATAGAATTCAGCTGTGAATCCATCTGGTCCTGGACTTTTTTTCATTAGTAAATTTTTGTATTACTGTTTCAATCTCACTACTTGTTATTGGTCTGTTCAGAGTTTCTATTTCTTCCTGATTTAATCTAGGAGGATTGTATATATCCAGGGATTTATTCATCACCTCTAGATTTTCTAGTTTGTGCAAATAAAGGCGTTCATAGTAGCCTTGGATGATCTTTTGCATTTCTGTGATATCAGGTGCAATATCACCCATTTTGTTTCTAATTGAGCTTATTTGGATCTCTCTTCTTGTTTATCTCGCTAATGGTCTAACCTTTTTTAATCTTTTCAAAGAACCAGCTTTTTAATTTATCTTTTGTCATTTTTTGTTTCAATTTCATTTAATTCTGCTCTGATCTTTGTTATTTCTTTCCTTCTGCTTGGTTTGGGTTTGGTTTGTTCTCGTTTCTCTAGCTCCTTGAGGTATGACCTTAGATTGTCTATTTGTGCTTTTTCAGACTTTTTGATGTAGGTATATAATGCTATGAACTTTTCTCTTAGCACTGCTTTTGTTGTATCCCAGAGGTTTTGATAAGTTTTGTCACTATTATCACTGAGTTCAAAAACTTTTAATTTCCACCTTGATTTCATTGTTGGCTCAGGGGTCATCCAGGAGCAGATATTTAATTTCCATGTATTGGTATAGTTTTGAGGGTTCCTTTTGGAGTTAACTTATAATTTTATTCCACTGTGGTTTGAGAGGGCACTTGATATAATTTTGATTTTCTTACATTAATTGAGACTTGTTTTTGTGGCCTATCATACGGTC
Source organism: Homo sapiens (assembly GCF_000001405.40). Classification (NCBI taxonomy): domain Eukaryota; kingdom Metazoa; phylum Chordata; class Mammalia; order Primates; family Hominidae; genus Homo; species Homo sapiens. The sequence goes on along the minus strand of NC_000006.12, from coordinate 118,947,028 downwards.
TATCTTGGAGAATGTTCTATGTGCTGATGAAAAGAAGTATATTCTGCAGTTGTTGGGTAGAATGTTCTGTAAATATCTGTTAAGTCCATTTGTTCTAGGGTAGAGTTTAAATCCATTAGACTTTCTGTCTTGATGACCTGTCTAGTGCTATCAGTGGAGTATTAAAGTCCCCCACTATTATTGTGTTGCCACCTATCTCATTTCTTAGGTCTAGTAATAATTGTTTTATAAATTTGGGAGATCCAGTGTTAGGTTCATATATATTTAAGATTGTGATATTTTCCTGTTGGATTGATCCTTTTATCATTATATAATGCCCTCTTTGTCTTTTTTAACTGTTGTTGCTTTTGATATAAGAATAGCTACTCCTGCTTGCTTTTGGCATCCATTTGCATGGAATTTTTTTTTTTTTTTTGAGATGGAATCTCGCACTACCACTTAGGCTGAAGTGCAGTGGTGTGATCTCTGCTCACTGCAAGCTCTGCCTCCCGTGTTCACACCATTCTCCTGCCTCAGCATCCCGAGTAGCTAGGACTACAGGTGCCCACCACCATGCCCGGCTAACTTGTTGTATTTTTAGTACAGACGGAGTGTCACCGTGTTAGCCAGGATGGTCTCAATCTCCTGACCTCATGATCTGCCCGCCTCAGCCTCCCAAAGTGCTGGGATTATAGGTGTGAGCCACTGCGCCCGGCATGGAGTATCTTTTTCTACCCCTTTACCTTAAGTTTATGTGAGTCTTTATGTGTTAGGCGAGTCTCTTGAAGATAGCATTCTGCCATTCTATATTTTTAAATGGAACATTTAGACCATTTACATTCAACGTTAGTACTGAGGTATGGGGTACTGTTTTATTCATCATGCTAGTTGTTGCCTGAATACCTTGGGTTTTTTTTTTTATTGTGTTATTGTTTTATAGGCCCTGTGAGATTTATGCTTTAAGGAGATTCTATTTTGGTGTGTTTTGAGTTTTGTTTCAAGATTTAGAGCTCCTTTTAGCAGTTCTTGTAGTCCTGGCTTACTAGTGGAAAATTCTCTTAGCATTTGTTTGCCTGAAAAAGACTTTATCTGTCCTTCATTTATGAAGTTGTTTTGCTGGATACAAAATTCTTGGCTGGCAATTATTTTCTTTTAGGAGGCTAAAGATAGGACCCCAATCCCTTCTGTCTCGTAGAGTTTCACTAAGAAATCTGCAGTTAATCTGATAGGTTTTCCTTTACAGTTTACCTGATGCTTTTGCCTTACAGCTCTTAAGATTCTTTCCTTTATCTTGACTTTAGATAACCTGATGACTATGTGCCTAGGTGATGATGATCTTTTAGTGATAAATTTCCCAGGTGTTCTTTGAGCTTCTTGTATTTGGGTGTCTAGATCTTTAGTGAGGCCATGAAAGTTTTCCTTGATTATTCCCTCAAATAAGTTTTCCAAACTTTTGGATTTCTCTTCTTCCTCAGGAATGCCAATTATTCTTAGGTTTGGCCATTTAACATAATCCCAAATTTCTTGAGGCTTTGTTCATTTTTTAAGATTCATTTTTTTCCTTTGTCTTTGTCAATTGAGTTAATTTGAGAGTCTTTTCTTTGAGCTCTGAAGTCCTTTCTTCTACTTGTTCTAGGCTATTGTTGACACTTTCCAGTGAACTTTGTATTTCTCTAAGAGTGTCTTTCATTTCCAGAAGTTGTGATTGTTTTTTCTTTCTAATATCTATTTCTCTGGAGATTTTTTCATTCATATCCTGTATTTTTGTTTTTATTTCATTAAGTTGGTTTTCACCTTTCTCTGGTGTCTCCTTCAGTAGCTTAATAATCAACCTAAATTAATTATGTGGCAATTAAGAGATTTCTTCTTCGTTTGAATCCATTGCTGGGGAATTAGTGTGGCCTTTTGGGGGTGATATGAAACTTAGTTTTGTCCTATTACCCAAATTGTTTCTCTGATTCCTTCTCATTTGGGTAGACTATTTTAGTGGAAAAATCTGGAACTCAAAAACTGCTGTTCGGATTCTTTTGTCCCATGCAGTGATCCCTTGATGTGGTGCATTCTGCCTTCCTGGATGGGGCTTCCTTGGAGCCTGATTGCAGTGATTGTTATTGCCCTTCTAGGTCTAGCCACCCAGCAGGGCTATCAGGCTTCAGACTGGTGCTAGAAAATGTCTATAAAGAGTCCTGTGATGTGACTTATTATTGGTCTGTTCAGGTTTTCGATTTCTTCATGGCTCAATATTGGTAGGTTGTATGTGTTTAAGAATTTATCCATTTCTTCTAGATCTTCTAAGTTGTTGGTGTAAAGTTGCTCATAGAAGCCACAAATAAGCCTCTGAATTTTTGCAGTATTAGTTGTAATGTCTCCTTTTTCATCTCTGATTTTGTTTATTTGGCTCTTCTCTTGTTTTTTCTTGGACTGGGTAAAGGTTTGTCAATTTTATGTTTTCAAAAGACAAACTTTTAGTTTTGTTGATCATTTGTACTGTTTTGTTTGTTTCAATTTTATTTATTTCTGCTCTGATTTTTATTATTTCTTGTCTTCTACTAATTTTGGGTTTGAGGGCTCTTGCTTTTCTAGTTCCTTAAGATGCACTGCTAGGTTATTTAAAGCTTTTCTTCTTTTTTGATGTAGGCACTTACAGCTATAAACTTCCCTCTTAGTACTACTTTCACAGCATTCCATAAGTTTTGGTATGTTGTGTTACATTGTCATTTGTTACAAGAAGTTTTCCAGTTTTCTTAGTTTCTTCATTGAACCCCTGGTCATTCAGCACCATAGTGTTTAATTTCTATGTGTCTGTATAGTTTCCAAAATTCCTCTTGTTGTTATTGATTTCTTGTTTTATTCCATTGTGGTCAGAGAAGATGCTTGATACTATTTCAATTTTTGAAAATGTTTTAAGACTTGCTTTGTTACCTAACATATGGTCTATTCTTGAGAATAATCCGTGTGCTGAGGAAAAGAATGTGTATGTATTTATAATTGTTATATCCCCTTTCTGAATTGACCCTTTATCATTATATAGTGATCTTTTTGTCTCTTCTTATAGTTTTTGTCTTGAAATCTATTTTATCTTATATAAGTATAGCTAGTCCTGCTCTTTTTTGGTTTCCATTGCCTGGAATATCTTTTTTCCATTCCTTTGTTTTTAGTTTATGTGTGTCTTTATAGGTGGATTGTGTTTATTGTAGGCAATAGATCTTTGGGCTTATCTTTTTATCTGTTTAACTAATCTATGTCTTTTGATTGGAGAGTTTAGTCCATTTGCATGTAATGTTGTTATTGGTAAGTAAGGTCTTACTCCTGCCATTTTGTTATTTGTTTTCTGGTTGTTTTGTGGTCTTCTCTTTCTTTCCACCTTCCTTCCTGTCTTCCTTTCAGTGAAGGTGATTTTCCCTAGTGGTATGATTTAATTTCTTGCTTTTTATTATTTACATATCTACTAATTTTTTTATTCAAAGTTATGAGGCTTGCAAATACTATAACACATTAAATTTAGCTGATAGCAATTTAACACTGTTTGCATAAACTAATAAAAAACTCCAAACCTTAGCTTTGTCTCCCCACTTTTTAACTTTTTGTTGTTTCTATTTATATCTTATTGTACTTTCTATGTCTTGAAAGTTGTTGTACTTATTTTTTATTGGATCATCCTTTAGCCTTTTTACTTAAGAGTAGTTTACACACAAGAATCACAGTGTTATAATCTGTGTTCTTCTGTGTACTGATTACTACCAGTCAGTTCTGTACCTTCAAATGATTTCTTATTGCTCATTATAATCCTTTTTTTTTTTTTTGGTTTTTTTTTTTTGAGACAGAGTCTCTTTCTGTCACCTAGGCTAGAGTACAGTGGCATGATCTTGGCTCACTGCAACCTCTGCCTCCCAGGTTCAAGTGATTCTCATGCCTCAGACTCCTGAGTATCTGGGATTACAGGTGTGTTCCACCATGCCCAGCTAATTTTTGTATTTTTAGTAGAGACAGGGTTTCACCATATTGGCCAGGCTGGTCTTGAACTCCTGACCTCAAATGATCCACTCATCTTGGCCTCCCAAAATGCTGGCACTACAGGCGAACATCCTTCTATTTCTTTTTCTAAAATTTTTCTTATTTTTTGAGACGAACTCTCTCTCTCTTGCCAAGCTGGAGTGGTGCAGTGGCATGATCTTGGCTCACTGCAGCCTCTGCCTGCTGGGTTCAAGTGATTCTCCTGCCTCAGCCTCCCGAGTAGCTGGGTCTACAGGCGGGCACCACTACACCTGGCTAATTTTTGTATTTTTAGTAGAGTTGGGGTTTTACCACATTGGTCAGGCAGGTCTCGAACTCCTGACCTCAAGTGATCCACTCACCTTGGCCTCCCAGAGTGCTGGGATTACAGGTGTGAGCCACCGTGCCTAGCCCATCCTTTTATTTCTGATTGGAGAATTCCCTTTAGCATGTTTTTGTAGGACAGGTCTGGTGTTGATGAAATCCCTCAGACTTTGGGAATGTCTTTATTTCTCCTTCAGGTTTGAAGGATATTTTCACAGGATATAGTATTCTAGGATAAAAGATTTTGTCCTTCAGCTCTTTAACTATGTCATGACACTCTCACCTGGCCTGTAAGCTTTCCACTGAAACATCTGCTGCCAGATGTATTGGAGCTCCATTGTATGCTATTTGTTTCATTTCTCTTGCTGCTTTTAAGATTATTTCTTTATCCTTGACTTTTGGGAGTATGATTACTAAATGCCTTGAGGTGGTCTTCTTTAGATTAAATCTGCTTCTGTAACATTCTTGTACTTGGATATGGATATCTTTCTCTAGATTTGGGAAGTTCTCTGTTATTATCCCTTTGAATAAACTTTTTGCCCCTCTCTTTCTCTACTTCCCTTCAAGGCCAATAACTTAGATTTGTCCTTTTGAGGCTATTTTCTTGATCTTGTAGGTATGCTACATTCTTTTTATGCTTTTTTCTTCTTTTTTATTTTGTCTCCTCTGACTGTCTCTTTTGAAATAGCCTGTATTCAAGCTAATTCATTCTTCTGCTTAATCATTTCTGGTATTAAAAGACTCTGATGCATTCTTTGGTATGTAAATTGCATTTTTCAACTCAAGAATTTTCTGCTTGATTCTTTTTAATTATCTCAATCTCTTCATTAAATTTATCTGACAGAATTCTTAATTCTTTCTCTGTGTGATCTTTAATTTCTTTGCATTTCCTCAAAATAGCTATTTTGAATTCTCTTTCTGAAAGGTTACATAGCTGTTTCTCTAGGATTGGTCCCTGGTACCTTATTTTATTTTATTTTATTTAGATGGAGTCTCACTGTGTTGCCAGGCTGGAGTGGAGTGGTGTGATCTTGGCTCACTGCAACCTCCACCTCCCAGGTTCAAGCGATTCTCCTGCCTCAGCCTCCCAAGTAGCTAGGACTACAGGTGTGCGCCACCAGGCCCAGCTAATTTTTGTATTTTTAATAGAGATGGGGTTTCACCATGTTGTCCAGGATGGTGTCGATCTCTTGACCTTGTGATCTGCCCACCTTGGCCTCCCAAAATGCTGGGATTACAGGCGTGAGCCACTGCGCCCAGCCGGTCCATGGTACTTTATTTAGTTCATTTAGTGAAGTCATGTTTTCCAGGATGGGCTTGATCCTTGTGGATGTTTGTCAGTGTCTGAACATTAAAGAATTAGGTATTTATTGTTGTCTTTGCAGTATGGGTTGTTTGCACCCATTCTTGTGAAGGCTTTTCAGATACTTGAAAGGACTTGGGTGTTGTGATCTACGCTGTATCTGCATTAGGGGACACTCCAAGCCCAGTAATGTTATAGTTCTTGCAAACTCACAGAAATACCAACTTGGTGGTCTCAATTAGATCCGGAAGAATTCTCTGGACTACCAGACAGACTCTCATTCTTTTACCTTACTATCTCCCAAACAAACAGAGTCTCCTTTCCCTCTCTCTCTCTCTCTGTTCTGAGCTGCTTGGAGCTGGAGAAGGGGTGACACAAGCACCCTTGTGGCCACAACCACTGGGATTATGCTGGGTTAGGCCTGAAGCCAGCACAGCACTGGGGCTTGGCCAAGGCCTGCAGTAACCACTACCTGGCTACTGCCTATGTTTGCTCAAGGTCCTAGGGCTCTACAATTAGCAGTAGGTGAAGCCAGCCAGGCTTGCATCCTTCCCTTCAGGGTATCGACAAGTTCCCTCAAGCCCCAGGTGGGTCCAGAGATCCTGTCCCTGAGCCAGGGACTGGAGTGAAAAACCCTAGAAATCTACCTCGAGTGATATTGTACCGGAGCTGTGCTGGCACTCAAACCACAAGATGCAGTTCCTCTCACTCTTCCCTCTCCTTTCCACAGGCAAAGGAGCCTCACTCTGTGGCTACCACCACTACATTCCCACAGGTAGTACTGCCAGGCTACCACCAATGTTCACCTATGGCCAAAGGTCTCCTCAGTCAGCTTGCAGTGAATGCTGACAGGCCTGAGGTTAACCCTTCAGGGCAGTGGGCTCTCCTCTGCCTGCTGGATTCAAGTGATTCTCCTGCCTCTGGCTTAGGGCGGGTCCGGAAATATCATCCAAGAGTCAAATCCTGGAACTGAGGACCCTAAAAGCCCACTTGGTGCTCTACCCTGCTATGGCCAACCTGGTACCTAAAGTACAAGACAAAGTCCCATTTACTTTTCCCTCTGCATTTCTCAGAAGGAGTCTCTCATCAGAGCCACCACAGCTGGGAAAGTGGTAGATCTCACCTGAAACTGGCATGTCTGAGTCTCACTCAAGGCCCACAGCATTCTACTTGGGTATTGCTACTGGTTATTCAGGGCCCAAGGGCTCTTTAGTTTGCAGGTGATGGGTCCTACCAGGACTGGGTCCTTCCCTTCAAGGCAGTGGGTTCCCTCTTGGTCCTGTGTGGTCTAGAAATGTTATCCAGGAGCTACAGCCTGGAAAAGAGGCCTAATGACTCTGCCTGGTGACCTATCCTACTGTAGCTGAGCTGGTATCCAAGATGTAAGACAGGCTCCTCTTTATTCTTCCCTCTCCTCTCCTCAAGTGGAAGGAAGGGGTATCTTTTGGAGCCACAGAATGTGCAGTCTGCAATTGGGGAAACAGTGGTGCAAGCACTCTCTTAGCTGCCCTGGCTGCTGTCTCAGTGGGTCATGTGTCCCCACAACTCCAATGGCTCTGAGCCCAGCTCTGTACTAGGACTTGCTAAGAGTTGCAGTCCTTGTGATCAAGACTGCTTTTCAAGTTTATATAGGGCCTCAGAGTACTTTAATCATGGTGGTGAGGTTTGCCAGAACTCAAGTTCTGACTTCTGGGATGGGTGATTCCCCTCTGGCTAGTGCTGGTTTATACACTCCTTCTGCGGGTGGGCTTCAGCTGAGTGCAGCCTGATTTTGCTTTCCACTGTCACAGGGAAGCACTCACTTCAACGTAAAGTCCCATAATCTCTATGCTATCCCTCTCCCAAGTGCACAGATTCTCTCTCCACACCATGTGGACACTGCCCAGGTATGGGGGAGGGATGCATCTGCAATTCAAGACTGTCTTTCTTACCCTCTTCATTGATCTTTTAGTGATATGAAGTTAAAACCAGGTACTGTGAGTGCTCATCTGATTTTTGGTTCTTATAACTGTGTTCTTTGTGTAGACAGTTGTTAAGTTTGGTGTTCCTAAGGGGTGGAGGGGGAATGATTGGTAGAGCCTTGTTTTTAGCCATTTGCTCCACCCTTTAAATACTCTTCTTAGGAAGCCAAATCTATGCAGAATGAATCTGTAAATTCAGTAATGATCCTCTTAACACTGACTGAGTTTAAAGAGGACAGTTCTTTTCTGAGGAGGGGAGTGGAATCTATTAGAGAGCATGGCTTGAGTTTTTGTCAACCTCATGGACTATTCTCACAATAAAAACTGTAAAAATAAATTAAAGGGAGAAGTTACAAAATTAAAATCATGTAAAAAGGATGAGTTCATGTCCTTTGCAGGGACATGGATGAAGCTGGAAACCATCATTCTCAGCAAACTAACACAAGAACAGAAAACCAAACACCGCATGTTCTCACTCATACGTGGGATTTGAACAACGAGAACACATGGTCATAGGGAGGAGAACATCACACACTGGGGCCTGTCAGGGGATGTGGAGCTAGGGGAGGGATAGCATTAGAAGAAGTACCTAATGTAGATGACGGGTTGATGGGTGCAGCAAACTACCATGGCACATGTATACCTATGTAACAAACCTGCATGTTCTGCACATGTATCCCAGAACTTAAAGTATAATAAAAACATTGATGTATGTTAGCAAATTCAACAATATATAAAAAAGATGAATACATCATTACCAAATGGAGATTATTTCAGAAACGCGCAGTTGATCTAACATTCATGTATCAATTGATGTATTAGTTTCCCAGGGCTGCCATAACAAAGTACCACCAACTGAATGGCTCAGAACAAGCAAAATTTACTGTCTCACAGTTCTGGAGGCCAGAAGTACAAAATCCAAATATCAACAGGGAAATCCTCCTCCTGAAGGTGCTAGGGAGGGATCTGTCCAGGTCTCTCTCTTAGCTTCTGGTAATTTCAGGTGTTCCTTGGCTTGTAGATGGCCATCTTTTCTGTGTCTCTTCATGTGGTATTCTTGCTGTGTGTGTATCTGTGCCCAAATTTTCCTTTTTATAAGCTTTTTCTTTTTTCTTTTGAGACGGAGTCTTGCCCTGTCACCAGGCTACAGTGCAGTGGCGTGACCTTGGCTCACTGCAACCTCCACCTCCTGGGTTCAAGCAATTTTCCTGCCTCAGCCTCCCAAGTAGCTGGGACTACAGGCGCATGCCACCACACCCAGCTAATTTTTTTTTGTATTTTTAGTAGAGACGGTGTTCCACCATGTTGGCCGGGATGGTCTCAATCTCTTGACCTCATGATCCGCCCGCCTCGGCCTCCCAAAGTGCTGGGATTACAGGCGTGAGCCACTGTGCCCAGCCATAAAATTTATCCTTTTTATAAGGACACAAGTCATATTGGATTACTGCCCATCCTAATTCCTAATATCTCAATTACCTCTATAAAGACCTTATTTCCAAACAAGTGACATTTAAAGGGACTGGGGATTATAACTTCAATATATCTTTTTTGGAGGGACACAATTCAATCTATATATAAAATATGAAACTAAAAGAAAAAAAAAGCAAAGTGATCATTTCCACACATGTAGAAAAGCCTTAATGAAATCCAACATTCATTCTTGATAAAAGTGCTCAAATCTTCCTACATCTTAATAAAGGGCATCTACAAAAAACCCTGGGCTAACATCCATATTTAAGAGTAAAAGACTGATAACTTTCCCTCTAAGATCAGAAGCAAAGAAAGGATGTCTGGTCTCATCACTTTTATCCAACACCGTACTCAAGCTTCTAGTCAGTGCAAAAAGACAAGAAAAAGAAATAAAAGGCCTCCAGAATAGAAAGGAAGTAAAACTGTCTTTATTCATAGATAACAAATCCTGAATATATAGAAAATCTAGCAAAATCCACAAGAAAAGCTGTTAGAACTCATAAGTGGTTTTTACAAAATTGCAAATACAAGATTAATGTTAAAAATTCAATTATACCAGCCTGGGCAACATAGTGAGACCCTATCTCTACAAAAAAATACCAAAATATTAGCCAGGTGTGGTGGCACAGACCTATAATTCCAATGTATTAGTCTGTTTTCACACTGCTATAAAAAACTACCTGAGACTGGGCAATTTATGACAAAAAGAGGTTTAATTGACTCACAGTTCTGCAGGCTTAATAGAAAGCATGACTAGGAGGCCTCGGGAAACTTATATTCATGGCAGATGGCAAAGGGGAAGCAAGCACGTCTTACCATAGCAGAGCGGGAGAGAGAGGGAGAATGAGTGAGGGGGAACTGCCAGAGAGAGAGAATGAGTGAGGGGGAAGTGCCAGACACTTTCAAAAAACCTGATCTCATGAGAACTCACTATCATGAGAAGAGCAAGGGGGAAGTTCGCCCCATGATTCAATCACCTCCCACCAGACTCCTGGGGATTACAATTTAAGGTGAGATTTGGGTGGGGACACACAGCCAAACCATATCACCCAGCTACTTAGGGGGCTGAGGTAGGAGGATTGCTTGAACCTGGCAGACAGAGGTTGCAGTGGGCCATGATCACACCACTGCACTCCAGCCTGAGCAACAGAGCAAGAACCTGTAACAACAACAACAAAACCCCCAATCATATTTTTACACACTATCTGACATAGTTTGAGTATTTCTCCCTTCCAAATCTCATCTTAAAATCTGATCCCAAGTGTGGGGCCTAGTTGGGGGTGTCTGGGTCACAGGGGCAGATCCTTCAGGAAAACTTAGTGCTGCCATTGCATAATGAGTTCTCATTCTGTTAGTTGCCTCCAGAGCTGATTGTTAAAAAGAGCCTGACCACTACCTCCCCTTTCTCTTGCTTCTCTTCTGGCCATGTGATCTGCACAGGCAGCCTCCCCTTCACTGAGTGGAAGCAGCCTGAAGCCCTCACCAGAAGCAGCCTGCAGAAGTGTGAGCCAAATAAACCTCTTTTATTTGTAAATTATTCAGTCTCAGGCATTCCTTTTTAGCAACACAGACTAAGACACTATCAAAGAACAACTGAAAATTTAAAATGTCATTTACATAATATCAAGAAGTATATTTTTCCCCCATCCTTAGATTTATGGATAAATCTGACATAGGGTGATATGGTTTGGCTGTGTCCCTGCCCAAACCTCATCTTGAACTGTAGTTACCATAATCCCCAGGTGTTGTGGGAGGGACCCGGTGGGAGGTAACTGAATCATGGGGGTGGTTATTCCCATGCTGTTCTCTGATAGTGAGTGAGGTATCACAAGATCTGATGGTTTTCTAAGGGGCTTTTCCCTCCTTGCTCCTCACTTCTCCTTCCTGCAGCCCTGTGAAGAAGGAGGTTTGCTCCCGCTTCTGCCATGATTTTAAGTTTCCTGAAGTCTCCCCAGCCATGCTGAACTGTAAGTCAATTAAACGTCTTTCCTTTATAAATTACTCAGTCCCAGGTATGTCTTTATTAGCACTGTGAAAATGGACTATATAAGACTAGACCTGACAAAAGATCAAAACATTTGCTGAGTGAAATAACACCTAAATAAATGAAGAGGCTTACTTTAAGGGTCATTACTAAATATTGTTAACATGTAAATTATTCTTACATGGATCTATAGACGAAATGTAACCAATCACAATCCCAACTTTTTAAAGTGACAAGCTGATTTTAACATTCATATGAAAACCCAAGGGACTAGATGAGCCAGAACATTTTTGAAAAATAACAAAAAATTGGAGGCCAAACACGATCTGATTTTAAGACTCTTACGAATCTACAGGAATCAAGACAATGTGGTATTTTTGTAGAGAGAAATATAATAAATTGTCGGAACAGAATAGAAAGTCTAAGAATAGACCCACAACTGATGCTTTAGGGACAACTGATTTTAAACATAGGTGCAAAAGCTATTCAGTGAGAAAAAGAAAGCTCTCTAAACAAATGACACTATTCACATACAAAAAAATGACCTAAGATCCATACTTTGCACCACAGACAAAAATTAGCTCTAATTGGATCACAGACCTCAATATAAAACCTAAAATTCTAAAACTTGTGTCAGAAAACACAGAAGAGATCCTCTGTGGCCTTGGGTTAGGCAAATTCCTTGGACAGACAAAAAACAAACCCTAAGATCCGATCTGAGCCGCCGCACAACCCTGCTCTGGCCACTTAGCCTGAGGTCACTGCTCGGGTCCCGCCCCTCTCCCCGCCCGGGACCCTCCTGGCTCCGCCCCAATCCGCCCGCTCCGCTCCACCCCGCCCCGCTGCCTCGTCTCCATCCGGAAGAGCCGCCGGGGCAGGGAAGTTGAGGCGGTGCGCGGCCCGGCGTCGGTCGAGAGCGCAGGCCCGGCAGAGCCGCAGGCGCTAGGCCGCCCGACACAGCCCGCGCGTCCCCGCGGCCGGTGGCGCCTCGAGCGGCCACGTGCACGCGCGCACTCCGCCTCACCAGCCTTCTTGCGCCGGAGACGAACCCGCTGCCTGGCTGGAGCTCTCTGGGCCCTTCGGCCTCGGGAGCAACGCGTTCCCGGCGACTTCTGACACAGCCAGTAAGTGATAGCCGCCTCCTCCTTTCGCGGTTATGTTTTTCTCCAGTTCGTCCCAAGTCTCGTTCCCGTCTCATTACTTCAAAAACTATTCAACTCCGGGACCGGACAGGCACGGGAGCTGCCCGGGAGAAGAGCCCCAGAAGTCTCAGAGACTGCCAAGGTGTTGTGGGGCAGGGGCTGCGTGCAAAGACCCTGTGAATTAGAAAGTTTGGAAAGCATGCCTCCAAAACCGAGCGACTCCACGTTTGCCAGGCGCCCCTGGGGCAGCCGAGCGGCCCGGAGGCGCGAAATGGCGCGCCCCCGCAGTGAGAGGGGCGGAGGGAGTGGGGCGGGGCCGAGGGCGCGCGTCCCGCCAGCCCGCGCGGAGGGGGCGGGGCTCCCGGCAGGTGCAGGCGGGCGGGGCGGGGCTGCCGCGATTCCCGGAGACAGCTGGGGGATGCCAGTGCAGTTAGGCACTCTCCTGTCTTCTTTTCGACGCTTCGCTGTGGTCAAGAGGACAAAGTAAAGCAAATGATTTTATTTTGACCCCAAATATTCAATAAGAAAAGGAAAGAGAACTTGAAAGTTGTGAAATGACCCTTCTCAAAACAAAAAGTCCCTCCAGTGTCTATCTGGGTGGGTAGTAGGTACGTTTATTGATTTAGCAAACTGCTGATAACACAGTTGATTAGTCAGTTTTGCATAGATGTTGAAAGGGAATGAATAACGATGGTCCATATAACCATAGAAATGCTAGCCTAACTAGGCAAAATTTAATCTGACCTTAATTTGAACGTTGAATTCTGCTGCTGCCCTTTTCCTGCCTTGTGTGGAGCTGTTTTTCAAATTGCTAAATTTGTGGCTCTAAACTTAATATGCTTTAATAGAATCATAGTGATTCTCTTGTAGCCACTGTTGGGAGTCCAGATTTTTTTTTTTTTTTTTTTGGGCAAAGTCCACATTGTGGAGATATTCCTTCCCAAGTGCTTTTTCTGCTTTACACTTGGCTGAATTTATATTGCTTAACCAAAAACAAATTACCGTGGAGGCCGTAATTTATTTCCACTCATTGTTTTGGATATACATTTACTCATTCTTACTCTCACTCTGGCCTCCTATAGTGGTCAGGATTCTTGACCTAACTGCTATATGTACTTCTTAAACGTTTCACACCTTGCGGAATAGTAGGTTCTCAGAGAAAGCAAAATATAGCAAATAGCGTGTATAACACGTACTTAGGATGATAAACTGTGAACTTTATAGCAGTCTCCTTTAATATTCGTATTTGTAGAGTCCAGTACAATAAATGTTGGACAAATGAAGTAAGTCAAATTTAAGTACACCTCTTCTCCAGTCCTCAATCTCTTTCCAAACGAAATAAGTGTTTCTCTCTTTTTTTTTTTTTTTGAGGCGGAGTCTCGCTCTGTGCCCGGGCTGGAGTGCAGTGGCGTGGTCTCGGCTCACTGCAAGCTCCGCCTCCCGGGTTCACGCCATTCTCCTGCCTCAGCCTCCTGAGTAGCTGGGACTTCAGGCACCTGCCACCACGCCCAGCTAATTTTTTTTGTATTTTTTTTTAGTAGAGAACGGGATTTCACCGTGTTAGCCAGGATGGTCTCGATCTCCTGACCTCGTGATCCACCTGCCTCGGCCTCCCAAAGTGCTGGGATTACAGGCGTGAGCCACTGCGCCCGGCCCCAAATAAGTGTTTCTTATTTGGACAGCTGGTTTCTAACTGTCCAGTGCTACTTCTGAGATCGTCACCTCATTTAAATTTAACCTCCCTCTCCTTTGACTCCTATTCATATTGCATTTTTGACCACTGGTAGTGCACTGTTTCGTTTTATTTGCCCCTTGGATTTCTGAGGACATAGAGAACCTTTTACTATACTTTTCATTTGCCAGCATAGTGCCTTGTACATGATAGATATTAGGAAATGGACATTGAATTGGGTTTATACATATGTAATTTGTTATCCGTCTGTATACATGAAACTAGAATGGGGATAGGTGCTTTTTATCTGTAGATACATACTTTTTAATAGAGTGCCAGGGGAATGAGATAAAGTAATGGTATATGCTGTATTTATTTTCAATAATACTTTTTTATTATTTGAAGACTCAGTGTTTTTTCACCTTCCTATGTTTATCTGTTTTCTTTGCATTGTTGACAGCTGTTTCTGCAGAACCCAGTAGATTTCCTACGGTAAGAAAGAGAAAGAAGGAAACAAATTCACTTCCAAGTATGAATTTCTAAGGACAGTCTGTTAATTATTCATGTCAGAACTGGCTGTCAGTCTGATTAATGGTATGTGTTTCAGTTACATAGCAGAATACACATGAGTGTGTGTGTATAACTAAAGAGAGAGAGAGCACACGAAAGAATGACACTGTGTTCATATAAACAAAAGCTAGAACCAGGACTCTTGCAAAGAACTCCACTGTTACTGACTTAAGCCAAAAGATATGTTTCAGATTTTATACTTGAGAGCAAATGTGTGTGTATGGAATGTGGCCTCTTACATATATTATGTAAAATAAATACCATTATATGTCATTTAATGATGGGGATACAGTCTGAGAAATTTGTCATTAGGTGATTTTGTCCTTGTGTGAACATCATAGAGTATATTTACACAAACCTAGATGATACAGCCTACTACACACCTAGGCTATATGGCATAGCCTGTTGCTCTTAGGCTATAAACCTGTACATCATATCATTGTACTGAATACTGTTCGCAGTTGTTGTAACACAATGGTATCTATGTATCTAAGCATAGAAAAGATACAATAAGGATACAGTATTGTAATCTTATGAGACCACTATTATAAGTGCAGTCCGGAAATGTTGTTAGGTGCATGCCTGTATATTAATGCAGGGTTAATATGAAGGAAATTTGGGGAAAAGATGGGAAATGCTTTGAACTATTTTGGATTTTGATAATCAGTACCAACATAGTTCTTTGACTTACATTTGACTTCACTCATTTTTGAAGTACATGTACTGTGACTGTAACAGATAATTCAGATTTCATTAAGATTTGAATTCAGATATTATTTTGTGATTATAGTATGACCCAAAGCCAGTGTGATTTATAACCAATCGTTTTTGTTAAATTGTGTGTACATCTTGAGTATCAAATATATAATATGATCCTTTTTTTTTTCTTTAGTTACCTAGATTCAAGATGAATAGCGATCAAGTTACACTGGTTGGTCAAGTGTTTGAGTCATATGTTTCGGAATACCATAAGAATGATATTCTTCTAATCTTGAAGGAAAGGGATGAAGATGCTCATTACCCAGTTGTGGTTAATGCCATGACTCTGTTTGAGACCAACATGGAAATCGGGGAATATTTCAACATGTTCCCCAGTGAAGTGCTTACAATTTTTGATAGTGCACTGCGAAGGTCAGCCTTGACAATTCTCCAGTCCCTTTCTCAGCCTGAGGCTGTTTCCATGAAACAGAATCTTCATGCCAGGATATCAGGTAAATCACTTAAGGATTTTACTGCCATGCTATCTTCTAGAAAGATTTTGAGAAAATATACTAGATTTAGAACACTAAGAAATAATTGATATTTATACTTAAAATATATATCTGTTGTGTAGTTGATGGTCACTTCTTTTAGAGCAGAATAATAATTGTGTTCTGTGGGCATGAAGTATGAGTCTTGCCCACTGAGGGGAGGGAGAATGTGTGGAGACAGCAGTATACTTGTGTGTCTATATATTTCCACGTCTGTGTTTAAAAATGTAATTCAAAACAGCTTTATGAGCTTTTGTGGTTACTAACAATAAAGGAACTGGTAATACAAAGAATTAGAAAAGTGATAGATCTTGTCCAGGGATCTTCAGAACTATTTTAGGACATTAGTTATTTTTAAAGATCAGTATTAGCATTGTGCAGTCTACCTACCAGTTACTCGATACATTTTTGTTGAATGCATGACAGATAAAGCATCTTAATTGTTAAGAAACTGCAGTGGAGCAATCAGCAGCTTGGGGTGGCAAAGCTGTATCCTTGAATTCCTGCCTCTAGGAGTCCTTGCCCCTCACTTTCTGTTTTAAAAGTGATTTTTTAGTAGGATGGATAGAGTTGACTTAAGAATTTTAGGGAAAAGTGACACTATAGTGTAACAATTTTTATTTAGTTCATTGCATGGAAGTAATTTCTTGGAAGGCATAGTGTGGCGAAAGAGAAGAATTGGATTTAAAGGCTACACGCCTAACCTGGGAGACTTAGTAAGTTATTTTATCTCACTGAGCCTCAGTTTCTTCACTTGCAAACCACTTCTAGAGTCCCTGTCAACCCCCTAATTAAAACAAAATTTAACTATGCCATTATTGTATAAATTAATAAAGGCTGGTACAAATTAATTCTATTTACATGAAAGAAAGATTTGGTAAAATTAAAAGCAGGTCCAGAATATTGAGGGCAGTCTGTGATTAAGTTGGAGAACATACATACCCTTTTGTTTAAAAATAAATATTTAGCAGCCGGGCGCGGTGGCTCACGCCTGTAATCCCAGCACTTTGGGAGGCCAAGGCGGGCAGATCGCAAGGTCAGGAAATCGAGACCATCCTGGCTAACACGGTGAAACCCCGTCTCTACAAAAAATACAAAAAAAATTAGCCGGGCATGGTGGCGGGCGCCTGTAGTCCCAGCTACTCAGAAGGCTGAGGCAGGAGAATGGTGTGAACCCAGGAGGCGGAGCTTGCAGTGAGCCGAGATCGCGCCATTGCACTCCAGCCTGGGCAACAGAGCGAGACTCCGTCTCAAAAAATAAAATAAAATAAAATAAATAAATAAATAAATAAATATTTACCTTATAGTACATTTGAGAAGAGTGGTGATTTATAATCAATAAGAATGCTTCCTGAATTCCAAAAAGGTTTGGAGTCACTATAGTAGAACTTCTTGGAGGCAAGTTAAGATTCCCAAAAAGACCAAATACTTAATTTAAATGAAAAATATTGTCTGCAGTTACACTTGCTAGGATAAATTATGAAGAGTATTAATCATTATGCATCAGGGTACTAGATAATCTCTTGATGGGATCAAGAAAAAGGGTCCCCCCCATCAGCCTTTTTTAAAAATTAGAGATGGAGTCTCACTCTGTTACCCGGGCTGGTATTAAACTCCCAAGCTCAAGTGATCCTCCTCCTCTGGCCTCCCAAAGTGTTGGGATTATAGATGTGAGCCATCGTGTCTGGCCAATGTTTCCTATTAATAAGTTTGCAAAAGGATTATTAAGGGGGACTTTAGTTAATGTTGTCGAAATGCTATTTAGGAAATAGTTTTAGGCTGCCATTATTTTCAGATACCTTTCCATACTGAGTTTAAGTAATACAATCCTGTCTGCCTAAGTGACCCTATCAGTTTCAGGTGAATTTAGCTTATTTTTTCAATTCTCTGAAAAAGTAAGTTACAAATTATGTTACTACTGAACAAAACATCAGTAGGCATTTGCTAGGATCTTGGGAAACCAAAAAGAATATAGTTTTTCCCTCCTTTAAAAAACTCAGGGCTGTATGGCAGACAGCTATATAGTCAAATATTTACCAGATGGTGTATGCATGCCTACAGATACATGTGTATGTATATATTAAGCATTATTGTATGGGAGCTTAATGGAAACTTTTATGTGTGATGCATGCCTCACTCAAGGTATGTTGTTTTTGTTTTTGAGACAGAGTCTTGCTCTGTTGTCCAGGCTGGAGTCCAGTGATGCAATCTTGTCTCACTGCAACCTCTGCCTCCTGGGTTCAAGCAATCCTCCTGCCTCAGCCTCCCAAGTAGCTGGGATTACAGGCATGTGCCACCATGCCCAGCTAATTTTTGTATTTTTGGTAGAGACAGAGTTTTGCCATGTTGCTCAGGCTGGTCTTGAACTCCTGGCCTCAGGTGATCTGCCCACCTTGGCCTCCCAAAGTGCTGGGATTGCAGGCATGAGCCATGGTGCCCGGCCAGAATTAATGTTTAAATAGCGCTTGCTGTATGCCGAGTAATATTTTCAGAAACTTTACATGTATGAATTCTTTTTTTTTTTTTGAGACAGGGTCTCACTCTGTTGCCCAGGCTGGAATGCAGTTGCACAACAATCATAGCTCACTGCAGTCTCTAACTTCTGGGCTCAAGCGATCCTCCCACCTCAGCCTCCTGGGTAGCTGGGACTACAGGCATGTGCCACCACACTCAGCTATTTAAATTTTTTTTTTTTTTTGTAGAGGTGGGGTCTCTGTGTTGCTCAGGCTGGTCTTGAACTCCTAGCCTCAAGTGATCCTTCTGCTTCAGCCTCCCAAAGTACTGGGATTACAGGTATAAGCTATGAATTCTTCTAGTTTTCTTATTACCCTGTGTGATAGGTTCTGTTGTTATTTTATAGATGAGAAATCTGAGAGGTTACAACTTAGCCAAAGTCACACAGCTAGTAAGTGACAGAGTTGTGACTCAAACCTAAGCATTCTAGCTTGAGTCTGTATTCTTTGTTTTTTTGAGATGGAGTCTCACTCTGTTTCCCAAGCCGGAGTGCACAGGTGCAATCTCGGTTCACTGCAACCTCTGCCTCCCAGGTTCAAGCGATTCTCCTGCCTCAGCCTCCCGAGTAGCTGGGATTACAGGCGTGTGCCACCACACCCGGCTAATTTTTGTATTTTTAGTAGAGACAGGGTTTCACGATGTTGGCCAGCCTGGTTTCGAACTCTTGACCTCAGGTGATCCGCCCACCTCAGCCTCCCCAGTTCTGGGATTACAAGCATGAGCCACCATGCCTGGCCTGAGTCTGTATTCTTAACCACTGCATTGCTTCTTAGTGTGGGCATTTTTGAGGAGCAGAGTGAAGAGGAGAGCACTGAGACAAAGGGAGCACTGTATGTGAAAAAGTGCGCAGAAGTCTTGATAGAACAGGAAGCCAGTCACAAAAGGCCCTATAGTCCAGTCCAGATTTGGTACCTTATTCTTAGATCTGTGGCAAGCCATGGAAGGGTAAAAGCAAAGGAGATTTGGCCTTCATTATGTATTGCTCAGGTTACTCTAGAAGCAATGGGGCATATAGTGTTTTATTCTTCCATTCTAAGATGCTATTTACAGTAAGAAACACTATCAAATTAAAGATAGCTTTCTAGGAATAAAACTACAATTAAATTACACAGCTTTGTTGTTAAACCAGAATTTGTTTTTAAGCCAAAAATAACAAGTGTCTGTCTATACAGTTTATATTATGTAAGACTTCATTGATACATCACTTCATCACATTGAAAATCTAAAGACTTCTCTTTCTTTTCTTGCTTTTTTTTTTTTGAGACAAGAGTTTTGCTCTTGTTGCCCAGTCTGGAGTACAGTGGCACGATCTCGGCTCACTGCAACCTCCGCCTCCCAGGTTCAAGCGATTCTCTTGCCTCACCCTCCCGAGTAGCTGGGATTACAGGCATGCACCACCACACCTGGCTAATTATTTGTATTTTTAGTAGAGATGGGGTTTCTCCATGTTGGTCAGGCTGGTCTCAAACTCCCAACCTCAGGTGATCCACCTGCCTCGGCCTCCCAAAGTGCTGGGATTACAGGCATGAGCCACCACGTCCAGCCAAAAATCCAAAGACTTTTCTAAATTATGCTAGGCAGTCTGTAATCTCATTGGGCATTCTTCAATCATGCATAACGTCAGAGTAACACCACATTTTCTGTAATGTGGTTCTCCTGATCTTAGTTTTTCTTGTTTTAATATACTGACTATATAATTTAAACTGAACAATCAATTTGCATCTGAAGCAGAACTGAGATGAGGGGACTAGAAATGGGAGGCAAAAGTGATATTTCTTTAGGGCCAAGGAAGAGAGAATGAATATTTCAGAAACCCAAAGAATTTTTGTTAAAGCAAATTTTCTTTACCTATTTTTTTTCTATTCTCCTTTTTACCTTCCTTCGTAGAAGTAATTGTTGGTACATTCTGTTTATATTTCGAGAAGCAAATTGGGTTAATTATCATATTTCCCACTCGAGTATCCTTCTGTATATGTACAATAGAGAGTACTTAGTGACTGTTTGCAAACATAAAAATAAAATTATTTAAAAAAATTATTTTAATAACCATGTGACCCAGCAGTTCTACTCCTTAGCTGTATGCCCAAGATAATCGAAAACTGTTCAAACAAGAATTTGCATACAAATGTTTGTAGTTGCATTATTCATAATAGCCAAAAAGTGGAAACAACCTAAATGTCCATCAACTAATAAATGAATAAACAAAATACGGTATATCTAAACAGTGGAATATTATTTAGTCATAAAAAGAGTGAAGTACTGTATATGTTACAACAGGAATGAATCTTGAAAACATTATTCTAAGTAAATAAAGCCAGATTCAAAAGACCACATATTGTATGATTTTGTTCAGATATCCCTGACTTACATTTTTTGACTTTATGAGTATGCGAAAGTGATTCAGTAGAAATTATACTTTGAGCACCCATAAATTATTCTGTTTGTCACTTTTAGTGTAGTATTCAATAAATAACATGAAATAGTCAACACTTAATTATAAAATAGGCCTTGTGTTAGATTATTTTGCCCAACTGTAGGCTAATGTTAGTATTCTGAGTATGTTCAAGGTAGGCTAGGTAGGCTAAGCTATGATGTTCAGTGGGTTAGGTGTACTAA
Organism: Homo sapiens; assembly: GCF_000001405.40. Classification (NCBI taxonomy): domain Eukaryota; kingdom Metazoa; phylum Chordata; class Mammalia; order Primates; family Hominidae; genus Homo; species Homo sapiens. Next base: position 118,926,250 of record NC_000006.12, on the reverse strand, counting down.
ATGCACTTTCAACTTACAACATTTTCAATTTACGATGGGTTTATTGAGATGTAGCCCCATTGTAAGTCACGGAGCATCTACGTGTGAAATTTCCAGAATAGGTAAATTCATGAAGACCAAAAGTAGATCAATGGTTGCCAGCAGCTAGGGTTATGGAAGAATGGGGAGTGACTGCTACTGGGTACAGGGTTTCTTTTTGAAATTATGAAAATATTCTGGAATTAGTGGTGATGGTTATACAATATTGTGAATATACTAATTACCACTGAATTGTCTACTTTATAGGGTAAATTTTATGGCATGTGAATTATATCTTGCTTTTTTTTAAGTATTCATATTTTTTTTAAAGTATTCATGTAGGGAGCAAAATAAATGTAACTGAGAATCTACAAGCAGTGTTAAGATGTATTACAATATATATTCCAGTTAAGGCCAGGTAAACAAGAGAGAGAGATTTCTGGGCTGTTTCTTGTTTTTTAACATTCTAGGATATGAACGAAAAGTGTGTCTCCCTTAATGGCAAAATGTGATGCAATCTGAATTAATGTAAATAATGAATATGTTCATTAGAAAATGGGCAAGTCAGTCTTAGAAGCATAGAAAAAAGAGTCATAGGGGCAAATGTTGGCAATGGCCACCTTGTTTGTCTATACACTCTACAGTGTATGGAGAGAGAATTTCAGCCAACCAACAGAGAAAATTCAAGTCTATCTGTAGACTTGTAACCTGTAACAGTAGGTTAACATAGCCTGGCACCTTAAACATTCAGTTACTCTAATTTGCTTTTTCCCCTCATACTTCCTAAACTACCTTCTGATTGGCTTTCAGAATAGATGTATCAACTAGGAGAAAATATGCTGACCATAGAAACTTAAGGTATAATGATTCCTATTATGGCATTTCTCATGGGCTGGACAATCTGATGGATGGGCCTTCAGTAGGCGTACCTACCTGGTTTTTGAACCGCTAAATACTGAGGACAAGACAGGAGACATGAACCGGCATAACAGTTGCTATTTCAATAAACCTGTTAGGAATTAGCCTTTATAGCCAGCATCTTTCCACCCCAATGGTGCATTGTAGCCAAACATGAGAAAAAGGGAATTTCCACATAAGATTTTCCTCCTCCCCTCCTCTCCCCTTTTCCCCCTCTTTTTCTCTTTCTCCTTCCCTCCTTCCTTCCTCCCTCCCTGTCTTTCTTTTTTTTTGGACAGGGTCTTCCTCTGTTCCCCAAACTGGAGTTCAGTGGAGTGACCATGGTTACTGTAGCCTTGACCCCCTGGGCTCAAGAGATCCTCCCACTTCAGCCCTACCGAGTTGCTGGGGCTATAGGCATGCACCACCATGCCCAGCTGATTTTTTAATTTTTTATAGGGATGGGGTCCCACTATGTTGCCCAGGCTAGTCTTGAACTCCTGGGCCCCAGCGGTTCTCCTACCTTGGCTTCCCAAGTGTGAGCCACGGTGCCCAGCCTGAGTAAGAATTTTCTTTGGCATTTTGCACCTTTTCTGTTGCCTGTTTTTTAATGTTGAAAAACACAAGGCTTTTATAGGATAAGGTGATGCTGCGGGTAAACCGCTAGGTAAGTCAGGGCTCAAAAACACTGTCATATTTATGTATTAATAAATTCTGAGTCTGACTGAAAAAGTAACTTTCTAGCGCTGTGGAACTCTGTGGTCGTCATGCTACCATCTCTTTATCGGTCTGCTGCGTGATTTACTAAAATAATCATCAGTTGATTTTATCTGTGGCAAGTGGCAATATATTTTTTGTTAAATGCCGTTAAAATTATATACTTTAGATCCTACTGAGATAGCCCTCTTGTGAGAATAAGTCCTTTTTAAAATCCTGGTTATTATAACTTCTAGCTATTTGCTTTAAAACATGGTCTACTCATTGTGCAGTATCTGGATTAAAAAAAAACTCTACTGATAACTGTTATTTGCAATAATTCTTTATATTTTCTTAATAGAGTTGATGATCTGATTTTTTCTTAGTAAAACACAATCTTTTTTTTCCCCCTGAAATTAAAATTTATCTTTCAGGAAATAGGAGAAGAATATATCCCTTGGAGTCAAATCTCAAGATTGAAGTTGATGCTGTTTTTTTGTTTTCTCCATCAGGTTTGCCTGTCTGTCCTGAGCTGGTGAGGGAACACATACCTAAAACCAAGGATGTGGGACACTTTTTATCTGTCACTGGGACAGTGATTCGAACAAGTCTGGTGAAGGTTCTGGAGTTTGAGCGGGATTACATGTGTAACAAATGCAAGCATGTGTTTGTGATCAAGGCTGACTTTGAGCAGTATTACACCTTTTGCCGGCCATCCTCGTGTCCCAGCTTGGAGAGCTGTGATTCCTCTAAATTCACTTGCCTCTCAGGCTTGTCTTCGTCTCCAACCAGGTGTAGAGATTACCAGGAAATCAAAATTCAGGAACAGGTAAATAATCACATAAACGAGATAAATAAATTTGAAGAAGTGTTTTTCAGCTATGGGCACATTGGGAGGATTAGGGAACACAGAATGGATACAAATGTACTTGTGTTGTCACTTTGTGGAAGATCAAGCTCGAAACTGTTCCACATATATCTGAATATAGTCTTTAGAAACCATGCAATCATCCTTTTTAGGTGGAACATTGACAAGAAAGTAGTGAAATGACTTAATTATATTAAAATTAAAGAAGTGAATATTTAAGAAGTCCACCCTAGCTGTTCTTAACTGAAGAATAGAAGAAAATTAATGTTCTTAGCTAAGGGATAGAAGATTAATTAATGCTTAAATGGTTAAACATTGGAGTGGCCAGGCATGGTGGCTTGTGCTTATAATCGCAGCTACTCAGGAAGCTGAGGCAGGAAGATCACTTGAACCAAGGAGTTCTGGGTGGCAGTGAGCTATGGATCATGCATCTGCATTCTAGCCTGGTTGACAGAGCGAGACCCTGTCTCTGAAAAAAAAAAAAAATCACATTGGAGTGAACAAGATATGGAGTTTGGACCCACTCTTATTTGCTGTGCTAAATGAAGTATTTGTAAACACTCTTTAACAAGTAAGAGTGAGCCTGATTTTCATTTGCTCGCAGCTTAAACACAAAGGTTTATTCTTACCTAAAATAATTAAGAGATAGGCAGTTCAAGGCTAGTTCACTGTTGAGAACTCAGACTCCTGTCTTTCTATTCAACCATTCTTTTCTTTGCTTTTTTTTTTTTTTTTTTTTTTTGAGATGGAGTTTCACTGTTGCCCAGGCTGGAGTGCAATGGTGTGATCTTGACTCACTGTAACCTCTACCTCCTGGGTTCAAGCATTTCTCCTGTCTTAGCCTCCCGAGTAGCTGGGATTACGGGCGTGTGCCACCTCGCCTGGCTAATTCTGTATTTTTAGTAGAGACAGGGTTTCACGATGTTGGTCAGACTGGTCTCAAACCCTCTAACCTCAGGTGATCCACCCACCTCGGCCTCCCAAAGTGCTGGGATTACAGATGTGAGCCACCACACCCGGCCTCAACCATTCTTAATACATGGCTTCTCTTCTGATGATTGGCTGTGGGCCAGGATGCTGGCTACAACTCCATCACATGTGTGTTGTAGTCAGAGAACAATAGGCAAAAGTGCCTACCACCTAACCAATTCTCCACTTAAGAAGTCTCTTGCATTGTCTGCTTATGATATCTCATTGGTCAGAGTTCTATCATATGACCATACCTATGTTCAATGTTCAAGGGAGCCTGGGAAATACAGTCTTTGTATTAGGCGCATGTCCACATGGAATAAAACTAGGGTTCTGTTACTAAGGAGTAATCATAGGGACTGGGTGATTTGTCCCAGGTCTTTTGATTAGCGATCAGGAAAGAAATACCCCTCTTTTCTAGATAAAGTTAACTTTGTTATTAAATTTAGTAGTTGGAGCATACGTTTACTTTGACCACCCGCAAGGTAGATTATATAGATCATATTTGGAGATATTTTCCATATGTGTATTTTATTTAGTGAATTCTTAAATTGATAGTAGACATAGTTTTCAAGAAAAATTACTTAAATCCCCATTATAATTAAATCGTATGATATACCAGAGAAATAAAAATAGTAATTTCAAGTACTGCTAGACTTCTGGATACTTAACATGTATTTAAGCATACTCAGAATCTGTTTTCTTTTCTTTGCTAGGTTCAAAGGCTATCTGTTGGAAGTATTCCACGATCTATGAAGGTTATTCTGGAAGATGACTTAGTGGATAGTTGCAAATCTGGTAAGAAGAGGGGAATTTTTTTTTAGCTTGTGTAGGTAGTCCTAAAGTATTGATTAGGAAAAGCCACTTTTTATTTTCCCAAGATCACTGGCAAGGGAAATGTAGAGCTGTAATTGCTCACCTTGAGATTAGAAACTGGCAGGTGGGAAGTGATAGCAGGAAGAGAGCTGGGCTAGATCTATACAACAGCAGCTAGTCCAGGTGCTTGTTTTATGAATGAAGAACCTGACTTGTCTAAGGTCACTTAGAGAGTTAAGTGGCATAACTGGAACATGAATCCAGAACCACTGATGTCTAATTTAAGGCTCTTTTCAGTGCACTATAGCTTAACAGCAGGAACTTTAAAAAATGTAGTGAATTTAATGGGTATTTTTATAAAATGAATTAGAGAATGTGACTCTGTTAAATGCTGCTGCGTGTCTTATTGGTGCCTAGAAGAAAGGACATCATTCCTCTCTGCTCTGTGCTGGTGACACCGTGATTGGAGTCACTGATTGTAGTCTGCTGTCTTCTGAGGGTCCTCAATGTTTTCATTGGCCGATACCTGAATTGGGAGGGTACTTGAAACCCATACTCAATGAAGAACTATACATGGTTAGCATGGAGAACCCTGAGGAAGGACATGACAGCCAACTTTCAATAGTTAGAAGACTGTCACATAGAAATAGAATTGTAATTACAGAAGTTGCTGTTGGGTTTCAGTGGGGTAAGCCACAAGGAGGTAGATTTTGACTCAATACCTAATAATTAGAGGTGTCTAACATGGGCCTTAGATGGTGATGAGTTCTTTTTCTCATAGACAATCAAGCACAGCATATACAGTACATTGTTAGGGATTTAGGCCCTACAGTGGCAGTTGATCTGGATAATAATCTGCAATGTTCCAGGCAATTTAAAGACTTTCTGAGCCTCAGAACTGTTCTGGAAATCTGAGAGTTCCGAAAGCCTGATTGTTCCAGTGTCATTCTGAGCTTATGCTTTACTCTTTAGGCTAACCAGACTGGTCCTGAGTTCTCCTTTGTCCCTGTCAACTCATCATGTTCCCTCTCCTCACTGGGGAGACTAAGAAGAAATCAAACTTAAAAGTATTTGTGGAAGGGTGATGTTTTAGTCATTTTGGGCTGTTAGTCCATTCTTGCGTTGCTATAAAGAAATACCTGGGACGGGGCAATTTATAAAGAAAAGAGGTTTAATTGGCTCACAGTTCCACAGGCTGTACAGGAAGCATGGTGCAGACATAGGCTCAGCTTCTTCTGAGGCATCAGGAAGTTTACAATCATGGCAGAAGGGAGAGGGGGAGCAGGCACATGACATGGTAAAAGCAGGAGCAAGAGTGGGGAGGGAGGAGGTGCCACACACATTTAAATGAACAGAGCTCATTCAAACTCAGAGTGAGAGCTCCTTTATCACCAAAAGGGTGGCCCAAGCCATTCATGAGGGATCCACCTGCATGATCCAGACACCTCCTACCAGGCATCTCCTCCAATACTAGGGATTATATCTCAACATGAGATTTGAATGGGGACAATTATCCAAACTATATCAGGCTGCTCTAACAAATCACCATAGACTAGGTGGGTTCAACAACAAATATTTATTTCTCACAGTTTTGGAGGCTGGAGGTTGGAGATCAGGATGCCAGTGTCTTCGGATTCTGGTGAGGGACCTCTTCTAGGTTTCAGATAGCCGACGTATATTAACGTACAGTTGTGTAAATAGTATACTAATGAGATAACAGCTTTGATTATGGATTGCCTGCTAAGCAACCCCAGAATATGTCAAAATACCTTGCTCATATAGGACTAGATTTTAACCTAAATCTGTAATATCTGTCTCAGCAATGCAGTTCTTATATAAGCTCAGCCTGAACATGAAAATATCCATCAATTGAGAATAAGATCTTTTCATGCAGTTCATCTAAACTGAATTCTTTCTGTACTGGAAATAAGTCTTAAGTTGTTTTTCTTTCAAATGTCATTAATAATGAAGGATGGATAGAAGCAATCTATCAACAGCTATTTTTTCATGTATCATTAGCTATAAACCTCTGTGGGAATCAAAAGACAAATAGTATATAATCCTTGCCCTTCAGGAATTTACGATCTAGTTAGGAACCCCACTTTGGCACATGCAGAGTAATGAAGTTGGAGGGTGTGTGCTGGTAAATGTCAGTGCCACAGGAGATCCGAGAGATGGGTCTGACTGGCAATGGCTACAGTAGTAAAGATGCCGCAGATGATATAGGGGCACAGAGAGACTGGATTGTAGAAAAGTAAGAATTTTAGCTTCCTGAAAATAACATTGCTTATAACATTAGTTTTGAAAAATACAGAAGTTTAAGGTGAATATCTGTTGTCTTGGACTATCATGTATACCTCACAATTGTTCTGGTGATTATATGAATCTGCCATTCAGTAATTATTTGAGTAAAGAAAACACGTATATATTGAAGGGCTTTTAAAGGTATTAATTACTTTACAAATGTAAGGTAGGTTTAGTATAAGAAGAGCTAATATTTACTGAGCACTTGCCGTCTTCTAGATACTGCATTAAGTAATTTACGTACATTATCCGATCTAATTCTCATTATAGTACTGTGATGTAAATATAATCATTCACATTTTGTAGTTCAAGAAACAGGCTTAGGAAAGGTAGGTAATTTGCCCAAGGTCACGTAGCCTATGGGCAGTGGAGCTGGGATTTAAATCCAAATCTGATGAGGTCAGTACTCTTGGCCATGCTTCAGTGCTCTGTATTTTCCACATAATCACTGCTTATTGACATTAGATTATTACTTACGGGTCATATATCTAAACATTAAGTTCCTCATTTAACTAGTTTAGAAACAACCTAAACATAATCCATTAAAATGACCATAATAGAGAATTGTTCCATGTCCTTATGTAAAGTTGCCCCCAATCATTTTTACCTAGAAATTTGGGGTCAGACAATATAGTAAATGATCATCATTCCTGATTGGGTTTGAAAATCATTAAGTAGTGGCTTAGGAAAGATCTTGGAAACTTGTAAAGCACTTACTTAATGTGTTTGTAACTATGTAGTATGAAGTTGCCTTAAACTAGAAATGTGCCTTCTATTCTGTGGATTGGCACCACCAGTTCCATGAATTTAGCATTTTCCTTTAGGAAATCAAAAGCTATGCAGATTACTCATTGAAATTTAGAGAGTGAAAGGCATTTTTCATCAGCACATATCATATAATTGGCACAAAGGCTTGGAAATGAAGAATTGCCTGTTAGTTCTGAGACAGTGTTTATTATGCAAAATATAAATACCAGAATTGGGGTTGGGGCACATCCAACACCCTGTGTTCAACAAGATTAAAATTTGGGGGGACCAGGATTATGATTTTTTTCATGTTTGTTTTTGGCCCACTTTCTCCAGTACCAAAATATGGAAGGCCAAACATTTGTATATACTTGTTAACTGATGCATTGCATTGTATGTCGTAACAAGTACAGATGGCAGTGTTTGGCGAGTGTGCCTATAAACTACCCAGGGCCTCTTAGGAAAATCTATAAAAGTTGCTTCTGCCTACCAGGAATGGTGGGAGGGTTTCCTCAGGTAGGAGAGAACCATCAGCAAGGAACAAGCAGGATTGTATCTTGTGCTTTTATATTTTGTGGGAAGGAACTTTGAAGCATAACAGGCATTTATTCATTTCTTAGTTCATTGTTTCTTTGGTTCACTAAAAAAGATGTGGGGGGGCAGTGAGTAAAATATTAGCAAATGAGTTAAGTAAAAATGAACATGTAAGAAACCCAAACTACCTGCCAGTCATCACAAGGTTATCTCTTTTCCTGACTCCAAATTATAGTTTAACCTTCTGGCTGCAGTTCCCACATCTCTTCTCTAAATGAGAGCTAAATGGTTAGAGACTCAGAGGATGAACATTTCATCCAATGTAACTGTGATGAATGAATCATCCAGTAAACTATTTTCCCAGTGAAAAGTAATAATTTTGTAGGATTATCATGTAGCAGGTTATGAAAAATAGGAAATACTGACTTCAGCTTTTCACTTTACAGATACATGACTGTGGGGGACAACAGTCAAGAATCTGGGGTGCTATTCTGCCCCTGAATTGTTTTCTGGATGAGTGTACATATTGTAAACTCTAGTAAGGGAGTGGTTTATTTCTAATTTCTGGTCCTTTGTCATTTTGAGTCTGTGCTCAGCATGCAGGATGCTACTGCTGGACTCACTTGATGCTTTTTCCTAGGTGATGACCTCACTATTTACGGGATTGTAATGCAACGGTGGAAGCCCTTTCAGCAAGATGTGCGCTGTGAAGTGGAGATAGTCCTGAAAGCAAATTACATCCAAGTAAATAATGAGCAGTCCTCAGGGATCATCATGGATGAGGAGGTCCAAAAGGAATTCGAAGATTTTTGGGAATACTATAAGAGCGATCCCTTTGCAGGTTTGTGTTTAAGGGCTAAAACTGATTATTATTAATGGTATTACATTCAGTGGTTAAATATGATGTCTGTGATTTGACAGTCTTATATGCCGCATAACTCAATGACTGAGTTTAAAGGGTAGGATTAGTCATTACCTCTAGCTATAGTCTCCCTTTGAAGCCTTTTTCTGCCATACTCTTCTATTTAGCAACCTGCCTGGAGATATTTCATTTCTAACTATTATTTTAAACACCTTATACACTGCCAAAACAATTTCAGAGTTTCCTATCATATCAATTAAAAATATAGTTCTTTAAAAAGGCAAAACTCATCCTTTTATGAACCCTCATCCTATTAAAGCCATTGTTTTTCTTTGATGTATTTTCAATAATAAAGATCTAACTCTACACTATTTTGGCTGAAGATTTTAAAACAGGGAATAACTAGGAAAAAGATGAGAGAAGATGCAGACGATAAGCTTTGTCATCACAAGCAAAAATTTTGACTGTGACATTCAGGTGTAATTACATAGAATAAAACATCACAGCCATTGGGTTTGTAGTGTATTTTATTAAAAAATCTCAAGTGTGTAAAGCACCAATTAAATCTTCAAGTGCCTGTTTTCATTTCTCCATGGAGACATCTTTTGAGAAAAATAAACTGAAGCCAGTAATAGACGTTTCTAATAACACTCCCCTCAAATCTAAGAGATATTGATTACTTTATTCTTAAATCACATGCTAAATTAGATAGATATTATTTTAAAAAATAAGGCTTCTAGCTGGGCATGGTGGCTCACGCCTGTAATCCCAGCACTTGGAGAGGCCAAGGTGGGTGGGTCACTTGAGGTCAGGAGTTTGAAACCAGCCTGGCCAACATGGTGAAACCCTGTCTCTATTAAAAATACAAAAATTAGCCAGGTGTGGTGGCGTTGTCTCTATTAAAAATACAAAAATTAGCCAGGTGTGGTGGCGTGCACCTGTAGTCCCAGCAACTTGTGAGGGTGAGACAGGAGAATCACTTGAGCCCGGGAGGCAGAGGTTGCAATGAGCCAAGATCGCGCCACTGCAGACCAGCCTGGGCGACAGAGTGAGACTCTGTCTCATAATAATAATAATAATAATAATAATAATAATAATAATAATAATGCTTCCATTTCCCTAAATAGGGATAGTTTTATTTTATGGGATTTTTTCTTTTTTCTTTTTTTTTTGTGTGTGTGTGTAAATGTATAGCACATTAGTAGTTCCTGATCTTTCTTTTTTCTGATCTGTATTGAAAGAAGCAAAAGTTCTCTACATTATAGATTTATGAAGCAGGCACTTTAAGAATCATACATTTTTAAATGATTTTTAAAATTAAAATGGTTTCTTTTTTTTTTTTTAAAGTAGACAGGGTTCTCACTATGCTATGTTTCCCAGGCTGGTCTTGAACTCCTAGGCTCAAGCGATCCTCACACTTCCGTCTCCCAAAGTGCTGAGATTACACTGTGCCCAGCCTGAACAGCCTGAAAATGGTTTCTTAGGATTCTATCCTTATAAAAATTTGTAACTCTTCCTTGGACCACTGTTATTTATTTATTTATTACAGTGTCACAGCTCAGTTCTACCTCTTAACAATGAAGGGAAGGCCATCATATGGTACTCTAACTAGATCTTCAGACGTGCTTTGTGCTGGCAATTAAAGAATCTGTCTTGTTTTAATTAGGCTACTGTTGCATGAGCCATTTATTGGATAAAAGGCAGAAGTAAATATAATAGTCTTGTGAGAAATATAAGTAGGAAGATAGCAAGAAAATAAGGCAGTGTTTCTCTTGTTAGTATGAATGGATTCTCAGTTTCCTATGGACCAGCACCAGTGTACTGGTATTCCTCCATTTCAGAGTGTTGGTGAGTGTGTTGGAGGGAGGAGAGGTGAAGTTGGGAAGCTGTATCCAACAGAACATCTTCATTTTGCTGGTCTAAAGCTGGAGAATGCTTCACTGATCAGCACTTGGAGGTTGACTTGCTTAAGACCTGATCCTGTGGGTACTGGCTAGGATGAACCTAGGGGCCTTATTCTGATCTGCTGTCACCTGAGGGATTCCTTGACCCTGGTGCTTAGATGTTAGAAACCCAGATGTAAGGGTTGGAGTGTTTTGGGCCATCTGAACCCTCTTTGGGGGTCACTGACTTATCTTAATTCTGAGATTACTAAGGGCCTACTAAGTTCTCTTCATTGAGATAACTGAGGGCCACACAAGAGTAGATAACTAGGCCTTTGCCACACTATTGACATGGTCTAGAACTAGAAATTTGGGAGGGAGGTGAGGATGGGGGTAGTACTGGTGCTAATGCATTTTCTTCCATGATATAGCCATGAGATCTTCTGCTGCCATGATCTAAGGAATCAAGCTTTTCAACTTAGACAACACATTTGGCCCTTCCTTTTTGCTTCTCTCTGGGACCCCAGTCCTACCTTTGTAGTCTTTTGTGTTGACCACAGTGTGAGGAAATCTTTAGATCAGAAAGATGCACAAATAATACAGGTAATAAAATAGCTAACAGTTACAGTTAAGTAGTTCCCACTATATGCCAGTTATTATTTAATGTGTTGTATACTTACTAACTCCCTTGATTCTCAACAATTCTGTCTTGATACCATTATAATCTCCATTTTGCAGACAAGAAATGGAGGCAGAGGTTAAGAAACTTGCCTAAGGTCAGACAGTTGGTAATTAATAGCACTGGGATTTGAATCCAAACATGACACCAGAGCCTGTCCTCTTACCACAGGGATATGCTTCCCATCAGCATGTTACTCAGTAAAATTGGCTCTAAGTTTTGGCTTATGTAATTCCCAGATCAATTTGCCTACTCTTGAACCTGTTTGTTGGGGCTGTTTCTTCTTTCCTTCCACATGTAATCACTAGATTCTGGTCACAATTTACCTACCTGCTGTCAAGTCTTATCTGCTTGGATTCCTGACCTTTTCTCCAGGCTTTCTAACTCCAAACAGGGAGGGATTCCTTCAGCAAGTAATGAACTTCCTGGATTTACTAAATCTTCTGGTTCCTTTTTTACTAAAAGATTTTCTTTCTTCACCATTTCTGCCATCGCAGGCCACATCATCATAGATTAGTTGCCACTGAATCAATGTTGATTCATTACAAAAAGTAGCCTTTGTGTATAGGGCCATAAGTCGTGGAAAGGCTCAGGAATGGCTTGTTGGAATTCCATAGGTTGGTTAGGCCAATGACTGAATGAAATACCTGCTTTATTCATGGAAGAGATAGGCAGATTCTCAGATTTGGTGCGTTATTTCTGAAAACAGAACCCCAAACAGTGATGTTCTTTTATTTAAAGCACATGATCAGAAGAATTCGAGATCTCATACTTACACTGCTAGGGTTGTGGTGTGCAGTGATCTTCTTAATGCCTTGATGCCCCTGTAACTTTGTTCCAGAGAAAACAGAATTTACCAGACTGCTCAGAGCAAATGCTGAATTGACTTGGAGGGTGGATTTTTTACTTATTTCTTATACCTTTGGAGCAGCTTCATGAGCTCCAGCTACCTCTGTATTTAAAGATTACTGACTTGTATGATCTGACTCATTATTTCTGAGATTGAATACCTTCCTTTTATTTAGGCAGTGGAGTAATTTTACTGAAATTGTCACATAGAAAGTACATACGGTGGCTCATACCACTCATGAGTGCTGGGTGGTAATCCCAGCACTTTGGGAGGCTGATATGAAAGGATTGCTTGAGCCCAGGAGTGAGACCAGCCTGGGCAACATAGTGAGACCACGTTGCTCCAAAAAAGAAAAAAAACATTAGCTGGGCGTGGTGCTGCACACCTGCTGTCCCAACTACTCAGGAGGCTGAGGCAGAAGGATTGCTTGAGCCCAGGAGTTTGAGGCTGCAATGAGCTATGATCACGCCACTGCACTCCAGCCTAGGTGACAGAGTGAGACCCTGTCTCAAAAAAACAGGACATTTTGAACCAAAACAAAGTTATTTCCTCCTTTAATCCTGTTGGTCATTTGGAATTGGACCTCCTGATCACTTCACATAGTAGAGTATATTTAAATGAGGATGGTCAGATAGGAAAGGAAGGGAAATTTCAGTTGGGGTTTCTTGAAAATTATTGCTGATTTCTGATCTTTCTGCTTTTCCTAGGAAGGAATGTAATATTGGCTAGCTTGTGCCCTCAAGTGTTTGGAATGTATCTAGTAAAGCTTGCTGTGGCCATGGTGCTGGCTGGTGGGATTCAAAGGACTGATGCTACAGGAACACGGGTCAGAGGTTAGTACCTATTTAGAAATTTTGAGTAATATTGACACATGGATGGAAGCTAGAACTTTTTCTTTCCCAAATAAAAACTGCTCGTTGGGTTTTATTTTCCAATTGTAATCTTATAAAACTGACAGTTGTCTGAATATCTTATACTTAGTCTAGCATCTGTATATCAGAAGCTACTTTCTAGAGTTCCAGAAAGACTGAAAGAAGTTACATTTTTCTATGGCATATACTTTTGCTATAGCCTATAAGGATGCCACAAAATAAAATCTTTGTTTCTATTACTGTGTTTTTTGTTGGATCCCCGGTCTGTTTTCAAAAGGAAAAAGATTAGAAATAGTGTATTTTAATGTCTCCAGTCAGCGTCTCTCCATCTGTGGCTGTCACTGTGTTTCTCTTAGACTGCTGCTTTCAGTCATCTGCCTGCTGATTCTCCTTCTGCTGGTAGATAGCAAATGTGCCATCTGCCATGGGGTGCTGCTGCAGGTCACACCTTCAAGAAAAGATTACTCTTAAGTGTATAATTATGTCCAGATGGCAGAAAGCTCTTTTGCAGCTAACACACTTAACCAGAGTCTGGCATACGGGTTATTACGGCCCTGTACGTGGGCCATAATAACCAAAAATTAAACCAAAAGACTAAAAGGGCATTGTTATAAATCAGGCTGTTAGTAGGGACTCGAAAACCATATAGTACAGTATAGAATAGTAAGTATAAGGCGTCCTTATATGTTTTGATCACCTACTGTTTTGCAAGGCACTCTGCCAAATGTTGAGCTTAAATAGGGGTTTCCTATTAATGTATTTAGGAAACACTTGAGAATTGCTGAAGAAACTTGGTCAGTGAAATCATATGTACCATAGGATATGCACGTTATTTATGTTACATTTGCAAAATGAGTACTTATTTTAAGATACATATTTCACTAAGTTACTAAAATTTTCATAAATGAAAAGGTCTTCACTTAACTGTTAGAATCATAATTTGATATTTGTAAAGTACTTGTAAAATCCCTAATACTTCTAAGTGCTTAAATAAAAATAGAATAAAATACTTATATGACTTGTATGCAAGGATTTAATCATAGTAGTTTGATATTTAAAAATAGAGTAAATCAGAAACTTTATAAGCCAAAAATTTTTTGTTTGTTTTTGTAGACATGGAGTCTTGCCCAGGCTGGTCTCACATTTCCGGGCTCAAGTGACCCTCCTGCCTTGGCCTCCCAAATGCTGGGATTACAAGTGTGAGCCACCGCACCTGGCCCCAGATATTTTTTAAAATGTTAAACATAGGCCTGAACATCTGGAAATAGCACATAATTTATTAATAGAATTTAGATTCTATGTCACATTGAGTAATCAATTAAGGACTGTTTATGACAGTTAACTTTCTGAAGATTTTCTAGTTAAATCCTTTCTCAAACGACCCTATGTAAAAGTACACAGTAAAAACACTATGTAATATTTTGTTGGCATTCCAAATGGACCCTTTTATAGAAATTTAAAACTTCATGTATTTGCTTTTTCCTAGGAGAATCTCATCTTTTATTGGTTGGGGATCCTGGCACAGGGAAATCTCAGTTCCTCAAATATGCAGCAAAGATTACACCAAGATCTGTGCTGACCACAGGAATTGGATCTACTAGTGCAGGTATTGTATGTGACAATTTCAAGTAATTTAACATTACTTCAGAAGTTAACACAATGGTTTTTTCTAATGAAAAACTACCTATAATAGGATAAATTTCAAGCTAATTTTTGAGTTACCACTAAAAATGGAAGGAAATATGCAATGTTATTTTGGTAGCTCTAAGAAAATATCTTGCAAGCTCCACCTTCACTTTGCATCTTAGTTTTGAACAATCCTATTCAATTTTCTCATTCTCTAGTGATTACCTTCATACTTTTATGCAGGAAAAAGTCCGTATCATCTGGCATTTTATCAAGACTCAGCAACTGGAATGTTAAACTAAAGAGGGGGATATTTCACTTTACCAAGTAGATAGATGGTATAGAGCTTAAGGCATTTTCATGCTCATAAATCTGATAGGCAACAGTAGCTCCTACTGAAATTTCTTAGGTAGGGAATGTTTATTAATATTTGGAAAATATACTTCCATCATTGCAATGTGGAGCTTCATTCATAAGTTGTAATGATTCTTTAGCAAGTACACTTAAAAGCCTTTGCAGGTAGAATGTCAAGATTTGATTATAAATAAAGTGACCCAGGGAATTTAGAAAAAAATTATTTTAAAAAATATGTTTGATGCTATTTTGTATTTTTACAGTTTTGATTGGGTAATGTTTCTGTTCTTCTGAAAACAGACCCTTGGCTTCACACATTTTAAAAATGTTTGCTACTTGTTAAGGGAGTCAGATTAACTTCCATTGGGCTAATGAATGCTCAAATTTCTAATGAGAAACTAACACTTTAAAATTTATCATACAACAGAAAATGGCCAATTAATGGTCCTGTATAAGTGGAAAACTGTTAAGGAGGTCTCAGGTTTTGAAATATAACTCAACAGTATATTAACCATTGACAAGAATGGATTTTTGGAATTGAGAAGGGTAGACAAACTTCAGGATACTAGGCAAGAATATATAAAGAATATTTCCCATGCGTTTTAAATCCGTATGACCCAGTGTTCTAGAGTTCTGTATAAAATGATACCAACAACAAATAAAGATGCTTCCCAAGTAATTATGTGGAATGTTTCCTAAGTAATTATGTAGAGTGTCAAGAAATGAGTCCAAGCCATCTAAGTGGATGACTGGTAATTTCAGAGTATTTGGGCAGTTTGAAAGTGAATTGCTGCTGATTCACTGGATTAGTGAATTAGTATAAAAGTATATTAGCACATTTCCTCCTTTTTAATGCAAAGATCATAATCCAAATATGAGAGAACAAGTATAGGGAATATAAATTTTACGGTTATAGAATAGTTATTGCTACTTCTGGTCTACCCAAAGGGCCACGCTAGCCTTTCTTCAGATTGTGTACTGCAACCCATTAGAGTCATAAAAGTCAATTCAGTGGGTCAAAACCAGCACTTTCAAAGTAAAATACAATTAAAAAAAAACCAAAATACTGCATAGTAAAGGTGCACTAAGGATGTGTTTTCATGAAATTTTTTAACATAAATATAAACTTGTTATGGAGTCTTTTTTTTTTTTTTTTTTTGAGATAGAGTCTAGTGCTGTCGCCCAGGCTGGAGTGCAGTGATGCAATCTCAGCTCACTGCAACCTCTGCTTCCTGGGTTCAAGTGATTCTCCTGCCTCAGCCTCCTGAGTAACTGGGATTACAGATGTGCACCACCGCACCTGGCTAATTTTTGTATTTTTAGTAGAGACAGGGTTTCACCATGTTGGCCAGGCTGGTCTTGAACTCCTGACCTCAAATGATCCACCCGCCTCAGCCTCCCCAAGTGCTGGGATTACAGGCGTGAGCCACTGCGCCCGGCCCTAAGTTTTTTATACCATGGATTATGGTAAAAAGTTTTGATAACTGCTGCCATAGACATTCTTGGGAAAGCTAGAAACCCCAAATCCTAAAATTAGAGGGTATAGTTATATGGGAGCCTAAAGTTGTATAAGGTTATGAATGGGCAAATAAATGCATGCATACTTCTTCAGACCTCTGGAATGTTTTCTCAGCCCAAATAATACCCTTAATGCCTCCATCTTAGTGGCATAAGTCATTGGTTCATGTTTATATTCTTAGGACACAGCTATTTACTATGAGCAAAAGGGTGGAAAATAGTTCTTCAGATACAGTATTGGCAAATGACGCTAGACCGGGTGGAAAAAAAACTTATGTGCTACAGTTTCTTACGTTTCTAATGTTTGAAGTCTAAATCTATTTTCAGTCATTAAAAAAATTCTTAGAGTGATAAAATTTAAGATAACAAAAGGTAATGGTTCGCATGTCCCAAGCTTAAGTGAAAATTGGTTGTCCATTTACAACTTGATACAAAAACCTAACCCTTTGATGTCACTACAAATAGATTGTTATAATTAGTCAGAATAAAAACTCAGCAGTAAATGGCTTTATTTGGTGATTTGGCTGTATATGCTTTATTTCTAATAAGCACATATGTTGTTCCTATTATATTAACCACTGAGCTCTTTGTTGGAAAGTAATGCTTTTATTTTCATTTTAATATTTTAACATTTTTCTTTTAATTGCAATTAGACAAATGAGATTTTCTTTATATAGTTTTAACAGTCAGAAGTATTTTACTTTTAAAATCTATGAACTAGTTAATGGACAATATTTTAATAATCTGGTATATTAAATTCAAAGTTTAACATCTGGCAAAACTTTGCTTCACAAATTCACTTTTTTAGAATGATAGGAAATATATACAACTCAGAATCCATGTTTAGACAAATGCCCTTTTCCTTTCCTCAACATAAAAGCTTTAAAAAGTGCAGTATAAAAGTTTTAGATATGAAGGCACTGCATAACCTGCATCATATGGCTGTCTTGCTTAGCTGCAAGAATAATGAAAATATTCTACCTCAATTTTATGGAGCATAAGAAAATTTTTTGAGGAAGGACTTAACTCTCAAAGAAAAAGAAACCTTTTACCCCATTTAGTTAATGAATTCCTTTCCAAGATTGCTTTTCAAAGATTTGTTGGAAAAGCTATCTAGAGTATGTCAACCACAAATATGCCTGATCTCATTCTGCATGAGTGTCAGAGGAAATGGGGAAGAGTACTACAGGTGTGAAAATATATATATTTCCAAAATAGTAACGTATCTATTATAATAAAGCTAAATATACCTTTCTAAATCCATGGTTTTTATATAAATACTGCCAATAACATGATCTATTAAAAGAATTTTTAAAGGTCATGGTATTTTTAGAAATCAAATGAACCAATTTGAGCCATTGTAATCCCCTATTCTTAAACACAGGGAGTTTGTATTTTCTCCCGATATTGTATTTGGTCTTGAATTCACTGGACAATAATGATGTATGATTCAAGAAATGCTCTGATATTCTAAACTCTGTTATAAGAACAAAAACCATAGCCAGGGGACCTTATTAACAATTAGCCATATTTGTTCTTCTCTTACCAAACAAACCAAATGCTGTCCAACATCTCATGAACTATAATAGTAGCCATAAGAGGCTTCACGGTGGCTTGGAAAATTGGATCCTAAAGTTCTTGGTAGCATATAGTTGATTTCAAATCCTCTTTTTAAGGACATGCCAAAAAAGAATGGAAATCTGCCCCTTAAATTAAAATGATACCATATGTCTTCACAGGAAGAAACATTTTAGTTGAAGTAAACTTTGTTCTTTCAAAGGCCAGTAAAATAGTGGTCCAAAGACTGTCTGGGAGGCCAAGACATCTTTACAACCTGGTCTAATGATTCCTGTTTCTTTATAAGTGCTTTCATTACATATAAAGGAGAAGAAAATAATATATATGCTTTAATCAGATTAGTTTCAGAACAAATAAAATAACACATTAGAGAAAAAAATTACTTAAAAATAGTTGTATTTATATTCCACAATTTGTTCAAATACTGGTTTTCTTATAAACTTTCTACAGGATGTTTTTAAACAAATTCTTCACATTGTGTTTTGACTATGTACTTACGGAATTTCAGGGAAATAGTTCTGTGTATTTTTAATAGCTTAATTTGTACTAAAGGGATGGTAGGTGGTCACATGCAGTCCATGTGGGATTCTAACATGACATTTAGTGAGTTTTCTGATGTGGACCATCCCTTTGATGCTGAAGGTAATGCATCTGTTGAAAGAAGTGACTGTAGATTTGGATTACTGCTCTCTGCATCTTCCAGTTTTTCTGTGTTATCTTCCCAATTAATGTGGAATCTTGTGACCCTGGGATTAGATGCCAAAATATTCCTTTGAAGCTAGAGGAAAAAGGAAACATACAAATGGTAAACACTAAGAAAGTTAAATCACCATATACAAATAGAAGCTTAATAAAATGGTTCATGTTAGTACTCCTAAAGGGCTAAGTTCATATACAAAGGTATAATTCAAGTTAAGTACCTTAAATATAACTAATAAGATGTAACGACTAGGGCTGTAGCAAAGAAGTTATTTTAGATTAACAGAAACAAGATACGGAGAATCTGAGGGGATTCATCTGGCTTTTTAACTATTTAACTCCTATACTTCTGTTTTCTAAAAGAAAGAATCTCCTCATTTTTGAAAATGAATGCTTCAGAAGATGCTTTATTTAACAAGCTACTATGTTGTTTAGATTGGTATGTTTTCAAAGGAAAATGAAAAATTGTCAAATACAACTTATTATTAATGGTTTCCTACACCTTTTAAAGATGGCTCATTCTTAGAAACAGTCCTGTTTCTTTTGTGCTATATAAGGTGCTTCAGGGATAACAAATTGGATCAATGGAAGGTACAACAAGGGTGAAAAATAGTCCGGCCTTATTATCAGAAAGAACATGAGAACATTCTATTCTATTGTCATGTAATTTTTCTTGCATGGTTCAACTTCATTTACTCTGCACTCTCACAAAATCACCAGTTACCAAACTGTTATAGTTCCCAGTGAAAAATCAGAAAATACTAAGTATCTTTAAGAATGCTGAATCCTAGATTTCAGCTTCTCACTCAGAATTTAAGCTGTTTTCAGTACCAGAAATATTTAAGACTGTTAGTTTAACTTCTAAGAATAGCAGATAAAGCGTATAGGTGTTTTGAGATAACCGTATTCATAGGAAAAACAAACATAAAACTTTCATAATTTTGGGAAGAGTTACACACAAAAATATCATCATTGAATAATTAGTACAACAAAAATGCATTTGTTTGTCCTAAAGGTTGAAATGAACAGAATCATGATGGGAATAATCAATATGGGAAATGCTATAAAGAAAGCCATAAACAAAGGCCTGTCTTACAAGAAGTACTTTCTCTGGGCGTGGTGGCTCACACCTGTAATCCCAGCACTTTGGGAGGTCAAGGTAGGCAGATCACTTGAGGTCAGGAGTTGGAGACTACCCTGGCCAACATGGTGAAACTCCACCTCTACTAAAAATACAAAAATTATCTGGGCGTGTTGGTATACACCTGTAGTCCCAGCTACTTGGGAGGCTGAGACAGGAGAATCGCTTGAACCTAGGAGGCAGAGGTTGCAGTGAGCCGAGATCATGCCACTGCGCTCCAGCCTGAGCAACAGAGCAGGAAACCATCTCAGAAAAAAAAGAGGTACTTTCATTTTTCTAAACCAGAAATGCTCAAGGTGTCTGCCTACATTAATTACTAATGACTCATCTGAAGGTAGGGTTTGAAGTCATCCATGGTAATGGAACAATAATTAGTTTGCCCAGTTGGCATAAGGACCTCATATTTATTTTATCTCAAAGCCATTTTAATAGTATACTATGAAATTGCAATAGCAACTGCTTTAAAAATTGCATAGTAAAAGTAGTTAAAAAGGAATAGTAAGAACATTACCTTAGAAAAGTCTGGTTTTACTGGTGGATTTTCCCTTAATTCTGTCTCAGTATATTCATTATTTACATAATAGCCAACTCTAATAAATTCTTGTCCTCGATAGGTACAAGTAATTAGCACAACAGTTACGCCTACTGCATCTGCATCTGGAATGAGTCCTGGATTAGGTGCATCAGCCTAGAATAAATTAAAAAGAAAAGAAACACACACACACAAAAGGCTGTTAGTGGCAGGCAAGACTGGAGTTTCAGTTACCTAGAACCATCAGTTGAGGATGCAACAAGAAAAACTTGGAAATCATACTGGGAAGGAAAATGCTCATTTCTGACTGACTTATAATAAGCTGGAAAAGACAGTTCATGTTTTGCCACAATATATGTAAGGACCCTTGATACTTGAAAGCATGACTACACTTGTAAAAGGAAGAAATTCTGGCTACACTGCATGGTGGTTCATGAAAGGATTATACACTATTCATTATAAAACCTTTATAGTCAGCAATTGATTTTAACCTTTTCAGTCATAATTTTCAGACCTAAATTAGTAAGTATTAAATGATCTCCTCATAGACTGTTGGCCACAAATGTTTATTATACCAGTTTCCCTCTTCAACCCAGGATACTTATATTCTCATACCCACTCAACCACCCCCACAGGTATTCTAATAGTAAATTAGTATAAAACTGAAAATGAGGTTGGGTGTGGTTGCTTACACTTGTAATCCCAGCACTTTGGGAGGCCAAGGTGGGTGGATCATGAGGTCAAGAGATTGAGACCATCCTGGCCAACATGATGAAACCCCATCTCTATTAAAAACACAAAAATTAGCTGGGCATGGTGGCGGGTGCCTGTAGTCCCAGCTACTTGGGAGGCTGAGGCAGGAGAATCACTTGAACCGAGGAGGTGGAAGTTGCAGTGAGCTGAGATCGCACTACTGCACTCCAGCCTGGCGACAGAGTGAGACTCCGTCTCAAACAAAACAAAACAAAACTGAAAATGAGATGGAAATAGCTACATAGCAGATTTTCAAAAAATATTAATAATCCTCTATTATGAATAGTTACTTTGCTAGACTCTACAATATAGTATGCTCTTTAAACCACACATAATGTGGAAACCAGTGAAGGTAAGGATTGCTTTAGGCAGATGTCAAAGACCTTGTTTTAAATCAAGCTATTGTAAGGTGAACCTTGAGGAATGCAGAAAGTAAACTGAGTTAGACTAGACTAAGAGCATGAGCGAAGGGCAGGGCCCCATCCGTGGTAGGGTGCAGGTAGTAATGAGACGACCGGATGGAAGGAGCCAGACTGGGGAACACAGGCAGTGATGGCTGAGGCATCTGAGGCAGCCATTCTGGGTGGTAAATGGATCAAGTCCCAGCAAATTAGCTTACCTGTTGCCAGGGCACCAAGGAATATTCCTGGGCCTAGATGAGCACTTTAGCCAATGCCTTAGCTTGTGAAAATTGAAGACTGTTGTTTACTGTATGCCTAACACAGGTAGATGATACAAAAAGGCATAAAATCGCTACCTAGTGTCCTAGGCTAAAAACCTCAGTCAGCTTCACTCCCTTATCTCCTACATCTAGTCAGTCTCAACATTTTTTTCATTTCTGGAGGCTGAATTCATGTCATCTCCTATCTGGAATATTGCTTAGAATTTTCTAACTGATCTCCCCAGCTCTAGCCTATCATTTGCACTGCTACCAGCATTAACACAGATATGTTCTTTCTCTTTGGTTTTAAAACCTCAGATTATTAAAACCCTCAGAAGAGTATTCCCTTTTCTAAGGGATAAAATCTCAGTTCTTTAACTTCATTGACAAGGCCCTTCTCAGTTTGTCTCCAGCCAATATCTCCATTCATACCTCCTTTAACTCCACCATTGTTCTAGAGATATGAATCACACAGGTTCTTTAAAACGTGGTGATAATCTTTTCACGCTCTGAGCACGGTGGCTCACGCCTGTAATCCTAGCACTTTGGGAGGCTAAGGTGGGTGGATCACTTGAGCCCAGGAATTTGAGATTATCCTGGGCCACATGGCGAAACCCCATCTCTACAAAAACAAATTTAAAAAAGAAATACTTCACCCCCTGTGCTTCTAACATACTGTTCCCTTGGCCTGAAAGGTCCTTCGCTCACATCCTGAAAAATTCATCTTTTAATCTTTTTTGGAGCTTACATCGAGTGTATTCTCAGTGACGCCCTTTCTAACTCAGAAGGTAGAATCAATAGATTCCTTTTTTATGTGCTGATATTTCTTGTCACAAATTATCTAAGAACGTATGCCCTGTGATCTAAACATGTTTATTTTTCAGTCTTCTCTTCTAGATGCTATGCTTTATCCAGGGCAGGAGTCCCATCCAGTTCATCTTTATAATCTCGTGTGGCTCAGCTCTGAGCACTTAGTATTTTGGAATTCATTTGTAAATCAGTTCCTGCCCTGAAGGGGTTTATGATCTCTTGGCAAGACACCAGGATAGGGGACAGCCAGCCTTGTCCTGGAGAATATGCTGTTTGTCTTAGAGATTCTACACACCCCTGCACAGAGGGGTTAGATTACTTTCAGTGTACCCAAACGGATTCTAATATACCTGAAGTGGGTGGAGATGGGAAATATATAATAGTTCAGTACTGCTATGAGAACTCTTCCCCTTCCCTTCAGTAAATTGGTTCCCTTCAGTAAATTGGTTCTAGGCATGTTTCTGTTTTAAAATCTGTTGTAAATATAAAACATCTTTTAAAAAGCATTTTACAATTTGAAAAAGATTCAGTTTGAGCAAATTTAAGTAGAGAAGCTTACAGGCCTTTCAAATAATTTAGGATGCAGAAGTAATGAGCAGAGATCTTTGTTTTGACTCTAGCTGGCAATACTAGGCAGATGTCTGGACATCTTCCTGCTAGCCTTTGACTCACTCAGAAGAAAGACATGTTTAACTATTTAGAGAGGCAAAATCATGGCAGACCAAGAGATTACTATAGTAGTTTTAAAATACAAAACAAAAGCTGTAATTTAGTCTCTTTCTGTTGATAATGGTGAATTCTGTAAAACCTTTAGGCTGAATATACATTGTACCTCCTCTGTTCTTTTTGGCAACATGTACACTGACACCAAGGTAAAACTACGTGAAGATCACCAGCAGGAAATACTTTTGAATACATTTTTTTTGCTACAGCACTTTCAGCCAAAAGCTTAGGAGTATGCTTAATAACAAACACAAAAGATTTTCAAGGGTTTGTTTCAATAACAAGGCATTTATTTGTAAGTTCTTATAGTAGCCAAAAAAAAAAAAAAAAAAGTATTATCAGTACCTGTCAACCCAGGTTTCTTTTACTGTATCATGAATTATCAGTAAAGTATGGGTTCCTTAGGCCTGTGGGTCAGAGCAAGTCCTGCTTTTTTATATAACAATTTCAAGAAGTTAAGAGAATAAAAATGTAGTTCTAATTTTAGGAATAGGGCACTCTTTATGAGTGACTGATTATACTGTTTTATTCCCCATAACATTTTAATGAGATAGAATATTATCCACATTTTATAGAAGACTGGAATGACTAAGGGAGGAGGTTAGAGAGGTAAAGCCACACATGGCTAATACAGAGGTGTCGGGATTTGACCTATATCTATAACTGCAGTGCTTCCTTCTACAGAACAGGGCATTCTGTTACCCATGTCTTTTACATGGTTATGCACTCACACAACTTTGATTAACAGCACTTTTAATTCATATATTTGATTAGTATATTTGAGCTTTTCTTAGCTATTTCTTTAGATACAGTAAATTATTTGTTGCTTTTTAATCAAAAGTACTAAGGCTAGGAAACCAAGATTCTAAATTCTGTATTTAGGACAGGGGAGGGAAAGGTAGCAGCTCTAGAGATGGCATGTGTCTAAGTGATTCTTTGCCAGTTTCTGATGGGATTATTTGACCAATGGTATTCATTTAAATTGGTCCCATCTGTGAAGTGAGAAAACAGAGGTCAGGCATAGGAAGAGTTAGATTTTCTTTCTGGATTAAGTCTTTTCAGTGAGTTCCACTTAACTGATGGGACATTGCTGGGTTGAAATACTTGTAACAGAAATTAATAGTAGTTTTAAAAAACCTATGGCTAGTTACTCTTTGGTCTATTACAAACATCTCCCTTATAAATAAGCATGCATAATTGAGGAATAACTGAATGGTTCCATATAGCAATTTAACATGGATTAAAAGAAATAACACTTTTGAATATAGAAGACAATGTCTGAAGCCTTGGTATAGATCCAAATACTCTCAGTGGTATCTAAGAACAAAATTTTTATTACTAGAAATTCTCTTCACAAATACCTAGTGGGGTAGTAAATTTGCAAAAGTAGTCCTCTTATAAGATAATGTAGATTATAAGATGCTTTAGTAAACTCTGGAATGTCATTCCAATGACCCAAGACCACACATCTCTATCCACTAAACGTATCTGTTAACCTAGCTCAACTACTGATTATGCTGAAATAAAGTTGTTTTTGTTACATCACCATCAGTTCCAGTGGCTGAAACCATAAACTGAAGATGCATATTACTAACAATGCCAGTTAGTTTTAGATATTTTGAATCCATGTTTTGGGTTGCTAGACAGCCACCTTGGAAGTCTGATACTGAGGTGCTATTCACAGGAAGAGCCCCAAATTCACCACCCTGTGTGCCATGATACAGTATAAAATTTACTGTAGGTTGTTCATCTCTCTAAAGTAAACGTCACATTAACATCTCTCAGCATATAAAACCAGGAAGTAAGAGTTCCTCTGTGACACAGAGACTGCCTAAAACATGATGGAAACAGATTTAAAGTGAATGCAGCAGAAGCAGTTCTTTAACCCAAAAGGAAAGGGATAAGGGTTATAAGATAATAGATAATATAGTCTACTTCGAAACATATTTGGCATACACATTTACCAAGATTAATCTTACCTGAAATACAAACATATGCCTTCCTGCGGGAACAGGACCCACTAAAACAGAGTCTAAAACTTGATCGTATTCTTCACTTTCTGCAGAGCCCACATAGATAATTTTCCATTCCAAGTCTAGGGTTAAAAAACCAAAGCATTATTTCATATTCAGTAATTACATTACCAGATGACATCAAAGACCCTTTTAATGTCCACTTAGCCACTTACTGGCTTTAAAATTGGCTTCTCATAGCAATCCAGAAAGGCAGTGAAATGCTCCTTATAAAGTTCCTACCAGAGTTCACACTTTGATCAGAGTTTCTCAAAATACTCTTTTGTGAAACACTAGTTCCTGGACAGTGCCTCACAAACAAGATAACATAGCCAAACACTTGGGAAATGCTGTAAACCTTGTCTTGAGGATTCATAAAGCATGCTGGCACAGTAAGTTTTCTGAGATATCCTTCAGTAAAGAACACCAGTAACATTAATCCAGCACTTCCCAAATTTATTTGGCTATGGAATCCCCCTTTTTTTGTATATCATCTTTTAAGGCCCTTCTCAACACACTTTGGAAGGGCAGCCCTATACTACGCTGCAGAGATCCAAATAATCACAGAGCTCCAAAGTAGAAAAATTATTAGTAAAACCTCCCTCATGGCTCAGAAGTAAGTGGCTTCAGCTCATCAACTGTCAACGAACAATGGTAGGGTTTTTCCCTTACGGCACCCCCCTGTGTCATACATTCTTTAAATTGGGCAGAGGAAACCAAGATCTTTACACCACGTGATACAATAGAGTATACACAGTGGAGATAGGCAGGAGGAAAAGACATTCAGGTGCAATTCAAGGCGTTATATGTAATTCAATATAGCGGATTTTACTGAGCATGTTTTACAATGTGTTCTGTGAAGTGAACCCAGAGATGAGTAGAACTCTTTGGAGGAGTCTCCTGTTTAGCTGAGGAAGAAGATAACTTTGTAATACAAACCATCTCTGAGAGACCTCTTCATCTTCTTTGGGTATTTTGCACTGTGTGGCCTGCCTCTTGCATTCAACACACTGTTACACAAGCACTCCCAAAGGGTGAGTTTCTGGGTCACTCATGACAATCTAGTTAGTGCCACCATGTGTGGCCATTTTTGTGTAACTGTAGATATTTTTGTTCCCTAAATTGATAATAGAAATAGTAACGTACTGCTTATTTATATTGTATTGTAAACTACAATCAACTGAAAGCTCCTTTTTTATTTTCTCTTATTAAGTCAGCAATCATTTTCTGAGGACCTATTATGTCATGGCTCTGTCCTAGAACTAAACCATTTCTATTTCCAGCTTCCAGCACACTTCCAGATGCAGGGTGCTGCATCTGACATCTCCTGAGATCATCTGTTGATGGAGATAGAGAGGAAGTAGGCAATATAAGTATCTCGCCAGAGGGAACAGCAAATACAAAGGCCCAGGGGTAGGGCACACTTGGCAAGAAAAAGCAAGGAGGCTAGGGCTGGAGCAGAATGAAAGGAAGGAGGAAAGCACCAAACCCTATGATTGAGGATGAGGGGAACAGCCAGATCATGCGGTTTTGAAGGCCATCATAAGGACTCTGGCTTTCACACTGCGTGGCATGGGAAGCCATCGAAGGGTTTTGAGCAGAGCAGTAACAGGAGCCAACTTTCATTTTAAAAGGAATGCTTTGATTGCTGTGTTCAATATAGAGTGTAAGAGGACAAGGGAAGAAACAATATTTCAATAATTGAGGCAAGAAATTATGGTGGCATGGACCTCGTGTGGCCATGGGGCTGTGCAACAGTTATATTCTGGATAAAATCCTGAAGATGAAAGCAGCAGGAGCCACTTTTGCAGGGAGGTGATGTGGGGTAGGGGAGCAATCAGGAGTTCATTTTAGACATATTTGAGATGTCTGCTTCTAAGCAGAGATACTGAATAGGCAGGATAAAAATTTGGAACCTGTCAATGATATGTAAAGCCATAAAAATACATGGGCTTGCTCTAGGGAGTGAGATTTGAGCCCTCCAAAGATAAGAGGACAAATTAAGTTACAAAACAAGTGGCAAATGAGGTAGGTGACCCAAAAGCCAAGTGAAGAAACTGTTTTAAGAAAGTGATGTGAAAGGTACTAAACTAGCCAAGTGAGGATAAGACTAAGAATTATCACATAGAGTGGCTGGGCGCAGTGGCTCACGCCTGTAATCCCAGCATTGTGGGAGGCTAAGGTGGCTGGATGGCTTGAGGTCAGGAGTTCGAGACCAGCCTGGCAAACATGGTGAAACCCCATCTCTACTAAAAGTACAAAAATTAGGGGTGGCACATGCCTGTGGTCCCAGCTACTCGGGAGGCTGAGGCACAAGAATCGCCTGAACCCTGGAGGCGGAGGTTGCAGTGAGCCGAGATCGCGCCACTGCACTCCAGCCTGGGCAATGGAACGAGATTGTCTCCAAAAAAAAAAAAAAAAAATTATTACATAAAGGTTTTCATGAATTTTAATTTCATATATAATTGTATCACTACATATAATGCCCTTGATCCTAAGTGGTATAAATTCGCATTTGTGGACTGGCATAGGAACATAGCCATAATTTATAAACCTATTTTAGAAAATACCTACTATATACTGGGCATTAGTTCTACTTCATACCTATTGTTTAAACCTCAACAGCTTCATCATGTAGATCAAATTATCCCCATTATGCAAATAACTTGAGACTCTGAGAGGTTAAGTAATCTACACAAATTCATAATTTGTACATCAAAGAATCAGAATCCAAGCTATGCCTCTGTAACTACAAACCCCGGGCTTCTTCTGAAAACCTAACTGGGAAGATAAATTCTTTCTAGCTCTGAAATTAGCAGTGGAATAAGGGAATTTATTTGCAGGGGAAGTGAGAGCAGAGGAGATGGAGAGAGAATCTAGCCTTAACAAGAACAGGCTGCAACTCAGGGAACACTTGTACATTGATTTTTATGTTTATGGGATGCTTGCTACAGTTGCTGAGTTTTACATGCTCAATACCCTTTTATACATTGGCATCAGTTTTTTTGTTGTTTTTTTTTTTAACCCAGCTTTCATTTAATTCCTCTGCCCCCTGTATTTGAGGGAGGAAGGGTAAGGTCAGATGTTTTACATAAGTTCTCAGGTGAAGAAATTTGTTCATTTATTTTAAAGTTAACTTTTATTTAATCACAGTAATCATGATTAAATGATTTACCCAGCCTGAAAGTATTTACATTTGTGGTGAAAGAGTGAGTGAATGAGGGAAGTCATCAAGAGAATTTTTAGCTAATTACACTACTTGGGAAGACCTGTGGTCTAGTGGAAAGTATGTAGGCTTTGGAATTAGAACAAGCTGAAGTTGGAAAGTATGAAGCACCATGCTCAATTCTGGTATATTATAAGTATTCAATTGACAGTAGCTGTAATTAAGATATATATATATATAAATTTAAGAATGGCAGGATGGTCAATCAAAACTTGTACAGTCTTGGTGACCATCAAGCACATCCAGCCAGGGTCTCAGGCTGTCTTAACCCTTGATATAAGCCCTATATTAGAAAGAACCAAATTATCTTAAGACCAAATATTCCTCAAGGCTTTTTCTGAAGCAAAGCTACAGGGCAGCTCTTAAAGGAAAGTGAACGTTTGGGGCTACTGATGAAAGTATGAAAAACGGTGGCCAAACTCTGCTTTGAGACTTGAGGCAAAATAACTTATTAAGAAAATTCTTTTCAAAATATTCTATAGTTTGGGCTGGGTGCAGTGGGCTCACTATAATCACAACACTATGGGAGGCAGGGGTGGGAGGACTGCTTGAGCCCAGGGGTTCGAGACCAGCTTGGGCAACATGGCAAAACTCCGTCTCTACAAAAAATTAAAAAATTAGCCCAATGTGGTGGCACATCGACTATGGTCCCAGCTATTCAGGAGGCTAAGGTGGGAGGATTGCTTAAGCCCAGGTTGAGGCTGCAGGGAGCAGCTGTGTTTGCACCACTGTACTCCATCCAGCCTGAGTGCCAGAGCAACACTGTCTCATTTAAAAAAAAAAAAATTCTATAGTTTAATTTTAAGAACAGAATTTTTAAAAGAACTGTAATATAAAAGTATGGAACCTATTAGAAGCCTTTGCTAAGTAAAAATTTCCTTAATCCACATAGCCTCTAGGTGGAGTATACAGGCATGGCACCTTTTTGAAAGATTCCTTTGCAGCTTCAGTATGACTCAGCTTAAAATATTTTTTAAAATACTAAATAAATGCTCAGTAATGGTGCCTAGGAAGTGAAATATACCATTGGAAATAAGTATGTTTTTGACACCAGTACTGTAAATCCCTGATGTGATTCAGCTGGGTTCTGAATGGATCCCAGTTAAAAATGGAACGTTTTGGCTTTATGAATGGCTGGTTTCATCTATGCAATGTAAAAGCCCTGTAACGACATCCTGAGTCATCTATCTTCTTTGTTCAGAGCTGACTCCTAAAATGGAAGGCAACACTTGAGAAATACCTGTAATTTGAAGAACTTCTGGTGGTATATCTGAAAAACAGTGTGGTATAAGTTGGAATGGACCGATCAATGGTTTTTCTTTTGTCTATTTTTATATGCAGTTGGCAATAAAAAAAAAATTACTGTTGGGTGTGAAAAATGGGCCTGGTAGCTGCAATGCTTATATTAATAGTAGTATCATAGGAGAGTAATCAAATGACTTCAGAGTAATAAGAAAAATACCCCTTAGTGTTATCAATGGCCTATTTGAAATTATTTTAATAAATGAATCATCTTTCAAAATTTGCCCTATATATGTATGTGCATTTATGCTCTATATAGGTTTAAAAAAAAAAAAAAAACGGGGGCACATGTTAAAGTAATAATTGTGATTACCGAAAGGAGATAGGGCAAGGCACTGAGTACAGAGAACTGTTAACTTTATATATGCCTGTACAACTTTCTAAAAGTTTATTACAATGAATATATATTGTTTTATAATTAAAATTAACCTTACATATGATATATACATTTTAGAGATTAAAAACTAGTTTTTAAAATGAAAAGTTTTACATGCCACGATTACCTAAATCATCTTCAATGCATTTTTTACATATACTTCTAGTTCAAAGTATGTCCCTCATCGATGAAGTTAAACTATTTCCCCTTCAAAACTGGCAAATGAAGCACTGAATTACTTTAGTAAAAGATAATTAAAGCAAAGATAATTGTCGTTTTAGCTTTCTAAATATTTATTACTAAAGATATTAAAAATACGTATTTTTAAGACCTTAAAATATATGTAGAAAAAATACCAAGAATTCTTGGACTGACATGAGGAGTTGACCTTAATTTCCTAGCCTACGTTTGTGTTTTATGTTTAGGGTGTGTTCTGTATTTGGATGTGGAGTTATTTTAGATTTCAACACGGTCTTGAAGAAAGTCTTCCTTCAGACTATTTATAAGGCAGAGATTAAGTCCTGGAAATTATTTAAGTATCTTATTTCTGCTTTTAGGTTAAATGTAACTTCCTACCTCAGCTCTATTTCTCTTCCTGAAATTAGCTTTTCGTCATTAGGGGAAAGGAGTCCACGTTGGTTGGGGAGCCTGCGCGCCAGCATCCCGGCGCATCCCGGGCGCCGGCCGAGGAGGACCGGCCGAACAGGACCCACGGCCCCCGGGGAGCGCCGGCGCCCAGCCCGCGGCGCGGAGGGGCCGAGCCTGCGCCCGCCTCCCCCGCTGGTTGGTCGAGGAAGCCAGAAATCAGCGCGAGGACAGCCTCGCTCTCCTCCCCGAAGCGGCCAGGCATGGCCAGCCCGGAGAGTGCGGCGACTCCACCGTGAGCTCTCGAGAGTGCCTGCCTGCCTTTCGCCGGGGGCAGGCGGGCGGCGGGGCAAGAGGAGGCGCCGTGCGCCGGGGTCGCTGGCCCAATTCTCGACTCGGGGTAAGATGGCTCCGCTCCGAACTCGCCGGCGCGACCACACGCACAGCCTCTCCCTTCCCAGCCTCCGTGCTCGGGCCCGGAGGGTCGCGGAGGCTGTTGGCGGCGCGGAGCCAGCCCGGCGCGACCTCAGGCGGCGCAGCGGGAGCGAGTGCGGGTCTCCGAGCTGCCCGCCCGCAGACAAAGCTGACAACATGGCTACCTCCGCTCCTCCGCTCAAACAAGTTCCTCGCAAGTTGAGCCCGGCAGGCGCCTGGGCTGCGGCGGAAAGCCGCGCGCGCCTCGGCGGCCGTCGTCCATCAACTTCAAGTTTCCCTCCGCAGAGCAGCCCGCGGCCGCCAGGCGCCGAACACAGCCGCCCAGCGCGAGGCCCGGCCCGGGAAACTTTCAACGTCTGCAGCCCGCAACTGACAGCCCGGGCGCACGGGCGCCGCACTCACCTTCAGACAGGTCCTCGATGCACTCGAAGGTGATCTCGAACTGGAACGGGTTGTAGAAAGGAGAAGGGTTATCCAGCACCACTACATTGTTCACCTGAACCTTTGCCATATTTTGAAAAAAACACAAACAATGGGAACTGGGGCTGGTTGCGGCACAATAAAGTCCAGCGCGCGGCCGCTCGGGAGAGCGCAGACCCCCGCTCCAGCGCCGGCCAGACGTCGTGCAGCGGCGACTTGAGAAACTTTTTTCCTCTTTTTATTTACACGGGAGCACTCCACAGTGTTTTGCAGCTTTCCTATTTCACTAAACTACAGCCCATTCTGCTCTGATAAGTAGCAGCGTTGCCCTCGATTGGCTGCACCCGAGTTCTGACCCTCCTCCTCCAGCGAGGGCCTCGGCAGCCAGCAAGATGGGCTCCCGCTCCCGGAATGGACTCGGAAACTTTAACTGCGGCTCCACCTGCTGGTGTGGATTAGGACAAAGGCGGAGAACAAAGTGAGTGGAATAAGGGCTGGGAGGCCCGCGCGGAGGCCGCCGGCGGCGGCGCGGAGAGGGGCGGAGGGGGCGTGGCCGCGGCGGGGAGGCGTGGCTGCGGCGGGAGGGCGCGATCCGGCCGACGCCCGCCCCTCCAGTTGGCTTCGTGTGGGTGTTTTGGCGTTTTTTTGTTTTTTTTTTTGTTTTTTTGGTTTTTTGATTTAACGCTCTTTTTACATCAGTGCAACAGCTTTGCCGGCCTTGCTGAATTTAGCAGATGAGAGTCGGTGTTTACACTGGGTTAGGTTCAGCTTTCTGCGTATCGGGTAGTATTTGGAGTAGAGAGAAAGATTGGCTGCAGGGGAAATAAATTGCATGTTATAGACCGATGTCAGCTCGAAAGGAGCAAAGCCATTTTGGAAATCTAGCTCTTGGCCAGTATCTACGTTTAGGCACGACAGCGCCGTTAAGCAACACAAAATGAAGGGCGAGGAATGATTTTCTACACACTGTGCTTGGAAAATTTAAATAGGTAACCTTTGGGCTTGCACCTGGGCGTCTTCTTCGGAGTCCAGATCTGGGAAGTCCTAGAATAAAAAAAAATCACAAGAGGTGTGATCAGTTATACTTCAGGTTACTGCCATTTGGAGAGCATAGCAGGAACATAAAAGGAGAAAATGGAAGTGTTAGGAGACCAACAGGGCAACAAACGTAATAGAGATGGGAAAAAGAACACAAAGACATAGCAAGACATTTGATCTTCAAAAAAATTTCTGACCTAAACCGTTAGTAAAGCAAATTCTGAGGAGCCCTTGCTTGCCTGTAACCAGTTGAGGTCTGAACTGAGGAAATGTTGATTCGTTTATGCTGCTTGGCTACCATTGCGGGGAAAGAGAAAGCTTTAACATATTTGTGAGCCTAAACCGTTTCTATTTAGTAAGTGGTATAAAGGTTTGTTTTATTATCTGCTAGCCATAAACCATCATTTTTTTCCTTAAATGTTGTGAATGAAACCACCAAACTTGGCCAAATTCAGAGAGAAAATTAATTCTTAAGTATGTGTTCTGGAAGAGTTTTCTCTTAGTATAGTGCCCAGAATTTTGATTTGTCATTCTTTGGTCATTGTTCATACTTAAGTAGGTGGCTTTTGATGAAACGTTTTCATCTGATGGTCTTTTGAAAGTTAATGTGAGACAGCTAATGTCAACCCCTCGTACATTTAGGAAAACCGGTTAGAGTGGGGAAGAGTTCCCTTTTTTTGTCAGTGGATTGAACAGTTAGATATAGGACCTACCAAAAAACACTTCTTCAAGCCAGTTGTTTGTGACATTAGAGTATTAAGAGTCAAACCATGGTGATAGACACAGATTTTTGTGGCTGATAAACAACATACTCTTCATTCTTATTAGTGCTGGTCCTAACACTAGCAGATAAAGTGGAAATTGCTGTATGCTGTAAGACACTCTGTATATGTAAGATAAAATGACCATTTGAAGATTAAAACTCCTGTGAGACTGGTGTATGCAGTTGTCTGATTATTACAGGTACTCTTAAGAGGAGAGTCTAGTCAGTCTCATGAAAACGACATTTTATGCTTGTTAAAATCACGTGCATTTTGCAGTCTGACCGTAAGTGTTACAATGAGACTAGTTGTAAAACTCACTTTTGGTGGATGTGCAGCATGAAGGACTGAGAAGATCTACCTGAATGCCACTAATTTGGCTTATTTTCTTTAAAATTTTTTGTTTAACACATCATATGCAACAGTATTTAAGAAGAAAAAACTCCCCAACATTTCACTGGAAGCTGCAAGAATTAGCTCCAGGCTTCTCCTGTCTTAACTCTTGTATTATTGCTTGTCAGAAATACTAAAGGGTCGTTGAGCACTTTGTTCAATAGTTTCCTCACCATTGATACTACCTTACTCCAGGAGAGACCGAAAGGATTCCTCAGATATGTCCTGGCATATTTCTAATTTAACTGGTATGCTGTAGGAAAAAAAGAATTGTGAAAGCCTCTCTCTGGTTTCAGAGGCAATCAGTAGGACTTGTTGCTGAACAACTTTGGTGACTCCCAAACATCTAATTGTACAACAGATGGGTCACTGTGAATGTCTTTATTAAGTACCCAAGGGGGTCCCACATAATGTTTGGAGGGCTGCATGGAATGTAATCCCCCAATCACTTCTCACTATGGGTTACTTGGGGGAAGGATGGCTGAGAGAGATTTTATCGGCTCTAAGATGAACAGAACAAAGCCTAAACTAGTGCTTAGGGCAGAAATACATGAAACTAGTTAGTTGTTGTTTTAGACTGAATTATGTCTCCCCCAAATTCGTATGTTGAAGCACTAATCCCTAGTACCTCAGAATGTGACTGTATTTGGAGATTAAGTTAAATGAGGTGATTGGGGTGGGCCCTAATCTAATCTAGCTGGCGTCCTCACAAGGGGAAATTTAGATTTACAGAGAAGCACAAGGGTCACACGCACACAGAGGAAACACAGCAAAAAGGTGGCCATTTGCAAGCCAAGCAAAGAGGCTTTAGAATAAACCAAACCTGCCAACACCTTGATCTTGGATTTCTAGCTTCCAGAACTGTGAGAAAGTAAATTTCTATTGTTTAAGCCACCCAGTGAGTGATATTTTGTTATGGCAGCTCTAACAACCTAATATAGCTATAAGATATTTTTCCCCTCAGAATTAAGCTTATTTGAGCATCTAATCTTACTGAATCCAAATATTGGTCAGTTCCCAAGCACTTCCTGTGGGTGAAATGATGTGGTCCTTTAGCCATGCCAGTAAGGGTGTGGCGTATGTGGAGTGGTGTGCTGTTGCCATTCTTCAGAGGAAGTATATACCACTGGGCATATAGCTTGAATTCTGAAGACACAAGATGCAGCTTACTTGCATGGATTCAAGACTCCTCTACAGAGAAGTGAAACTTGAAGTCAAATTGAGGTCATACACAAAACAAGATGAAAGAGCGAATTCAAATATACTAAAATTGAATTAAATCAAAATGTGCCAAATTAAAATACATTAGAACTAGGAATTAAATTGAGTGTCAGCCCGTGTCTACTGCAAAAGTTATCATAGGAATGGAAGTACTAACCTCTAGCTTTTGTTCAAATCTAGATTTCCACCTCGGGTAATCACTGTGTTGAATTGTCTTCTCATTTGTATTATTACCAACTTAAAAAAATTCCTCATGTAAGGCTTGTTTTAATATGGTCTTTAGTTAGTTTAAGAGGCTCCTTTTTATTTATTAGAAATAGGATGTCAAAATTTAATGATAGTTTTAAATAAAATTTTCTGTATAAATATAGACTAGAGATTTGATGGAGTTCATAGACATTTCTAAATGGAGTAAATTGTACAATAATGATTTCAATAATAATTCATTACATACATACAGAGAGCATTTGTTATGTGAAATTTTTATGCTAGGCTCTGTGAGAAATAGTCAAAGATAAGACATACAAAGACCTTATGGTTCAGTAGGAAAGGTAACTAATCAAATAAGTATGATGCGAAATAGAAAGTGTTAGATGCACCTGTAACCAGTTATGTTAAAATAGGCAAAAGAAAAAATGTTTTCTTGACAATTTGTAAAAAACTTTAAAATACCTGTTTTTGAGCCTCACAAACAGGAATGGCAGGAGGGTAAGATATCATCCCATATAACAAATGAGGATGCTGCTGCTCAGAAACCCATTCCTCTGATGGCTGTCCTAGTACCTTTGTACTCTCTACCATGTCAAGTAAATTTTAAAGTGGGCTTTGTATGTAGAAAAAATAGATTGGTATCATTTTCTGGAAGAACCCACAGGCTGGCGGACACTCCAGTAATGACTTGATTAATGAACTCTTGAGGAACAAAGCTCCATTAATGAGGTTGGTCCAGGTGTATACTGGGAGAGAGAAGGAGACCCAGCCAAGGCAAAGCTGGGGGAGGCTCCCCACGGGGTACTACAGATGTCAAGCCTCCTGTTGAAAAAGGCATCCCTTGGAAGGTGTGGGGGATGGAGCTACACATCCTGGAATGCATCCTTATACTTTTTATAAGGTTTCCATGTCTGTTACATAGCGTACCCTCTCCCCTTCTCTGCTCCACGTCATTAATAAAAGTTTCACTGTTTTGTGTTCTTTTCTACCCATCATTGTGTTAGAAGTTTGTTGAAGGTATAAGCTATATCTGATCCCTTATCCATAGCTGGACTATACTGTAAAACACCTTTTGCATAGCCATAGGTTACATCAGTCAGCTTTCTGAAGCACTGTAATTACATTTATTGACAGTTTCTTGGTGTGTATATCATTATGTTGTTTTTGACCATTTTGAAGGGAAATGCCTAATAATTATTTTCTGTTTCTTATACCTAGTTTTTTGTCTGTGTCTTCTTAGTCCTCTTATCAATCAAGGTCTTTCTAAACTCGTTTCCTCTTGAACTCAAGTCTCTACTTGCAGTCCATCTTCCTTCATGTTTTATAATATATTCCATCCTTTTCTCTCTAACCCTCTACTGCTCTCATTCATCAGAGGTTCACTTTTTAATACCAGGAAAAAAAACAGTAATCGGTAGAGAGGACTCAAATCTTTAAAACATCTCTAGGCTAGACCACTGCTCGTACAAAGCCATTACTAAGCATAGCAGCTTTTCTAGTTGGTTACTATAGAGACAAATGACATTAGATGGAGTGACGCTTGGCAGAAGCTAGGCATGTAGGCTTTGTGAGATTGGAGGCCTCATATGCATGGTCATTTAGAAAGAGTCAAAAACCAGAAAGGATAGGGAGGGGAAATGCTTCACAAATGAGCTAATAGGTAATTAATTGGTAGAAATTTGGTTGGTAGAATTTGTGCCTGATAAGGCTTTGAATCCGGCATGCAAAGAATCCACCTCTAAGTACCCCCTGGTATGATTACACAGTAATATTTTTCAGGTAACAGCTTTGTTGAGATAGAATTCACATAACATGTAATTCACTCATTTGAAGCATCTGAGTCAATAGTTTTTAGAATATTCAGAGGTGTGCAACCATCATCACAATCAATTTTAGAGTATTTTCATGATCTCAAAAAGAAGCTTTGTAGCCTTTAGCACATCCCCCTCCCCAGCATATCCCCCAAGCAGTAGGCAAGCACTGAATTACTTTTTGTCTCTATAGTTTTGCCTATTCTAGACATTTCATATAAACGGAATCTTATAATATGTAGTCTTTTATGACCAGCATCTTTGAAGCATAATGTTTTTGATGCTTCTTTCATGTTGTGTTATATATTGATGCTTTATTCCTTTTTATTACCCAATAATTTTCCATTGTATAGGTATACCACGTTTTATTTATCTGTCAGTTGATGGACATCTAGGTGGTTTCTACTTTTTGGCTATTACACAAAATGCTGCTATTAACATATGTGTACAAATTTTTGCATGGGATGGGACAAATGTTTTCATTTTTCTAGGTTTATGCTTAGGAGTGGAATTGCTGGGTAAGATATTGTAACTCCTTTTTAGGAGCTACCAGACTGGTTTTCTGTTTGTTTGTCTGTTTGTTTTGAGACGAGTCTCACTCTGTCACCCAGGCTGGAGTGCAGTGGCGTGATCTCGGCTCACTGCAAGCTCTGCCTCCCAGGTTCACACCATTCTCCTGCCTTAGCCTCCCGAGTAGCTGGGACTACAGGCGCCCGCCACCACACCCGGCTAATTTTTTTGTATTTTTAGTAGAGACGGGGTTTTACGGTGTTAGCCAGGATGGTCTCGATCTACTGACCTTGTGATCCGCCCACCTCTGCCTCCCAAAGTGCTGGGATTACAGGCATGAGCCACCATGCCCGGCCACCAGACTGTTTTTTAAAGCAGGTGTACCATTTTACATTCCCACCAGCATTCTAATTTCTCCACATTCCCACCAACACTTGCTGTTCTGTCTTTTTGATTATAGCCATGGTGGTGTGTGACATAGTATCTCATTGTGGTTTTGGTCTATATTTCCCTGATGGCTAAAGATGTTAAGCATCTTTCATATGCTTATTGGCCCTATGTATATCTTCTGTGGAGAACTGTCCATTCAG
The DNA here is from genome assembly GCF_000001405.40 of Homo sapiens. Taxonomy (NCBI): domain Eukaryota; kingdom Metazoa; phylum Chordata; class Mammalia; order Primates; family Hominidae; genus Homo; species Homo sapiens. Next base: position 118,887,970 of record NC_000006.12, on the reverse strand, counting down.
ATCCTTAACCACTCCCTTCACCCCTTTTTTAAAAAATACAGACGGAGTCTCACTCTGTTGCCCTGGCTGGACTTGAACTCCTGGGCTCAAGTGATCTTCCCACCTCAACCTCCTGAGTAGATGGAACTACAGGAGCATGCCACCATGCCAGCTCTTTGCCTATTTTGAAAATTGGGTCATCTGTCTTTTTATCATTGAGTTGTAAGAGTTCCTTATGTGTTCTACATACAGGTCTTTTGTCAAACACATGATTTGCAAGAAGTTTCTCTAGTTGTTTGGATTATCTTTTAATTTTCTTGGTGGTGTCCTTTGCAGTGTAAAAGCTTTTAATTTTGATGATGCCCATTTAATCTATTTTCGTTATGTTGGATTGTGCTTTTGATGTCATTTCTCAAAAACCATTGCCTAATCCAGCGTCATGAGGATTTACACCTGAGTTTTCTTCTAAGAGTTTTATTCTTTTAGCACCTTACATTTGGGTCTTTGATCAAGTTTGAATTAATTTTTGTATATGGTGTGAAGGGGTCCAAATTCATACTTTTGCATGTGCTTGTCCAGTTTCCCAGCAGCATCTGTTGAAAAGACTATTTTCCTAATGAATTGGCTTGGAACCTTTCTCAGAATGAATTGACCTTAAATGTATGGGTCTATTTCTGGACAATCAATTCTGTTCTGTTGATCTGTGTCCTTATACTACTGCTACATTGTCTTGATGACCTTAGGTTTGTGTAGTATGTTTTGAAAGCAGGAAGTGTGAGTCCTCCAACCTTGTTCTTTTTTTTCAATATTGGCTATTTTGCATCCCTTGAATTTTCATATGAATTTTAGGATCACTCTATCAATTCTGCAAAGAAGCCACCTGGGATTGTGATAGGGATTGCATTGAATCTATACATCCCTTTGGGGAGTACTGCCATCTTCATGATGCTGCCTTCCAATCAGTAAACATGAGTTCGCCTTTAATTTCTTTGAGTAATGTTTTGTAGTTTTCCTTCTTTCTTTTTTTGAGATAGGATCTTGCTCTGTTTTTTAGGCTGGAGCACAGTGGCACAATGATAGCTCACTGCAGCCTTGAACTTCTGGGCTCAGGCGATCCCCCAACGTCAGCCTCCAGAGTAGCTAGGACTACAGGTGTGTGTGTGTGTGCCACCACATCCGGCTAATTTTTTGAAATTTTTCATAGAGACTAGGGTCTCACTGTGTCGCCCAAGCTGGTCTCAAACTCCTGGCCTCAAGCCACCCTCCCACTTCAGCCTCTTGAAGTGCTGAGATTACAGCGTGAGCCACTACACCTGGCCTGTTGTTTTCATAGTATAAGCTTTGTACATTCTTGATTAAATTTATTCCTACATATTTTATTCTTTTTGATGCTATTGTAATGGAAATATTTTTCTAAATTCAGATTCTTCTTTGCCAAGTGTGTAGACATAGAATTGATTTTTTTTTTTGGTATCTGTCAGTCTAGCTGAGGTCATTTATTAGTTCCAATAAATTTCTAGTGGATTTCTTAGGATTTTGTGTATACAAGATCATGTCATCTGTAAATAGAGATAGTTTTATTTCTCCCTTTTCCTTCTGGATGCCTATTGTTTCTTTTTCTTTCTCTCTCTCTCTCTCTTTTTTCTTTTTGGCCCAATTTCTCTGTCTATAACCTGCAGTACAATGTTGAATAGATATAGTGACAGCAAACATCTCTGTCTTGTTCCTGATCTTAATGGGAAAATTTTCAGTCCTTTATCACTAAAAATGATACTAGCTGTGAGGTTTTTTTAGATGCTTCTTGTCAGGTTGAGGAAATTCCTTTTTGTTCTTAGTTTGTTGAATGTTTTTATCATGAAAGGGTATTGAATTTTGTCAAATGCTTTTCCTGCTTCTATTGAGATGATCATGTTTTTGTTTTTTGTTTTTTTTTTTTGGTCCCTTATTCTACTAACGAGAATACCATATTGATTGATTTTTCAGGTGTTAAATGAACCTTGCATTCCTGGAGTGAATTCCACTTGGTCATGGTGTATAATCCTTTCTACATAATGCTAGATTTAGTTTGCTAGTATTTTGTTGAGGATTTTTGCATCTGTATTCGTAAGTGATATTGATCTTTAGTATTCTGGTGATGTCTGTGTCTGATTTTTGGTCTGTGGGCAATACTGCCTATAGAATGAATTAGGAAGTGCTTCTCCCTCTTTTCTCTCTATAGAAGAGTTTGTGAAAATTTGGTGTTTGATTCTTTAAATTTTCGGTGGAATTCACTAATGAAGTTATCTGTGTTGTTTTTCTTTATGGGTGGTTTTAAAAACTATTATTACTAATATTGCCTCTGTGTTTATAGTCTATTCAGGTTGTTTTTTCTCCTTGAGTTAGTTTCAGTAGTTGGTATCATTCTAGGGATTTGTCAGTTTCATCTAAGTTACTTAATTGGTTGATGTAAAATTGTTTACACTGTTCCCTTACAATCCTTTTGACTTCTGTAAAGTCAATAATAATGCCCATCTTTGATTCCTGACTTTACTAATTTGATTCTTTCTTTTTTGTTTGGTCACCCTAACTAAAGGATTGTCAACTTTTAGTTTCATTAATTTTCTCTATTTTTATTCTCTATTCCAGTAATTTCTGCTTTAATATTTATTATTTCCTTCCTGTGCTTGCCAATAGTTTAGTTTACTCTTCTTTTTTCCAGTGTCTTAACGTAGAAGCTTAGATTACTGATTTGAGATCTTCTTTTTTATTTTATTTTTATTTATTTATTCATTTTTGAGATGGAGTCTCACTCTGTCTCCCAGGCTGGAGTGCTCTGTCTCCCATGCTGGAGTGCAGCGGCGCAATCTCAGCTCACTGTAAGCTCCGCCTCCCGGGTTCACCCCGTTCTCCTGCCTCAGCCTCCTGAGTAGCTGGGACTACAGGCGCCCACCACCACGCCTGGCTAATTTTTTGTATTTTTAGTAGAGATGGGGTTTCACCATGTTAGCCAGGATGGTCTCGATCTCCTGACCTTGTAATCCACCCACCTCGACCTCCTAAAGTGCTGGGATTACAGGTGTGAGCCACTGCGCCCAGCTGGCTATTGTTTTAATCTTAGGGTTCTTTGTTGATCTGCCTAGTTTTATTATCCTTATGAGTTGATGATTTTATCCTTTTAAAATGCCCATTTTAATTGCTAATAATTTTTTAAATTTAAAAATCTTTTGTCTGGTATTAGTATAAATACTCCGGCTTTCTCATTGATATTTACATACGTATGTTTTTCCATCCTTTTACTTTCAACCCATTTCTTTCTTTGAATCTAAAATACCTCTTGTAGATAGCATATAGTTGGTTTTTCTTTTTTGTATCCATGCTGTCAATATATGCCTTTTGATTGGATTATTCAGTCCATTCACATTTAATGTTACTGATACGGTTGCATTCCTATCTGCCATTTTATATTTTGTCTTCTATATGTCTCAAGTTGTTTTGTTTTTTTTTAAATTCCTTTTTTACTGCTTTCCTTTGTATCAAATGAATATTTTCTAGTATAGCATTTTTTATTTCTTTAATGATTTTTCTCTATTTTTGTTATGATTTCCTTAGTGGTTGTTATAGGGCTTACTTAATGTATCAGTGTTTCAGATGTAGACTTATTTTATTTCACTGAGATACAGAAATGTTGTCAATTCTATACCATTTTCCCCTTTTTATGCTGTAATTGTTACACATATTTCATCTGTATATGTTACAAACACAAAAATACATTGGTATAATTATTGTTTTATGTAATTTTATACCTTTTGAAGAAGCTCAGAAAAGAAGGAAGAGCAAGAGTTTGTTATATTAACTTTCTTAATTACTATTTCTGGCTCTCTTCATTTGTTCTTGTAGATTTGAGTTACCATCTGGAGTCATTTCCTTAATCCAATATAGCTTTCTTTCCACCTGCATTCTTTTGCTGTTACTGCCAAATATATTGCATTTCTATATGTTATAGGCCCAACAATACAATTATATACTTTTTTATACAATTGCTTTTAAAATCAGTTTAGAAAAGATATGTGTCTCTAAACTGTTTTTTCTAGTTACATAATTACCTTTGCCAGTGCTCATTCTTTTTTCAATTTGAGTTATCACCCAGAGAGATTTGCTTTTGGCTTAAAGAACCTCCTTTAGTAATTCTTTTAAGGCATGTCTGCTAGCTACTGATGCTCCCAGTTTTTGTTTATCTGGGAATGTCTTTATTTTTCCATAATTTTTGAAAGATAGTTTTGCTGGATATCAGACTCCGGGTTCGATTTTTTTTTTTCTTTCAGCACTTTGAATATGTAATCCCACTGCCTCTGGCCTCCACTGTTTCTGATTAGAAGTCAGCTCTTAATTTTATTGTGGCTCCCTTTTAAATGAAGAGTTGTTCTCTTATTGATTTAAAATTTTCTCTTTATCTTCAGTTTTCAGCATTTCTGCTATGATTTATGGGTGTGGATTTTTTAAAACATATATCCTACTTGGATTTTGTTGAGCTTCTTGAATGTATAGTCCATTGTTTTTCATCAAATTTGGAGAGTTTTCAGTCATTTTTTTCTAACTTTTTTTCTACTCCTTTTAGTTCCCCTCCTTCTGGTACTCCCAATATATATATATTATTCTGATTAAAGGTGTACAACATTTCTTTGACACTCTGCTCATTTTTTATCTTGCCCTTTACCTCTGTTCTTTGGATTGCATAATTTCAACTGATCTCTCTTAAAGTTTGCTGACTTTTTCTTCTGCAATTTCAGGTTTACTCTTGAGCTATCTAGTGAATTTTTTGTTTCAGTTATTGTACATTTCAAATCCAGAATTCTTACTTGGTTTTTAAAAATCCTTTTTATCTCTTATTGATATTCTCTATTTGTTGAGACATTGTCATCATCCCTTTTTTTTTTTTTTTTTTTGCATCTTTGAGCACATGTAAAATGGCTACTTTGAAGGCTTTGCCCACTACATTTGAAATCTGGATCCTCTCACAGGCAGCTTCTGTTGTCTGCTTTTTCTCCCTGTGTGTGGGCCACATTTTCCTGTTTTTTTGCACATCTTATACTTCTTTGTTAAAAACCGGATATTTTAATTTAATGTATTATACCAGTTCTTTATATTAATTCTCCTCCAGGCCTCGTTTTTTATCCTTTTTTTTATTGTTGTTTGCTTGTTTAGTAACTTGGCTAGGTTCATTTCTTGAAGTCTGTGTCTCCTCACAGTGTGAAGTCGCTGATGTTACTCCTCAGAGGCAACAGCCTTTACGTGTGTGTACAGTCACTCTTAGGATGATAATTTTAACCAACCTTTCCTTGACTCTCTCCTTGATCTCTGTTAAGCTATCTGTGCTGTTTGGTATCATACTCGGCTGGTAGGCTCTAGTTGTTGATTGCTCTGTTCTTTTTGGCAATGCCCTGGGGATAAGTTGCTCAGCACTCTGGTTCAATTAAATTTGGTCAGGGATACTTTTTGAATCCAGTACTTGAGGTTTGTTCTGACCCCAGAAGTGCTCTTGTTGGCTGTTTCCCTGGTTCTCTATGGTAAACTAGCTGGCCTATGGTTTAGCATACAGCTGTAATAGAGCTACCAGCCTTTTTATTACTTGCTACCAAAATCTCCATTAGGCTTGAATTTCCCTGCACTGTGTTCCAAATAAAGTCAGTTTCTTGTGGGGGAAGATTCAGATTTTCCTTTCCCTGTTTTTGTGGACTCTCTCTCCCCCTGGTCAAACTCTCTGAGCTACTGCTCCAGCCAGGGGGCGGAAATGGTAGCCTCTGCCCTTATTGGCTTTGTCTTTCCAGGTGGAACCTTTACCTTATGAGTCAGCTGGATTGAAGGCATTTGGGGTGCCGAGGATTCTTTGCCTGTCACACCTAGGGTAGATCCTCTACTCTGTGCGTTGGGATTGGGTGGAGGAAGGAAGATCGTGACCTTTTGGCCACAGTCACCAGGAATTTAGCTTCTGTACCTCACACGTGGAGGGGATAAGAAATGCTTTCTACCCCTCCTGGTACGATATCTTATCCCTTGATTAAGAGCTCATAGGGAGCTCCTCTTCTTGACCACATTCACCTGTAGTGAAGCCTCCATCCAGCTAAGCAAGAAGAGAAGGGGAGAGGCAGGAAGCAGGTCATGATTTAAGTGTCTTAGACTCTCACTATTCTTATGAAGTTTTAGATTTCAATGAATAAATGTTTCTTCATTTACTGTATGCCCTTAGATTTTCCATAGTCTGTATAAATGGTTGGATTTTAAAAAATAATTTTCACCAGTTATACTTGCTTCAGTGAGGAGGATGTCCATGGAGCTCCTCACACTGCCATTGCAGAAGTGAAACCTCTGAAGTGATGTTTTTAACGCTGTTTTCACTGTTCAGTTTTTCTAAGTGCAGTCATTATTCCTGGTTTGCTAGTAATTTCTGGTGCCATTTTTCCTCCCTTGGTGTTTTTAATGAAGCTTTATTTGGTCACTAGTTCCATGTCCTCATAGAGAAAATGTAATACTTATACAATAAATTCCGCACATTGACTCGCTCACTGAATTTTACCATAGGATACAAACAAACTACAAGTCAACAGGAAGATGAGTGCTGTTTTTTGGAAGGGTGTGTATAAATATGTATTGACTGGAGGTACTAGTTGGGAAATGGAAAGTTTCAAGGAGGAAGGAAACGTTCTTATCTAGATGCGGAGGGAGTCAGGATTGAAAAAGGTGGGGCTCAGGAAAGTTAGGGTGTATAAATTAAACATTATTATAAAATTATACGTAATCCTTGGCTGACATAGTACTTCAGTGCATTATGCTTACTTTAGTGCATGCAGTAGTTCATCCGGGGTTTTGCTTTGCATGATTTCAATTTCCCATAGTCAATCACTGTCTGAAAATAGATGAGTTCATTACAGTAAGATATTTTGAGAAAGACCACGTTCACATAACTTTTATTGCAGTATATTGTTATAATTGTTCTATTATTATTTTTTGTTAATCTCTGTGCCTAATTTATAAATTACCTTATCTTAGGTTTGTATGTGTAGGAAAAACATAGTGTGTATAGGGTTCAGTACTAGCCACACTTTCAGGCATGCACTGGGGGTCTTGGAACGTATCCCCTGTGGATAAGGAGAGACTACTATGCTTTGATATTAACAATAAATGTTTGCTGAATTGTTGAACACAGGAATCCTCTACAAGAAGAGAGAATGAATTGGTACTCATCCCTTTGTCCCCTGGCTGCCTTCTACTAACTTCCCTATTCCAGTACTAAAAACCCAAAGTTTGAAAGGAAAGACATCTTAAATATAATCACCTTTTAATCATTAGAAGTACTATTTATTTCCCTCTTCTTGCCTCTCATAAGACAGAGACAAAGAGACAACTTTGTTTTCCTTCTGTCTTTTGCATTCAAGGAATTAACAAAAGTGGGAAGAAATACTTAGCTGTCTTAGTTTTTAATTACCTTTGCCACAGATTTCAGGAAATGGCTGAAAGTCCTTTCTGTATTGCTAAGAGACAGATTTAGAAGGGATTTTTAGAACCTTTAGTCCTTTAGGCAGTTACCTACTCATTGCATAAATACCTTTTTATACTATCCTGACAAGTGGACATTCTACTTTGACTTACTTTGATGAAAAGTTCACTATTTTGTAAGGCAGCTCATTCCTCTTCAAACACCTCGAGTTTCCAACAGTTCCTTGTAAACTTCTACATGTTAGTCTCAGTTAATTTCTTTTGAAGCTGCTACAAATTTATCTAATTCCTCTTCCATAGGAGAGTTTTCAGAGGATATAAAAATTTCGATTCCCTGTATTTTTTTTTTTAATTAGGCTAAACAGACCCAATGTTACAAACCATTCTTTAAATGGTATTATTTGCATGTCCTTCATTATTTCATTGCCCTTTTTATTCTTTCTTTTTCTTTTCTTTGGTGTTTTTTTTTTGTTGTTGTTTGTTTGTTTGTTTTGTGCACTCTCACTCTGTCGCCCAGGCTGGAGTGCAGTGCATGAGCTCGGCTCCACCTCCCAGGTTCAAGTGATTCTCCTTGCCTTGCCTCCCAAGTGGCTGGGATTACAGGGACCCACCACCACGCCTGGTTAATTTTTGTATTATTAATAGAGACAGGGTTTCACCATGTTGGCCAGGCTGGTCTCAAACTCCTGACCTCAAGTGATCCACCTACCTCAGCCTCCCAAAGTGCTGGGATTACAGGCATTAGCCACTGCACCCCGCCTAGTCTTTCTATTAGTTTTTTTTTTTTTTAATTTGATGTCCCAACATGGACATTAAAACACTAGATCAAGAATTGGCATCCTTTTTCTGTAAAAGGCCACATACTAGTATTTTTTATTCTGATGGCAGTATAATGTCTATCACAACTACTTACCTCTGCCATTATAATATGAAAGCAGCCATAGACAGTATGTAAACAAATTAGCATGACTGTATTCCAATAAAATTATATTTCCAAAAACAGGTAGCTAGGCCACATTTTGTGCATAGATCCTCTAGAAGTTGTCTAACAGATATCTACACTTGTGAATGCTATTCTTGTGTTAATGCATTTTTAAGATCATATTCAGATATTTTGACTGATATTAGTATAGCTTCCTCAATTCTGTTTTGGTTATTGTTTGAACAAAATATCTTTCTCCATCCTTTCACTTTTAACCTATTTGTGCCTTTAAGTCTAAAGTGTGTCTCTTGTAGACAGCACATAGTTGGATCATGGGTTTTTTTTTTTTTTCCCCCTCCATTCTAACAACCTTTGCCTTTTCATGAAGTAGTTCATCTGTTTCCATTTAATGTAATTACTCACAAGGCAGGATTCATGTATACTATGCTCCTCTTTGTTTTCTACATGTCTTATGTCTTCTTTGTTCTTACATTCCTCCATTTCTGCCTTCTTTTGTATTTTTTGTCTGTTTTGTTTTGTTTTTGAGACAGGGTCTTCCTCTGTTGCCCAGGCTGGAATGCAGTGGTATGATCTTGGCTCACTGCAGCCTCCACCTCTTGGGCTTAAATGATTCTCCTAACTCAACCACCCAAGTAGCCAGGACTACAGGTGTGTGCCACCTGCCCAGCTAATTTTTGTATTTTTAGTAGAGACGGGGTTTTGTCATGTTGCCCAGGCTGGTCTTGAACGTCTGAGCTCAAGCAATCCACCCACCTCAGCCTCCCAAAGTGCTGGGATTACAGGTGTAAGCCACTGTGCCCAGCCTCTTTGGCATTAAATATATTAAATATATATTTTCTAATGTATTATTTTAATACCCTTCTTGTTTCTTATATATTTAAAGATATTAATAGTTGCCTTGGGGGTTATTACCAACTTTTTAATTTAAAGCAGTTTAGTTCAGATTAATGCCAATTCAATTTTCATAGTGTGTAAAAATTTGTTACAATGTAATTCTATTCCCTTTTCTTTGTGCTATTATTGTCATACAAATTATATCTTCATATGTTATAAGCCACTCAACACATTTTATAATTTGTGCTTATACAATTTTCTTTTAAATCAGATAAAAGAAAAAAAGTTACAAAGTTACAGTTATGCTGTCTTTCATTTTTTACCTATATAGTTATCTTTATTGGTGCATTTTATTTCTTCATGTAGGGTTGAATTACCATCTTAGTGTTTTTTCATTTCAGCCTGAAAGACTCCTGTAGTATTTCTTATAGGTCTATTAGCATTAATTTGTTTTTGCTTTTTTTTAACTTTACATTAATTAAATTGTAGACTATGTATTTTTTGATCAGTATTATCTTTTAATATTCTCTCCATATTGTGTTTAGCTGTACAATACTTTATCTTGTTTTTGTTTTTCTGTTTTGAGGCAGGGTCTCGCTCTGTCACCCAGGCTGGAGTGCAGTAGTGTTATCATAGCTCACTGCAGCCTGGAACTCCTGGGCTCAAGCAGTCTTCTTGTCTTAGTCTCCCAAATGGCTAGGATTACAGTCATGCACCACCATGCCTTGCTAATTTTTTAAATTTTTGTAGAGATGAACTCTCACTCTGTTGCCCAGGCTTGTCTTGAACTCCTGGCCTCAAGTGATCCCTCATCTCAGCCTCCTAAAGTGTTGAGATTACAGGTGAGAGCCACCACACCAGGCCTAGTACTTTGTTTTTTAATTGTTATGCATTATTCCACGGTCTGAATATACCACAATTTATTCATCTGTTCTGTTGATAGCCTTTTCAGTTGTTTCCAGGTTTAACTATTATGAAGAATTTTATGATGAGCCCTCTTTTACCTATCTCCCTCCTGGTGCAGATGGTCACAATCTCTGTATGGAACAGACTTAGCAGTGAAGTTTCTGAGTACATGAGTATGTATAACTGAAACTTTTGTAGATATTGCCAAACTCTTTTCCAAAATAGTTGTATCCGTTATTATTCCCATTAGTAGCACATGAGAGTTGACTTTGCCTCACAACCTTGCCAGTACTTGCACTGTCAGATTTTTAAATACTTAACCATACTTGTGGGTGTGTAATGGCATTACACTGTAGTTTTAATTTGAATTTTCCTTATTATTTATGAGGTTGAGCACCTTTTCATGTGTTTATTGACTTTCTCTTTCATGAAATACCTATTTTAAGTCCATTCTCCATTTTTCCATTAGGTTGTCTGTCTTTCTCTTAGTGGTCTTGGCTAGGTTATGTAGTACTGAGTAAGAGACCACTTCAAAACTTAGCAGCTTATTTTGTTTACAGATCTGCAATTTGGGCAGGTTTTTTCTGTTCCATGTGCATCAGCTGTGGCAGCTCAACTGGGGGCTGGAGGATCCACTTTCAAGATAGCTACTCATATGCTTGGCACATTGGTGCTGACTGTAGGTTGGGTGCTCACCCTGGGCTGTGGGTCCTTGGTCCTCACTTTCTGTCCACACAGGCCTCTCTGTAGGTTGCTTAGGCTTCTTTACAACATAGTGGCTGGGCTCTAAAATCTAGCATTCCAAGAAAACAAGTCAGAAATGTCTAGCATTTTAACAATCTAGCCTTGAAAATGACATGGCATTGTTTTCACCATACTGTATGGGTCAAGGCAGTCACAAAGCTCTGCCCTGATTCAAGGGGAGGGGATATATTGAACATATTTTCATGTGCTTATTTGCCATGTGTATATTTTCTTTTATGAAAGGACTGTTCAAACTTTTTTGCTCAGTTTTTCAGTGAGGTTTTGTTTACTTCTTACTGAGTTTTGCAAATTCTTTATATATTCTGTGTACAAGTCCTTTATCAGATAAAGGATTTGCAAATACGTTCTCCCAATCTGTTGCTTATCTTTCACATTTTCTTAACATTGTAGAAGAACAAACATTTTTAACTTCAGCGAGGATCAACTTATAATTTTTCTTTGAGTACTGTGCCTTTGATGTCATATGTAAGAAATCTTTGCCCAACTCAGGGTCACAACAGTTTTTGCTTATTAATTAATAAAATTTGTTTTTTAGAGTAGTTTTAGGTTTACAACAAAGCTGAACAGAAACTATAGTTCCTATATTCTCCCTCCCTGCCATGCATACAACCTTCTCTAGTGTCAGCTAGTTTCAGAGTGGTACATTCATTACAACCGATAAACCAACAATGACACATCATTGCTACCCAAATTCTATTATTTACATTAGGATTCACTCAGTGTTGTACATTCCATGGGCTTTGGCAAATGTATAATGACACATATCCACCATTATGGTATTGTACAAAATAGTTTTACTGCCCCCAAATCCTCTGTGATCTGCCTGTTCATCCCTCATCCCTCTTTCCCTTCAACCCCTGGCAACCACTGATCTTTTAAATATCTCCATAGCTTTACTTTTTCGAGAATGTAATATAGTTGGAATCATACAGTATGTAGTATTTTCAGATTGGCCTCTTTTACTTACTAACATATGCTATTAAGGTTACTCCATGTCTTTTCATGCTCTGATAGCTCATTTGTGTTTAACAATGAATGATATTTTATTGTCTGATGTATTACAGTTTATCCATTTACCTACTGAAGGACAAGATGGTTGCCCCCAAGTTTCGGCAATTATGAATAAAGCTTCTGTAAACACCTGTGAGCAGGTTTTTATGTGCATATAACTTTCCAGTGCCTTATGTAAACACCATGGAGCACAGCTGCTGGGTTGTATGGTAACGATCTGTTTGCTTTTGTTAGAAACTGCCAAATTGTCTTCCAAAGTGGCTGTCCATTTTGCATTCCCAGAAGCAATAAATGACAATTCCTGTTGCTCCACATCCTCACCATCACTTGGTGTTGTCAGTTCTTTGGATTACAGTCATTCTAAGATGTGTAAAGATGTCATTATTATTATTATTATTATTATTTTAATTATTATTATTATTTTTTTGAGACAGGGTCTCACTCTGTTGCCCAGGCTGGAGTGCAGTGGTATGAACATGGCTCACTGCAGCCTTGACCTCCTGGGCTCAAGTGATGCTCCCACCTCAGTCTCTTGAGTAGCTGGGACCATAGACACATGCCACCATGCCTGGCTAGTTTTGGGTATTTTGTAGAGACAGGGTCTCCCTGTGTTTCTGGGCTACTATTGAAACACATATTGCTCAAGCAATATGCCTGCTTTGGCTTCCCAAAATGCTAGGATTACAGATGTGAGCCACTGCGCCCAGCTTTTGCTGGAAGTTTGATTAGCTTGGGTTGAATCTGTAGAACAAGTTAAGAAGAACTGACATCTTGACAATATGAAGTCTTCCTATTCATGAAAATGGAATATCTTTTCATTTATGTAGTTCTTCTTTGATAACATCAGACTTTTCCTCTTGTAAATCTTGTAGGTATTTCATTCATTTATACCCATTTCATTTTGAGGGGGACTAATGTAAATGGTAATTTTGTTTGTTTGTTTGTTTTTGAAACGGAGTTTCACTCTTGTCACCCAGGCTGGAGTGCAATGGCGCGATCTTGGCTCACTGCAACCTCTGCCTCCTGGGTTCAAGCGATTCTCCTGTCTCAGCCTCCCAAGAAGCTGGGATTACAGGTGCCTGCCACCATGCCCAGCTGGTTTTGTATTTTTAATAGAAACGGGGTTTCACTATGTTGGCCAGGCTGGTCTCGAACTCCTGACCTCAGGTGATCCACCCGCCTCAGCCTCCCAGAGTGCTGGGATTACAGGCGTGAGCCACTGTGCCCGGCCAATGGTAATAGGTAATGTATTTTTAATTTCAAATCACCTTGTTCATTCTTGATATATAGGAAAGCAATTGACTTTTACATATTAACCTGCAACCTTGCTATAATCACTTATTAGTTCCATGAGTATTTTTTTCTCAGTTTGTTCAGACATCCTACATAGATGATTATATTATCTGCGAACAAAGAGCATTTTATTTTTTCCTTCCCAGTCGGTATACTTTTTGTTCCTTTTCTCATCTTATTGTATTAGCTAAGACTTGGAGTACAAAGTTGAAAAGCAGTGATGAGAAAGGACATCTTTACCTTGTTCCTGATTTTGGTGGGAAAGCTTCAAGTTTCTTACCATTACCTTTGATGTTAGCTGCAGATTTTTTGTAGAGAGTCTTTATAAAGTTGAGGAAGTTGCTCCTCTATTCTTAGTTTTCTGAGAGTTTTTTGTGTTGTTGTTTAATCATGAGTGGCTGTCGGATTTTGTCAGATGCTTTTTCTGCATCTATTGATATTGTGATTTTTCTTTGTTAGGCCGTTTTATCAACGGCCTGATGATTATATTAATTGATTTTTTATTTTATTTTTTTGAGACAGGGTCTCATTCTGTTGTGCAGGCTGGAGTGCAGTGACTCAGTCTTGGCTCGCTGCAACCTCTGCCTTCCAGGTTCAAGTGATCCTCCCACCTCAGCCTCCTGAGTAGCTAGGACTACAGGCATGCACCACCATGCCCATCTAATTTTTGTATTTTTTGTAGAGATGGGGTTTCACCATGTTGCCCAGGCTGGTCTTTGAACTTCTGGGCTCAAGCAATCCGCCCACCTTTGCTCCCAAAATGCTGGGATTATAGGCATGAGCCACCACCCCCAGCCTTAATTGATTTTTTTAACGTGATTATACCTAGGATAAATCACACTTGTTCATGGTGTACAATTCTTTTTATGCATTGTGGACTAGATTTACTAATATTTTGTTAAAGATACTGGCATCTATGTTCATGAAAGATATGGACTGCAGTTTTCTTGTAATGTCTTTATCTGGTGTGGTATTAAGGTAATGTTGGCCTCATACAATGAGCTAGGAATCATTCCCTCTGCCTCTGTATTATGAAAGAGATTGTAGAGAATTCATGTCATTTCTTCCTTAAATATTTGGTAAAATTTACCAGTGAACCCATCTGGTCCTGGTGTTTTGTGTTTTGGAAGGTTATTAATTACTGATTCAACATCATTAGTAGATATAAGCCTATTCAGATTGCTTCTCCTGGTTGAAGTTTTGGCAGATTGCATTTTTTAAGAATTGGTCCATTTCATCCAGGTTATCAAGTTTATGGGCAGAGTTGTTTGTTTATATGTTCTTTATTATGCTGTAATGTTCGTGGGATCTGTAGTGAGGTTCTTTCATTTCTAATATTTGTAATTTATGTCTCTTCTATTTTTGTCTTCATTATCCTGTCCAGAGGCCGATGAATTTTATTGATCTTTTCTAAAAACCAGCTTTTGGTTTTGTTGATTGTCATTGCTTTCTGTGTAGACTTCCTTTCTTCTCTTCTCTTTTCTCTTCTTTTCTTTTCTTCCTCTTTTCCCCTTCCCTTTCCCCTTCCCTTTCCCTTTCCCCTTCCCTTTCCCTTTCCCTCCCCTCCCCTCCCCTCCTCTCCCCTCCCCTCCCTTCTTCCCTTCCTGTCTCACTGTGTTACCTAGGCTGGAGTTCAGTGGTGCAGTCACAGCTCATTGCAGTCTGCACCTCTCAGGCCCAAGTGGTCCTCTCACCTCAGCCTCCTGAGTAGCTGACACTACAGGTGTGTGCCACCATACCTGACTAATTTTTAAAATAATTTTGGTAGAGATGGTGTCTCACTTTGTTGCTCAGGCTGGTCTCTAACTTCCGAGCTCAAGAGATCCTCTCACCTCAGCTCTGCAAAATGCTGAGATTACAGGCGTGAATCATTCCACTTGGCCTCTGGTTTTCAATTTCACTGATTTCTCTTCTGATTAAATTTTTTTTTCTGCTTACTTTGTATTTCATTTGGCCTTCCTTTTTTTCCCTAAGATGAGAACTTAGATTATTGATTTTTGTATCTTCCTTCTTTTCTGGTGAATTCATTCAGTAGCACTAATGTCGCTCTAAGTGCTTTTGCTGTATCCTACAACTTTTGATAAGTTGTGTGTGTGTTTTTTTTTAGGTTTTTAAAATTATTTAAAAACTTTTTTTTCTGTAGAGGTAGATTGCATCTTGATGTATTGTTCAGGCTGGAGTATAGTTGCTATCCTCCAGGCACAATCATTGTGCACTACAGCCTTGAACTCCTGGCCTCAAGTGATCCTGCTGACTCAGCCTCCTGAGTAGCTGAGATTACAGGTGTGTGCCATCAAGTCATGTTTTTATTTGCATTTAGTTGAAAATGTTTTTAAATTTCTCTTGAAATTTCTTCTTTGAACCATGTGTTATTTAGAACTGTTTTGTTCAGTCTTCAGATATTTTGGGATTTTCCAGCTGTCTTTTTGTTACTATTTTCTTTTTTTTTTTGAGATGGAGTCTTGCTCCATCGCCCAGGCTGGAGTGCAGTGGCACAATCTCGGCTCACTGCAAGCTCCGCCTCCCGGGCTCACTCCATTCTCCTGCCTCAGCCTCCTGAGTAAATGGGACTACAGGCGCCCACCACCACGCGTGGCTAATTTTTTTTGTACTTTTAGTAGATACAGGGTTTCACCGTGTTAGCCAGGATGGTCTTAGTCTCCTGACCTCGTGATCCACCCGCCTTGGCCTCCCAAAGTGCTGGGATTACAGGCTTGAGCCACCGCGCCCGGCCTTTATTATTTTCTAGTTTAATTTCCTTGTGATGCAAACACAGACATTGTATGATTTCCATCCTTTAAGATTTGTTAAGGTATGCTGTAGTCCAGAATGTGGTCTTTTGTTTGTTTGTTTGTTTTGTTTTTGAGACGGAGTCTCCTTCTGTCGCCAGGCTGGAATTCGGTGGTGCGATCTCTGCTGACTGCAACCTTTGCCTCCCAGGCTCAAACCATTCTCCTGCCTCAGCCTCCTGAGTAGCTGGGACTACAGGGGCCCAACACCACACCTGGCTAATTTTTTGTAGAGACGGGGTTTCACCATGTTAGCCAGAATGGTGTCTATCTCCTGACCTCGTGATCTGCCCGCCTTGGCCTCCCAGTGTGTTGGGATTACAGGCGTGAGCCACCGTGCCTGGCCTTCTTTATTTTTGATGCTATTGTAATACTATGTTGAACAGGAGTGACGAGAGTGGGCACCCTTATCTTGTTTGTGATCTTAGAGGAAAAGCCTTCAACTTTTCACCATTGTATGTAATGTTGGCCCTGGGTTTGTGATAGATGGCCTTTATTGTGTTGAGGAACATCCTTCTACCCCTAACTTGTTGAGAATTTTTATCCTGAAAGGATGTTTACTTTTGTCAAATGTTTTTTGTACATCTATTGAAATGATTTTATGGTTTTTGTCCTTCATTTTGTTAATATGGGGAATCATATTTACTGATTAGCATATGTGGAACCAACCTTGTAACCTGTGGATAAATACTACCTGATTATGGTGAATGATTCTTTCAGTGTATTGTTGAATATGGTGAGTGATTCTTTTAATATATTGTTGAATATGTTTTGTTATTACTTTGTTGAGATTTTTGTATCTCTGTTAATCAGTGATATTGGCCTGTAAATTTTTTTTGTAGTGTCTTTTTCTGGCTTTGGTATTAGTGTGATATTGGCCTCAAAAGATGAGTTCGGAATTCTCTTTCTCTCTAGTTTTTGGAAGAGTTGAGTAGGATTGGTATTAATTCTTCTTTATATGTTTGGTAAAATTCAGCCATGAAGCCTTCTGGTCCTGGGCTTTTCTTTGATGAGAGACTTTTAATTATTGATTCAACTTCTTTACTCATTCATCCATGCAGATTTTCAATAATTTTTTGGTTCAGTCTTGGTAGATTATATATTTCTAGAAATTTGCCTAATTCTTCTAGGTGGTCAAATTTGTTGGCATGTAATTGTTCAGAGTAGTCTCTTATAATCCTTCATATTTCTGTATTATCAGTTATAATGTCCTTTTCATTTCTGATTTTGAGTCTTCTCTCTTTTTCCTCGTGTAGCTAAGAGTTTGTCAATTTTATTTTTTAAAAGTCAACCCTTAGTTTTGTTTATCTTTTCTATTGTTTTTCTAGTCTCTATTTCTGCTCTGATATTTGTTATTCTCTTCCTTCTGCTAACATTGAGCTCGGGTTATTATTCTTTTTCTAGTCCCTTAAGTTGTGATGTTAGATTATTTGCAATATTTCTTCTTTTTTGATGTAGACATGTATTGTTATAAACTTCCCTCTTAGAACTGTTTTGGCTGCATTCCATAAGTTTTGTCATGTTGTGTTTTCATTTTGTCTCAAGATAAAAAAAAAAACCCATTAATTTCTTCTTTGACCCAATAGTTGTTCAGAAGCATATTGCTTAATTTCCACTGTGTTAATTTTCCATGGTCCTTTCTGTTATTGAAGCAAGTTTCATATCATTGTGGTTGGAAAAGATACTTGATATGAATTCAGTTGTCTCAAATTGAAGACTTGTTTTGTGGTCTAACATGTGATGCGTCTTGGAGAATATTTTGTGTATTCCTGAGAAGAATGTGTATTCTACTGCTGTTGAGTGGAATGTTCTGTATATGTCTGGTAAGTCCATTTGGTCTAAAGTATAGTTCAAGTCCAGTGTTTTCATATTGATTTTCTGTCTAAATGATCTGTCCAGTGTTGAAAATGGGATGTTGAAATAACTTACTATTATTGTGTTGCAGGCTATGTCTCCTTTTAGACTTTTTAAAGTTTGCTTTATATGTTAGGTGCTGTGGTGTTGGGTGCATATATATTTACAGTTGTTTTACCCTCTTGATGGATGGATACCGTTCTTACTATATAATGATGTTCTTTGTCTCTTTTTGCAGTTTTTTTCCTTAAAGTCTGTTTTGTCTGAAATAAATGTAGCTACCCTAGACTTTTTTTGTTTCCATTTGCATGGGATGTCTTTCTCCATCCCTTCACTTTCAGTCTGAGAGTCCTAAAGTTAAAGTGAGTCTCTTGTAGGCATCCTATGTTAGGTCTTTTTTATCCATTCAGCCACTCTATACCTTTTGATTGGATAATTTAATCATTTACATTGAAAGTAATTACTGACAAGTAAGGACTTCCTAGTGCCATTTTTTAAATTGGCTTCTTTTTTTTTTTTTTTTTTTTGTAAATCCTTTGTTTCTTTTTCCTCTCTTGCCTTCTTTGTGGTTTGATGACTTTCTATATTGGTATGCTTTGGATCTTTTCTCTTTTGTGTATCTGTTATAGGCGTTTGTTCTGTGTTTACCCTGAGGCTTACAGAAAATATACTTACAATAGGCCATTTTAAGTTGATGACACCTTAATTTTTTTTATTATTATACTTTAAGTTCTAGGGTACATGTGCACAACGTGCAGGTTTGATTCATAGGTATACATGTACCATGTTGGTTTGCTGCACCCATCAACTCATCATTTACATTGGGTATTTCTCCTAATGCTATCCTTCCCCCAGTTCCCCACCCCCAGATAGGCCCAGGTGTGTGATGTTCCCCACCTTGTGTCCAAGTGTTCTCATTGTTCAGTTCCCACCTATGAGTGAGAACATGTGGTGTTTGGTTTTCTGTCCTTCTGATAGTTTGCTGAGAATGATGGTTTCCAGCTTCATGTCCCTGCAAAGGACGTGAACTCATCCTTTTTTATGGCTGCATAGTATTCCATGGTGTATATGTGCCACATTTTCTTAATCCAGTCTATCATTGATGGACATTTGGGTTGGTTCCAAGTCTTTGCTATTGTGAATAATGCTGCCATAAACATACGTGTGTGTATCTTTATAGTAGCATGATTTGTAATCCTTTGGGTATATACCCAGTAATGGGATTGCTGGGTCAAATGATAATCCTAGTTCTAGATCCTTGAGGAATCACCACACTGTCTTCCACAATGATTGAACTAATTTATACACCCACAAACAGTGTAAAAGCATTCCTATTTCTCCACATCCTCTCCAGCATCTGTTATTTCCTGACTTTTTAATGATTGCCATTCTAGCTGGCGTGAGATGGTATCTCATTGTGGTTTTCATTTGCATTTCTCTAATGACCAGTGATGATGAGCATTTTTTCATGTATCTGTTGGCTGCATAGATGTCTTCTTTTGAGAAGTGTCTGTTCATATCCTTTGCCCGCTTTTTGATGGGGTTTTTTTTTCTTTTAAATTTGTTTGAGTTCTTTGTAGATTCTGGATATTAGCCCTTTGTCAGATGGGTAGATTGCAAAAATTTTCTCCCATTCTGTAGGTTGCCTGTTCACTCTGAGGGTAGTTTCTTTTGCCACGCAGAAGCTCTTTAGTTTAATTAGATCCCATTTGTCTATTTTGGCTTTCGTTGCCATTGCTTTTGGTATTTAAGTCATGAAGTCCTTGCCCATGCCTATGGATGACACCTTAATTTTTATCACATACACAAAGTCTACACTTTTATTTTTCCTCCTCACACATTTTGTATTTTTGATGTCATACTTTGTCTTTTTATAATTTGCATTCCTTAAAAATTATTGTAGCTTTAGTTCTTTTAACAGTTTAACCTTTTTATTAGAAATATAATTAATTGGCTGAGTGCAGTGGCTCACACCTGTAATCCCAGCACTTTGGGAGGCCGAGGTGGGTGGATCACAAGGTCAGGAGTTCAAGACGAGCCTGGCCAACATGGTGAAACCCCGTCTCTACTAAAAATACAAAAATTAGCCAGACGTGGTGGCACGTGCCTGTAGTCCCAACTACTCTGGAGGCTGAGGAAGGAGAATTGCTTGAACCCAGGAGGTGGAGGTTGCAGTGAGCTGAGATCACACCATTGCATTCCAGCCTGGGCACCAGAGTGAGACTTCATCTCAAAAAAAAAGAAAAAGAAAAAGAAAAAAGAAATATAATTAATTTACCCAACCCCATTGTATTACTAGAGTATTTTGGATTTGACAATATACAGTCATATATCACTTTACAATGGGGATACATTCTGAGAAATGCATTATTAGGTGATTTTGTCATTGTATGAACATCATTGAGTGTATTTACACAACCCTAGATGGTATAATCTACTATACACCTAGTCTACATGGTATACTCTTTTGCTCTTAGGCTACAAACCTGTACAGCATGTTACTGTATGGAATACTATAGGCAGTTTGTGACACAATGATAAGTAATTGTGTATCTAAACATATCTAAATATATAAAATATACAGTAAAATTGCCGTATAAAATTGCATAGGGTACTTATTGTGAATGAAGCTTCCAGGACTGGAAGTTGCGCTGGATTAGTCAGTGAGTGAGTAGTGAGTGAATATAAGGGCTTAGAACATTACTGTACACTTTTATATGACTAACGGAGCAGTACATTTGTTTACACCAGCATCACCACAAACACAAGTAATGCTTTGTGTTACAGCGTTATAATGGACATCACCATCACTAGGCAATATGAGTTTTTCAGCTCCATTATAATTTTATGGGACCACTGTTGATGTCATTATGTAGCACATGACTATACTCTCTTATGTCTTCATGTTACTAATAGTGTCTTCTTCCTTCAGCATGAAAAACTCCCTTTAGCGTTTTTTTTGTAAAAGAGGTCTAATGGTGGCAAATGCTTAAACTTTTTGTTTGAGAAAGTCTTTATCACCCCCTTTTTTTAAAAGACTGAATTGCTGAGTATAGAGTTATTGGTTGATGGGGTTTTTTTTTTTCCTTTTAGGATGTTGAATGTATCATCTCACTCTCTTCTGACCTGCAAGGTTGCTCTTGAGAAATCCACTGATAGTCTTATGAGAAGGTTCTTTTGTATGTGATGATTTGCTTTTACTTTACTGCTTTCAACACTCTGTGTTTTAACTTTTTATAATTTTATTGTGATTGTCTTGGCATAGGTTTCTTTGGATTCATCTTATTTGGTATTGTTTGGGCTTCCTGTCTCTGGCTTTCTATCTTCTTACCCAGGCTTGGGAAGTTTTCTGCCATTACTTCTTTGGATGTGTTTTCTATCCCTTTCTCTTCTCCTTCTGGCATGCCAATAATACGTAAGTTGTTTTACCTGATGGTGCCCCATAAATTGCTTGAGCTACCTTCACTTTTTCTTTTCTTTTTTCTCCTCAGACTGGATGATTTCCAGTAACCTGTCTCAAGTTAACCAATCTATTCTTCTACTGGATCTTACCTACTCTTAAACCCCTCTCTTGAATTTTTCAGTTAAGTTATAGTACTCTTCAGATATATGATTTTCAATTGATAATTTTATGCTTTCTCTTTGTTGATGTTCTCATTTTTTTCTTGCATTGCTCTGTTGACCCTGGTGAGCATCTTTTTGACCATTATTTTGAATTTTCTCTCAGGTACATCACATATCTCCACTTCACTTCAGTTAGTTTCTAGAGATTTACCATATTCTTTTCTTTGGAATGTATTTCCTTGTTTCTTCATTTTCCATGACTCTCTATTTTGGTTTCTGTGTATTAGATAAGACAACTACCTCTCCCAGTCTTGTCAGACTTGTCTCATGTAGGAGAAAGTTCTCACTAATCTGTCTGGCCAAAGATTTTAAGGTGCCTCTCAAATATTCGAGTTCATCCAGACTGTTGTCTCTGTTTAGGGTTGCACTGTGGAGCTTAAGATGTGCCATGTTCTGCCAGTACCTCAAGACAGGGAAGTTAGGAGCCAGATTATCTTAGATGTAGCTGGAAAGATTGGGGTGTTGGCTATGTGTTTCAATTACTTCCATCTTCATGGTGAAGCTGAATGTGGGTGTCTATTTCCCACTCTTTCTGTGCTAAGCCAGGTAGAGGATCTATGGCAAATGTCTGAACTCATGTTTAGGCTGTGCCCTCAGATCCTGGGGAGATAGCTGCTGGATGTGGGCCCATTGTATGTCCACCTCTTTTTTTCTTGGATCTAGGACCACTCAAGAATGCAAAGTCCCATCAACTCCCAGAGCTAGTTTGTTAAGAAGACATTACCTTGGGTGGAAGTTATAGAAGTTATGGCACTTGCTGTGTAATCAGACTTTTTTCACGTAGAATGGGGGAGGCCTAGATTTATCATAGGGGTAAGCCAAAGGAAAGGATCATGAAGTGTCAAGCTCTGTTTTGGCTGCTGCAGAGCTATTTGTTTGCCCTGTTAGCTCCCCAGTGCAAGTCCATTAGAAGCCAGCTTGTCAAATGACCACTTGAAGTATGTTATAAGCCCCTTCTGGAGAGAAGATGGAAGCTACATGTTTTCACCCCTTTTTGGGACTTTTCCAAGGGGATGTAGCCGTTAGAAGTGTTTGCACACTTGTTCAAGACCACCCCTTTGTTCTGTGATCTAAGGAGACTCACATATGCCTACTATCTTCTGCTGTCAGAGCTAAGAGTAGTTTAGAGAGGGAATATTTAGGGAGGTGCTATAAAAGTTGGAGCACTTGATATGTGGCATAAACCCCATTTGAGGAGAAATAGCTGTTTTTAAAGCCCCTTCTCTGCACTGCCCCTATGGTATGACGTCCCTGAAATGCCTACATGCCCATATAAAACTGGCACTTTTTTCTGTGGTGCAGATAGACTCACATATACTTTGTTCCCTCTGGTTTCAGAGATAGGAAGTTTAGGACACAGTCCGTTGAGTGGGAGCTGTAAAATTGTGGGTGCTCAATATACAGTCAGACTCTCTTCCATGAGAGATTAATAAACCTGGAGTTACCTCTGGCATGAGCCAGGGGAGAAGACTCAAGAAGTGCCGGTCCACTTCTTAGGCTGTCAGCCAAGCTATATTTGTCTGCCTCTTTAACTTCCTGAAGCAAGTTCGTTAGAAGACAAGCAGGCATGTAGCCACCAGAAGAGTGTGTTATAGATTCCTTCCAGGCAGAAAGAAGGGGCTGCATATTTTAGGCCCCTTCTCTGCACTGCTCTTGGGGGATGAAGCCCCAGAAGTACTCGAGTGCCCATAGCAAACCACCACAATTTTATTGTGGTCTAGAGAGTCTTGGGTGTTTAATCCTCTTTGTTCTCAGAGCCGGTGAATTAAGAACCAGACCATGGGAAACCTTAGAGTTAGGGTTCTACATGTGAGTACAAATCCTCTTCTCCACAGGAAGAAGCTTGATATTAGGGAGTCCTTTCCAGATAATGTGGAGCAGTGTCTAAGGCAGGGTCCTATGCCTCAGCTTTTCCTTCCCATTTGATGTGGAAATTTTCTTAGTCGCCCAGTGTGTAGGAGTCTCTCAGCTGGTCCCTGACTTTCTCTCGGAGGGAACTGATTCGTGAATAGATGTTTATTTGGTGCTTTTGTGGGTGGAGGGAGAGTCAGGAGCTTCCTGTTCTGCCATGTTGCTGGCATCACTACCTCTTACCTCCTGCTTTTTAATGATTATTGTTGGAGTGATAAATCTTTCTCTGTCCTTTCACTTTTAATCTGTACGTGTCTTTATATTTAAAGTATGGGTTTTCAAATATTGTTTGTTCTCACTTACAAGTAGAAGCTAAGCTGTGAGGACGCAAAAGCATGAGAATGATATAATGGACTTTGGGGACTCGGGGAATGGTGGGAGTGGGGTGAGGGACAAAAGACTGCTTATTGGGTACAGTGTGTAGTGCTCAGATGATGGGGGCACCAAAATCTCAGAAATCAGCACTAAAGAACTCATCCACATAACCAAAATACCACCTGTACCCCAAAAACTATTGAAATAAAAAATAAAATGAAATATGGGTTTTGTGTAAACATCTTATAGTTGGGTCTTTTTTTTTTTTTAAATCAATTCTGACAATCTCTGTCTTAATTGATATATTTAGAACATTGATGTTTAAGGTGATTATTGATAGAGGTGGATTAATATTTAGTTAGTTTGTTTTCTGTTGTTATAACTAAATACCTAAGACTGGGTAGTTTATAAAAAAAAGGGATTTATTTCTTAGAGTGCTGGATGCTAGGAAGTACAATGTAGAGGTGGCACATTTGGTAAAGGCCTTCTTGCTGATGAGGACTCTCTGCAGAGTTCTGAGGTGGTAGAAGACATTACATGGCAAGGGGCCTGAGTGTGTTAACTCTTACTTCTCTTTTAAAGCCACTAATGCCCCATCCTCATGATCTCATCTAATCCTAATTACCTTTCAAAGGTCCCACCTCTCAAATACCATAGTTGGATTTCCCACCCTCTTAATACTGTTATGATGGGGATTAAGATTTAATATGAGCTTTAGGGCCAGGGGGACAAACATTCAGACCATAACATGTGCCATATTTGTTACTATTTTTATTTGTTGCCCTTGTTCTTTGTCCCTATTTTTGTCTTTGATGCTTTTTATGCCTTTTATGGTTTTGAGCAGTTTTTATGATTCCATTTTCTCTCCTCACTTAGCATATCAATTATATGCCTTTTTAAAAACTTTTTTTAAAGTGGTTGCCCTAGAGTTTGCATATGCATTTACAACTATTCTAAGTCCATTTTAAAATAACACTATACCTGTTCACAGGTAGTGTAAGTACCTCGTAATGACAGAATATTCCTAATTTCTCCTTGTCCTTAGATCTTTCATCTCATTCATTTCACTTATACATAAGCATAATTAAACATGTATATATACCTATGCATATACAATTAAATACGTTGTTTCTATTAATATTTTAGACAAACTGTTGTCTATTAGATCAATTAAGAATAAGAAAATAAAAGTTTTTATCTTTCAGGTTTTTTTTGTCTAATGCTCTACTTTTCTCTGTATAGATCTGAGTTTCTGACCTATGTCATTTTCCTTTTCTCTGAAGAACTTCTTTTAACATTCCTTGCAAGGCAGGTCTACTAGTAATAAATTTCTTCAATCTTTGAGAAAGTCTTTATTTCTCTTTTACTTTGAAAGGATAATTTTTCAGGGTACAAAATTCTGTGTTGGGATTTTTCTCTTTTAGCACTTTAAATATTTCACTTTACTGTCTTCTTGCTTGCATGGTTTCTGAGGAGATGTCAGATGTACTTCTTATGTTTGGTCCTGTATAGCAGGGTTCCCAACCATGGCCTGTTAGGAACCGGGCTGCACAGTAGGAGGTAAGCGGCAGGCAAGTAATCGAAGCTATGTCTCTATTTATAGCTGCTCCCCATTGCTCGCATTACCACCTGAGCTCTGCCTCCTGTCAGATCAGTGGCAGCATGAGACTCTCATAGGAGCATGAACCCTATGGTGAACTGTGCATGTGAGGGATCTAGGTTGTGCACTCCTTATGAGAATCTAATGCCTGATGATCTGTCACTGTCTCCCATCATCCCCAGATGGGACTGTCTAGGTGCAGGAAAATAAGGTCAGGGCTCCCACTGATTCTACATTAGGGTGAGTTGTATAATTATTTCATTATATGTTACAATTGATGGTGGCATCAGCCCATTTGGAGCAACTGCTGAGGGGATGCCAGCTGCAGTGTGGGAGGTGTGGCCAGGGCTGTACGCTCCATGGAGCTGGCAGGGGCCAGGAACAGGTGAGAGCCCTGCCTGCTACCAAGTTGGCTCCCCACACACCCAGGTGAAGCTACAGCCACCCAGCCATGGCTCTGGACCTAGGCATCCCTGCACTCTTGGGGGCCCAGGAAGCCCCCCTTCCCCTGAAGGCTTGGAAGTACCTTTTCCTGCTCCCTGGCCTTTCCCCACTCCTGACTGTCACTCCAATTTCAGAGCAAAGTTGAAGCCAAGCCTGAACACTCTTGTGACCTGGCCAGGGGTGCCACCCCACTGCCTTGGCTCCTTCTGAAACTGTGGGTGCTGACAAGCTCAGGGAGGGAGGATGTCGGGGGGCTGAAGGTAGCTCAGCATGGGCCTACAGGCCTCCCTCATCCTGAACAGCCTGGGCAACATGGATGGCATGTTGATGGTGGCAGGAAGCAGGCAGATTCATTCCTAGGCAGGAAGGGGTGGGTCACTGGTGAAGCCCCACCTTCAAGCCAGGGACAGCCTGAAGCCTGAGGGCTAGGCTGCCGGTTCTGGATGGAGTCCACAACCTGAAGTGAGAACTTATGGTGCTTTTTCCAGGTCCACCCGTGGACCAGTCAGCATGCACTTCCTCCCTTCTGAGCCCACAAAAACCCCAGACCCAGCCAGATGCACACACTCATCAGGTCAACCTGCCTGCAGAAAGGAGCTACCCACTATAGGTCTCCTCTCTGCTGAGTGCTGGACACTTGTCAGTACAACCTGCCTGCGGAAAGCAGCTACCCACTTCGGGTCTCCTGAGAGCTGTTCTGTAACTCATGAAGCTCCTCTCCACCTTGCTCACCCTCCAGTTGTCCAAGTACCTCATGCTTCCTGGAGATGAGACAAGAATGCAGGACCTGTTGAATGATGGGACTGAAAGAGCTGTAACACAAACAGGGCTGAAACACGTCCCTCACTCACCACATTGTGGGTGACGAGAAGGAGTGAAGAGCTGCAGCCCTTTTAGCTGCCCAAACATTGGGGCTCCCTGAGCCAGGGCTGTGACATGCTTTAACACCCTCTTTGGGGCTCTGCAGTTCCTGGTGTCTCCGAGTTTTTGGGCACCATCGTGTTCCCTTTGTTCAGATGCTGGTGCCTGCAGTAGAAGCTGCTTATGGTACGTCTGGTCCAGCTGCAGCCTCACATGGAACCGGTACCTGGAGCTGCCCGCTCCACCACAGCTGGCATGCCTGGCTGTGCACAGTGGCTGGACACCACACTCATTCACTGACACACCTGTGGCCGTCCCATGCCTGGCTTGCCATTGGCAGACATGAGATCTGGGCCGGTAGTAGTGTGAGCCAAGCGCAGCCTGCTGGGCTGAATGGGTGGAACAAGCCCAGCAGATGTGAGTAAAACTCATGCAGCGGCACCTCCAACCACAGAGGTTTCCAGCTGGCAAAGCGACATCCTAAGGATCCTGTGACATGATGTGATAATAGAAATAAAGTGCACAACAAATATAATGCACTTGAATCATCCCTAAACCATCCCCACTCTGGTCTGTGGAAAAATTTTCTCCACGAAACCAGCCTCTGGTGCCAGAAAGGCTGGGGACCACTGCTCTATAGGTAAGCTGTTTTTCTTCCTCTGGCTTCTTTTATGATTTTTTTTTAATCTTTGATTTTCTGAAGTTTGAATGGAATGTGCTTGAGTGTAGGGTTTTCTTGGGCATTCATTTTGCTGGTGTTCTCTGAGCACCCTGGATTTCTAATTTATTGTCTGACAGTATTTCAATGAAATGTTACACAATATTGCTTCACCTATTGCCTCTGTCCCTTTCTCTCTTTATTGTTATTCTTTTATTCCCATCACATGTATGTTACACCTTTTGTAGTTGTCCCACAGTTCTTGGATATTCTCTTCTTTTTTGTTTTGGAAGTTTTAATTGACGTATTTTCAAGTTCAGAGATTCTTTCTTCAGATGTGTCCAGCCTGCTAATAAACCCATTAAAGGCATTCTTTATCTTTGTTAGAGTGTTTTTGATCTCTAGTATTTCTTTTTTATTGTATCTCAGAATTTCTATTTGTTAACTTTATCCATCTGTTCTTTCATATTGTCTACTCTTTCCATTAGATCTCTTAGCATATTAATCATAGTTGTTTTAAATTCAGTTTGATTATTTCAATGTCCCCGCCATATCTAGATCCGATTTTGATGCTTGTTCTATCTCTTCAAACTGTATTTTCTGCCTTTTAGTATGCCTTGCAATTTTTTTGTTGAAAGGTAGACATGATGTACTAGGAACAAGGAAAATTGTGGTTAATATGCCTTTAGTATTGCAGTGATAAGGTGTTGGGGAAGGGAAAGGATTCTATAGTCCTGTGATTAGGTCTCAGCCTTTTAGTGAGCTTGTGTCCCTGGGCTGTGAACTTCACACGTGCTTCTCAGTTTTTTGCATATTCACCCCCTTGGGTGGTACCAGATGACTGGAAGGGGTTGGAGGTGGATATTGCCCTTCTTCCAGGTAGATAAGGCTCTGGTAAAATAGTTCCTTTTGAGGACAGGCATTGTTAAGAACAGGAAGTTCTGGCGTATTTCTAAATGGTTCCTTTTCCCTCTCTCTGCCAGAAGCAAGAGTAGATTTTACTCTCATCTTCACTGTGAGTTGCTGGTAGAGCTCTCAGTGGTAAAACTCGCAGAAAATCTAGGGGTTTCCCTATGATGGGGTCCTTCTTGATTTTTCCACTGTGAGCCATTAGCAATTTGCTAATAATAGTTCAAATTTTCTTGCCTGTTTTTCTTACATAAAAGTTTATGCTCATGAATTTCTGCTCAGCTAAGTTGTGGTTCTCTGTATCTGCCTGACCATCTTCAGTTTTGGGGCAGTAATTTGTCCTCTGATCTCATTTCTCTGATGGGTCTAAGAAGTTACTGATTTTTTTGTTTAGCTTTTTACTTGTTAGGTTGAAGTAGTGACTTGTAAGCTCCTTGTGTGCTAGACTGGAAACCAAAAGAATTCACAGCTATTTTCTCCTGTGTTTCCTTTCTTTCTTTATAGTTTTACACTTTACATTTAGGTATTGAATTAATTTTGGATTAATTTTTATATTACATGTGAGGTATGATCAAGATTCATTTTTTCTTCTTGCATGAAGATATTCAGTTACTCCAGCACCATTTGTTGAACAGATTATCTTTTCTCCATTGAATTGCCTTTTTATTTTCTATAAAAAATCACTTGACCTTCTATGTGTGGGACAACTTTTGGATTCTGTTCTGTTCCAGTGTTCTATCTGCCTAACCTTTTTCCAGTACCACACTGATTTGATTACTGTAGCTTTGTAGTATGTCATGTGAGACCTCCAAGCTTGTTTTTTGGTTTGGCTCTTCTATCTCCTTTGCTTCTCTATATAAATCATAGAATCACCTTGTCACTTTATTTATTTTTTAAAAAATCATGCTAGGATTTTGCTTGTAATTGCATTTAACTACAGAACAGTTTGGGGAGAATTGACATCTTGAAAATAGAGTTTTCCAATTTTTAAGAATTGACATCTTGAATATAGAGTTTATTTCGTCTCTCAATTTGGTTGTCATGATTTCCTCTGTCAGTGTTTTGTAGTTTTGCATAGAGATTCTTGCATGTATTTTATAAGACTTATACCCAGATATTCCATATGTTGACTTGTGTCCTCCAGCCTTGCCACACTCGTTTACTAGTTCTAGTTGGTTTTTAGTAGATTATTTGGGATTTTCTATCTAATCATATTGTCTGCAAATTTAAACAGTTTTATTTATTTATTTTTCAGTCTGTATGTTAATTATTTCTTTTCCTTGCCTTATTTCAGTGGCTAGAACCTCTAGCATGATTTTGATTAACAGTGATAAGAAAAAAATCTTGCTTTTTTCTGATCTTTGTAGGAGATGAGGAAACATTCAGTCTTTTATCACTAAGTATGTTAAATATAGGATTATTGTAAATACCCTTTATCAAGTTGAAGAAGTTCTCTTCCGTTCCTAATTTTTTGAGAGTTTTATCACAAATGATTGTTGAGTTTTGTGAAATGTATTTTCTGTATCTATTGAAGCAATTGTATGCTCTTTCTTCCTTAGCTTATTGATATGGCGAATTACACTGATTAATTTTCGAATGTTAACTTCACCTTGCATTCCTGGGATAATCCTCACTTGGCTATAATCTGTTATCCTTTTATGTATTGTTGGATTTGATTCACTTGCATTTATGAGGATTTTCGCATCCATATTAGAGGTACTAGTCTATAGGTTTCTTATAATATGTCTTTGCCTAGTTTAGTATGACAATTCAGTTATGACAATTAGTATGATAATTCTGAGTTCATTAAATGAGTTGGGAAGTGTTTACTCTTCTCTATTATTGAAAAATTTGTGTTGCATTGACATTATTTCTCAAATATTTGGTAGAATTCACTATGAAGCCATCTCAGCCTGCAGATTTCTGTGTTGGAAGGTTTTTAAATATTTAATTTTCAAAACAAATAAAGGATTATGGAAGTTATCTGTTCCTTTTTAGATAAACTTTGCATATTTCAAAAAAATTTGACTATTTTGTTAAGTTATCAAATGTATGGCATAGAGTTATTCATAGTATTTCCTTATTATTAGTTCATTATAGGATCTATAGTTATGCCCCCTCTTTCATTCCTGATATTTGTAACTTGTGTCTCCTCTTTTTTTTTTTTTTTTTTTTTTTGGTCAGTCTGGACAGAAGTTTATCCATTTTTATCAACAATAGTTATTCTTAACGTACTCATGTTTCATATACCTTTTAATGAGCTTTAGTTATATTTTATTTAAATATCCAAGAATCTCTAAGATACTTTCTATTGTTATCCTCTTTTGCAGATTAATAAAGTCAGGCTTGTATATATTAGGAAACTTGCCTATAATTCAACAGCTAGAATGACAGCTCTAGGATTCAAATCAAGTCTTGTTGACTCCAAAGCCTTTTCTTCTGACCATTCTGCTTTATTGACTGGTATACAGGACAAATAAAAATCAACAAGACATATGAAGAGAATCCCTTCCCTCATATTGTAACTGGAAGCAAACTTTTCATTTTCATCATTGGAATGTAATAATTACTATTCTCTATCACTGGACCCTTTTCTGTAAACAGCGTATAGTACACACCCTCTGTCATAAGGTCTCTGGAGATCTGTTTGCCCCTTCCAAAAGTTTAGACCACTCGACCAGAGGACCTACAAGGAGAGACAGAAAATTTGAGAACTTCTGGTTGCTACAAAATACTGGAGAACACACCTTACATTTTTAGAACATAGGAGCTTATGAGGCCTTCCAGTGACTAGATATGTGAAGCAATTGTCCTGATGCCATCCATTCTTGGTTAACTGCAAATAAAAGTCTTTATGCCCTTCTCTTTAAAATGTAGGCATTTCTTTCCTTTCATAGGTTAAGATATGCCTTTTTTGTTTTTTTAAGACAAGATCTTGCTCTGTCACCCAGGCTGGAGTGTAGTGGCTCTAATATGGCTCACTACAGCCTTGACCTCCTGGGCTCAAGCGATCCTCCCGCCTCAGCCTTCTGAGTAGCTGAAATTACAGGTGCACACACCACTGTGCCCAGCAAATTTTTAAATTATTTGTAGAGACAAGGTTTTGCCATGTTGTCCAGGCAGGCCTCGAACTCCTGTGTTCAAGAAATCTTCTCACCTCAGCCTCCTAAACTGCTGGAATTACAGGTGTGAGCCACTGCGCCCAGTCAAGATAATGCTTTTGAAAATAAAAGTTGATATGGCTTGCTTGTTTCCTCAGGTCTGACGGTAACTGCTGTAAAAGACTCAGGAGAATGGAATTTGGAGGCTGGGGCATTAGTTCTTGCAGATGCGGGCCTTTGCTGTATTGATGAGTTCAATAGCCTCAAAGAGCATGATAGGACCAGTATCCATGAAGCAATGGAGCAACAAACCATAAGTGTTGCTAAGGCTGGGTAAGAGTTTCTTTAAAATCTATGGGAATAATGAGATTATTTAATATATGCTTAGGGGAAAATGTGAACCTTGTTGAGCTATAAGGTATGTTTGGTCCTCTTTGGGATGATCAGTTACCACCCTTCAAGACACACATTAGAGTTTTTCCTTATTAGACCACAGAAGTGTGTGAGGAAATAAAAATGAGCTATTGGGAAAGAGAAAAGGAAAAGTAAAGTATAAATGTGGTTGACTAAACTAGTGGAAGGGATTTTTGAAGAGCTTTCAATGCAGGATTCAACTCATTCTCTTTTTCATTCAGTAAACATTGTATGTGTACTCTGGGCATATTTCTGTGTTAGGAATTTTGAAAAGTTCAAAAAGAAAAAAGAAATCATAGTTTCCAGCATTCTCCTTATAAATCCTCATGGAAGGTTGATTACAGCATATGGAATACTAAATAGTAAATAATGTAAGCATAAGATGAAATGCCTTTTGTGATTCAAAGAGGCTCAGGATTGAGCTGTGTGAGTCCCTGGCTACACATAAAGTGGAGGAAAAAAATAAGCCAGGTTCAGACAGAAATCTCACACAGGCACTGAAATGGTTATAGGAAACTTACCTGGCTACAAAGGCTGGCCACCAAACAGGCTGCCAGGTCATTCAAGCAGTAACAGGGCTAGAACTGTTTCCGTCTTAATGCTGCTATTATGGATGTGAAGCCAACTGATCAGACAGGTAGGGCTGCCAGCAGTGTCTTCTAATAGTTATGAGTACTTGGGAGCCAGGCAGACACTGGTATATAGAGATTCTATGAGATCTATTTGTATACTCCAGCAAAAAATTAATGGAGGAGTGAGGTAGAGGGAGGGGGGGAGAGTAGGATATAGCCCACCAGAAAAGATACAAGAAAGAACTATTAGACCTATTCATTTGTTCGTTCACTAAATATATATACTCATTAAAGACCTGCTATGTTTCAGGCATTGTGCTAGATGCTAAGAAGTACAAAGATGAATAGAACATTGTCCTTCAGGTATTCACGGTTTTATTAGAAAAGATAGATAAAAATGACAGCAAAGCGATAAGTCCACAATAGAAGTGTTATAAGAAAATATACTTTAATTATTGCTTCTAAACTCTTTGATTGAGGAAATCAGAAGTATAGTTTATTAAGTGTCTTCAGAGGCTGGTTTCTTTTCTCATTATATCTCCATTTAATGAGCTTTTTGTGCTATCTGTAAGTATGTTGTAAGTTCCAAAATCAGCATTCTGTAGCTGATTCTGTTCAGTTATTGCACCAAAAGGCCAGGCAGTTTGTCATAACCACAGCTACTTTGTGCACTGGAAAAATGCTTTTTCCACTCTATGTGGTAAAGGACTGGTTTTGACTTATTTTTTACTCCATCACTGAGAAATATTGTTATAAAATACAAGAAAAAATAATTATTAAAAATGTGAAATGAAAAAGCAATGACATACAAATATTTCAGTAAATTAAATCCAATACTATATAAAAAGGGTTATACATTATAACCAAGTGGGTCTTATCCCAGAAATGAAAGGTTGGTGTAACATTTGAAAATCAATCAATGTATTAGACTAAAAAACAAAAAGCATATCCCAATAGATGCAGAAAATGTATTTGATGAAATTAAATACTCATTCATAATAAAAGTTCTCAGCAAACTAGAAGTTTCTTTCCCTGTTTAAATGCTATCTATGAAAACCTACATGAGGCTGGGCACAATGGCTCACGCCTGTAATCCCAGCACTCTGGGAGGCCAAGGCAGGTGGATCACCTGAGGTCGGGGATTGGAGACCAGCCTGGCCAACATGGTGAAACCCCCTCTCTACTAAAAATACAAAAATTAGTTGGGCATAGTGGCACATGCCTGTAATCCCAGCAACTCGGGAGGCTGAGGCAGGAGAATCGCTTGAACCTGGGAGGAGGAGGTTGCAGTAAGCCAAGATCGTACTCCACTGTGCTCCAGCCTGGGCGACAGAGTGACCTCTGTCTAAAAACAACAACAACAACAAAAAACACCTGCGTCTCATACTTCATGGTGAAAGACAGTGTTTTCCACTTAAGATTAGGAGCAAATTAAGGATGTCAGCTCTTCTCATTTCTGGTCAATATTGTACTAGAAGTATGGTCAGTTTAGTAAGAAAAAGAAATAAAAGACATTCAGAATAGAAAGGAAGAAGTCAAAACTGCTTGTATTCTATGTGGCATGATTGTCTACATAGAAAAACAAAAAGAATTTAAGAAAAGCTACTAGAACTTATAAGTGAATCTTAAAAGGTCAATGTATAAATATTAATTTCTGTTTGCTAGCAGTGAACAACTGGAAATTGAAATAAAATATACATTTATAATAGCATCTCCAAATAGGAAGTATTTCAGGATAAATTTAGCAAAATCTATTCTACATTTATACATTAAAAACTGCAAAACATTAAGAAAATTAAAAAGGACTTAAATGGAGAGATAGATACCTAGTTTCATCTATCAGACTTAATATTGTTAAGATGCAAGTTCTCCCCAAAGCGATCTGTAGAATCACTGCATTTAAAAAAAAATTTGTTTTTGAGACAGAGTCTCACTTTGTTGCCCAAGTTAGAGTACAGAGGCCCGATCATAGCTCACTGCAGCCTTGAACTCCTGGGCTCAAGCCATTCACCCACCCCTGAGTAGCTGGGACTTACGGGGACGCACCACTATGCCTGGCTATTTTTTAAATTTTATTTTCTGTAGAGGTGGGGTCTTGCTATGTTGCCCAGGCTGGTCTCAAATTCTTGGGCTCAAATGTTCCACTTGCCTCGGCCTTTCAGAGCACTGATTACAGGCATGAGCCACCATGCCCAGCCCAGTGCAATTCTAATCAAAATCCCAAACACCACCTGTTCCCCAAAAACCTATTGAAATTAACAAAAAAAAAAATCCCAACAAGCTTTTTTGTAGAAATCGGCAGGCTGGTTTTAAAGTTTATATAGAAAAGCACAGAATAGCCAAAGTGACTTTGAAACAGAACAAATTTGGAGGACTTACGTTGTTTTAAGATTTGCTATAAAGCTGTAATTATCAAAACATTGTGACATTGGATAGACTCTTCAATGGAAGAGAATAAAGGTCCAGAAATAGACCCACAGATAATGTCAATTGATATTCAAGAACGATGTCAAATAATTCAACAGAGAAAGGATAGTTTTTTTTTAATTGTGCTAGAACACTTGACTATCCATATGTTTTCCCACCTACAAAGACCTATACCCAAATGGTTTATAGCAGCTTTGTTCATATTCACCCAAAATTATATAAACAACCCAGAAGTTTATCGACTGATAAATGGATAGGTAAATCTTGATGGACCCATACCATGGAATACTACTAGCAATATAAAGGAACAAACTGCTGATACACACATGAATCAACAACGTGGATGAATCTTAAAACCCTTATGTGAAGTGAAAGATGACAGGTACAAAAGGCTATATAGTTTGTTATTCCATTTATATGAAATGCTACAAAAGGCTAAACTGTAAGGAGAAAAATCAGAAATTTCTGCTAGGGGGTTAGAGGAAGAGAATGACTATAGAAGGGCATTTTTTTAAAAGATGACTTTTACTATATGTAAATTATGCCACATAACCGTTAATTTTAAAAATATAAAAATGCATATATTTTATTTGTAGATTCAACAGACATGAATTCACTCTGCCCAGTTGCTATTGAAGTTTCCAAACACTTACTCTTCCCATACTCATCTCTTCCCTGCTTGGTAACAGTGTATGAGTGGCAAGTTCACAGCTGAAGCTTGGGGTCAGGACAGTATACCTACATTTGGAAGGTTATGTAAAGTAATAATAGTGCCTGGGGAGGCGATACCATTTATGATCAGTAAAATCCTTTTTTAATTGGAGTGACATCTTCCAAAGGAAATAATTTGAAGGATAAATCTTTAGATTGGATTTTTTTTTTTTGTCTGTTGGAAAGGAGAAGACATAAAGCTGTAAAGCTAGAAGGTGAGAGATTTGAACTTTAATTATTTTGCTACTCATATTTATAGTCAAGTTTTCATTATTTCTCCTTTAAACCATCTGTCAAACATGTAATATATAGTTATACGCCACATAACATTTTTGCCAGTGATGGACCACATATATGATGGTGGTCTCATAAGATTAGAATACCTTATTTTTGCTGTGTTTAGATATGTTTAGATGCACAAATACATGCCTTTGTGTTACAGTTGCCTATGGTATTCAGTACAGTAACGTGCTGTGTAGGCTTGTAGCCTCGGAGCAATAGGCTATACCATATAGCCTAGGTGTATAGTAGGCTGTACTCTCCAGGTTTGTCTAAGTACACTCTATGATGCTTGCAACAGAACAGATCGCCTTATGATGCATTGCTCAGAACATAGCCTCTTGTTAAGCAACCTATAACTGTATATTGAAAGGAGTTTTGCCTGAGAAGTACTTTGAGTATTTTGACTTAATGTAGATTTCTCAAGAGCTGCTTTTTTAGACCACCGCACTGTGGTAGGCATTGTTATTGTGGTATTACTGTGCAAAAATGTGTATTATTATAGTTTCAAGATAAGGTTCTTTCCTTGTTTCTGTTTTGTCTTAGCCACTATCTAGAATTTAATACCTCCTTGAACTATGACATGGATCACAACCAGTATTTTAGCCTTGCAATTTCTTTACATTTACGTAAGAATTTTTACTTTTCTGAGCATTTTAACACATAGATTTCATTTAAAGATTACTATAATTATTTAATGCATTAAAGGAATTACAGGATCTTTGTTCTCCTCTAGTTATTATTGTAAAACTAGCATTCTATTTTGTTCCTCACCCCACATAACTAATTTCTGGGTTCATAAAGACATTTGTACAATTTTATTATCATGCATTTTAAAAGATATTTAGTTCCTAAATATTACATAACCATGTAATTATGATAACTCTATTCAGTGGTTTGTACCTTTTATTTCTCCATCTTGAAAAGGTTTCTTTTTTCTTGATCAATTTAGTGAAGACATTTTCTAATTACCTTATAGTAACAGAGCTTGGGTTCTTATGGTCTCCTCTGATCTTACTGAACAGTTCATTTGTAGCCTATTCCCAGGGATGACAGGACCACCATGTGCTCACTGGCATCTACTAGTAGCTGCTTTTGATTTGAAATGAAATGTTTCTAATACATGCTGGCCTGAAAATTTCAACCAGACTTCACATTTCTCACATGGTTCAATAATTTAGGCTGGGTACAGTGGCTCATGCCTGTAATCCCAGCACTTTGAGAGACTGAGAGAGGAGGATCCCTTGAGCCCAGGAGTTCAAGACCAGACTGAGCAAGATGGCAAGACCCCCATCTCGATACAAAAAACAAAAAAACAGCCAAGTACAGTGGTGTGCGCCTGTAGTCCCAGCTACTCAAGAGGCTGAGGAGGCCCTTGAACCCAGGAGGTCAAGGCTGCAATGAGCTATGATCACGCCACTGCATTCCAGGCTGGGCAACAAAGTGACATCTCTTTAAAAAGAATTAAAATTTTATTTAAAAACAGAGCATACAACCTGGATTTGAGTCTCTTCTGTCTTGGATTATTCGGTTCTGTGTTTTCCATACAGAGAATGTGGCCTGAAACAAGAACCCCCAGGCGGAGCAGATGCTTCCAATAGATCAAACACTACTTTAAACTGCCACCGTTGCCACTCAGGACAACAAATACCAACAATAACAACAGTGAATATCCCTTCATTTAAAGCAAAGCAAAATTAAATTGTTGATAATTTTGTTAAAAATAATTCAGTTAAAGAGCTTTGGGGTCGGAGAGACCTAGAATAAATTCCAGCCACTGTTACTACTTTTTTAATATTGTGGGTGATAACTGTCGTCTCTGATACAAAAATAACACCCTTCTTACAGGGATATTCTCAAATAGAGTTCATGTATGTCAACTTAGGCCTGGGTCAGAAGATACTTATGACTCTTCAAAATTATTTTATTTCATATGTATATAAAGGTGTTTATAGGATTCTCTGTATTTCTGAATGCATTTACATCTCCAAAATAGTTTCAGAAATATTATATCAACACCATTACCAATAATCACAAAAAACTAATATTCAAGCTCTCTTTGCAGTCCTTTATTGTGCTTAGATATACCACTGAGGTTATATGTTGTTAAAGTGCATGTTCAAAAGTAGTTTGAATGCTTTTCTTTGTGTAGTTATATTATTTATTCGATATACAGTTAAGAAGTTGTCTTTGAAACTTCTGTTTTCATTCACTTATAACATTTGCTGTTTTTACCTTTTTTATTTAATTGTATTTTCCAAATTTGCAAAATATAGCTTGTTTTAACAAAGTCAAACCTATATAAAAAGACATGCAAAAGAAATCACATTCGTATCCCTACCCTTTCCATTCTGTTTTCTTCCATCCCTGATAGATATTCATTGGTTTCTGATTTGTCCTTCCTATGTTTCTTTTTTTTGGAAAAATAAGCAAAACCCATGGGGATAGGTATGTGTGCCTGTTTATGCATCTCCCCTCTTTCTTATCCAAAAGATAGCAAACTGCATATACTCCTTGGCACTGCTTCAGTGGTATCCCATAGACGATTATATGTAGTATTCTTATTATCATCGTGTTTTAGAAATTCTGCAGTTTTGTTTTGTATCCCCTTTCTCCCAAGAGTTGCTTAGAGAGTTTTTAGTCTCTAAGTAGAAGGACCACTTTTTGATGTGAATAATTTCTAGTTTTATCCCATTGTGGTCAGAGAATGTTGTTTGTG
This sequence comes from Homo sapiens, assembly GCF_000001405.40. Taxonomy (NCBI): domain Eukaryota; kingdom Metazoa; phylum Chordata; class Mammalia; order Primates; family Hominidae; genus Homo; species Homo sapiens. The sequence goes on along the minus strand of NC_000006.12, from coordinate 118,849,581 downwards.
TTGTTTCTTTAAGGAACTTCATGAGGTTTTTATCTTTGCAGCCTAATATAAGGTCAATTTAATACTGGCCCTTTTATGCTTCAGGAATTATATTCTGTATAATGAGAATATAATGTATATATATTATACACACACACACACACACACACAAACTGTACCTTATAAATGATGTTATTTAGGTCTTCTATATCCTTACTTACCTTTTGTTTGTTTGATGCATTTTAGACCAAGAGTGGTGTGTTAAAGTCTCTTATTACTGGGTTTTTGTTTGTTTCTCTTTGCATCTCTTGTAATTTCTGCTTTATGAAGGTAGTTGTTGTGGCCTTTAACATTTGTACTTCCTTGTCTTAAATGCTTTGTGGCCTGAATTTTACCTTGCCTATATCAGGATCACAACTCTGGATTTCATAATATTTATATTTGTCTAATATATCTTTGCTCATTTCTTTATGTTTAGCCTTTTGATTTCAATCTGTTCTTTTGTATGCAGCGTAGAATTGGGCTTAGCTTTATGAACAATCGAAAAATCTTTTAATGTGTTAGGTAAGCACACTTACATTTATTGGTATAATCAATATGCTTGGTGTCAACGGTTTTATTTTTTTAAAACTTACTGTGTTTATTTTTCTGTGCATTTAGGAAGGTTTGCTTTTTTTTTTGGAAACAAAGTCTTGCTCTGTCACCCAGGCTGGAGTGCAGTGGCACAATCTCAGCTCACTGCAACCTGCTCCTCCCAGGTTCAAGCAGTTCTCCTGTCTCAGCCTCCTGAAGCTGGGACTACAGACACACGCTACCATGCCTGGCTACTTTTTTGTGTTTTAGTAGAGATGGGGTTTCACCATGTTGCACAGTCTGGTCTCAAACTCCTGAGCTCAGGCAATCTGCCTGCCTCAGCCTCCCAAAGTGCTAGGATTACAGGAGTGAGCCACTGCGCCTGGCTGCATTTTTATTATAGGTTAGGGGTTGGCAAACTTTTTCTGTGGAGATTAGGATAGCAAGTATTTTAGACTTTGTGGGCCAAACTGTTGGAACTACTCATCTCTGCTGATGTAGACGGTATAACTGTATCAATATGTCTGTGATGTAAACAAGAGAAGCCATAATATGTAAACAGATGGGAGTGGCTGTGTTCCAATAAATTTTTATTTATTGTAACAGATTGTGGGCTGCATTTGGACTGTAGTTTGACAACCCCTATTCTAGGGCTTACGTTTTATAATACCTTTTATAATGCCTACAGCCTCATTTCTCCTCACTTGGGAACTTTAAATAATATCATATGACTCCAGTCTGTTAGCCATGTAGTAATCAGTGAGCCTATTTTACTTTCCCCTTTCTCCCTTCTTCTCTTCACTTAAATAAATAGTTGTATTATTTGTACTTTGTCAGAACAAATAGCATTTACTTACTATTCTTCCACTTTTATGCTTTCTTTTGCTTTGGTCTATCTAAAATGAAGTGCTTCACCATTGGTCTTTTTGGGAGGGCCAGGGCATCATCATCATCTCTTGGTTGAATGAAGCCCATCCTCTAGCAGATGCCTTAGGAGGGGCTCCTGATTATTGTCTTGAATTTTTCCATGTTTCAAATCATTTTTCATAGCATTGACACTTGAAAAATGAAAGATAGCTTGGCTGGATATAAAGACCTTGGCTTATACTTTCTTTCCTAAAGTCTTGCTTTCTATGTTGCTATTGACAAATCTGATGCCATTCTGATATCACTTGCTCTAAAGGTGATTTAGTTTTTTTGCCTGAAGTCCCAGAGGGTTTTTTCCTTTATCTTTAAAGTATAATATTTTTACTAGACTATGTCTCAGTTGATTATTCCTGGTCAGTTTTTCTAGATATCAGTGAGCTTTTGACATGTATTCTTTTATCCCTGGAAATTTTTATTGAATGATTGTTTGACACTCTAGTTCAGTTCTTTGTTTTGTTTTTATTTTTCAGAAGCTGTAATTATTTATTTGTTAGAATTTTTCCTAGGCTCTGCAGCAACCATTTTTTTTTCTTAAACTTCTTAGCTCATCTGTATTTTGTTTTATTCTCTTGGCTATTTTTATTCCTCTCCTTAGCACCCTTTATTATATTTTCAGTCCTGTCGGTCCTTTCTTAGACACCTTAGATTCAAATGTTAATTTCTTTTTTTTTTTTTTTTTTGAAGATTCATGGGGCACATGAGCATGTTTGTTACATGGGTATATTACATAATGGTAGGGCCCATCGCCCAAATAGTGAACACAGTCCCCAGGAGGTAGTTTTTCAACCCTTGTCCATGTCCTTTGCTCCCCAGTTTTGGAGTCCTCAGTGTTTGTTGTTTCCATCTTTATGAACATGTCTACCCGTTGTTTAGCTCCCACTTAAAAGTGAGAACATGCAGTGTTCGATTCTCTGTTTCTGCCTTAATTAGATGTTCATTTCTGAGAGTATTTCCTCTTCCTCCCTTTACATCCATTTCTTTCTTCAGTTTTATCATCTCTGGATATACATCTTCTGCTTTTTGGTGCTTTTATATTGTGAATTTTTGAATTTCTGATTTGGAATGGTTTTTCCTATTTGCAAATGTTTGCTTAAGGATATTCAAGTCAGGGCACTGTGTTACAGATTTCCTTTGCTTTGTGGGGTTTTTTTGGGGCAGGGTAGGGAGATGAGGGTTTTATCAACGGAAGTATTTTTATTCTTGTAGTAGTTTTATGGAGCTGCATGTTATTTCCATTCATTTTAAAATGTCTTATGTTTTTCTGAATCATTATTAGTAGGTATTCTATTAAGGTGATGGTGAGGTTGGATGGTATACTAATTTTTAGTTCAGAGGAATCTCAGTTAAGTGCATTTTACTTAATAGTGTTTTCCATAAGGGGATGGTTGATTTGTCTGTTTTGTGGTTCTTATTTGTTTCTATAGGATGTTTAATATCCACTGCTTGCCTCCTTCTTCACCTGATCACCAAGACTCCAGGCGACTCTTGCCCCTTGCCGGTCTCCTCTATCTACTCCGGGATCCTTCCCATGACTGCCAGCTCTGGTCCCCGGAACTTTCAGGCCCCTCTGTCTATTCTCCAGTAGTCAATGACTTTGATTCACAAGGTCTGAAACCTGTTCTCAATATTTCCCCACTCTACATGGGATTCTCTCCTCCTCCTGGCATTTTATCTGTGTTCTCCAGCATGAGGCCCCCATTACTTTCTCCTCCTTTCACTTAGTCTCCACTGATCTTTCCACTCCAGTAAGGGCTCTAGAGTTAGCTTTGCTGGTTTCTGGTGTTTATTTCTCTATTTATATATAAACTGAAGTTTGTAGTATTCTTCCACTTTCTTTGTTAGTTTTTAGTTTGATGAGTTTTGTTTTATGGGTTTATTTGCTTGCTTTGTTTATCCGTAAGGTCTTTGGAGGATATGTTGAAGTATGGCTATAAGTAGCTGCCATTATCATATGGGAACCTAGAAATCAACATTTCATTTTTTAAAGTTATTCTTTCTTATATTATTTAACTCTTAAATGTTGACTTTTACTGTATATTTTATATATTTTTAGTATATTACTCATTTCTGAACCACATATAGGAAAAGTAATTGGAGAAGTGGTTGTCTACAATTATTTTGAAGAGCTCAAATATAGAAATGGAATGAGATTTGTTCATATCCTTTAGAATCAATGGCTGGAAGGTTCAGGGAAGCATATTTAAAATTAGTACAAGGAAGACTTATTAATGGTTAGCGCTGCCTAAAGATCAGGTAGGTTGCCTCTAGGGTTATAGAGGCCTTCAGGTTTAGACTAGAAAAAATTTCTATAAAAAATTCAGTTATCCAGTGAGTAAATAGATAACCTTTAGGGTTAACCTTTGCCACCTATGACAGGCTGCAGATCATGAGCTGGCCTACAAATTCAGCTGTAGGATGGTTTATTGTAGACTATGTACATAAAATATGGTTTTATATTTTATTACAAAACATTGAACATCCTGTGCTAGATATGGAAAAAGTTCAGGAAACATCAAGAGCTCTCCCTCTTCTCCAGTGGAATTGAAAAAATAAAGTAAAAAACAACCAACAAAAAAATTTTTTTAAAAGAGCTCCCCGCTTTTTTAGTGACTGCAAAAATACACTGGGCATAGACAGAATTACTGTAATAATTGAGGGCAGAGAGTCCAGAGCTAGTCTGGGCTATATGGCGGTTCCAGCTTCACAACTTGCTAGCTGAGCACATTACTGAACTCTCCGTAACTACTGTTCTACTGTAACATAATTTGGGGGAAAGGGAGTTTATTTAAAGTAGATGTATATATATTAGCAGCTGTATTATCTCATCGCCACCACAGCATCAGAAGTTTATTCATCTTCAAACCTATTCTCTTCGTTATTATGACTCAGGTACTTTCTGTTGCTGATTTTTTTGTGTGTGTTTGTGGGTCTTTTAGGCTTATTCAGCTGTTCTTAGTAGATGAGTTCTCCTTCCTGTCTCCGTTTCAAATGCCCTCTAGAGAGACCCAGTTAAATACAGTCATCCATATTTAAAGATTTATGCAAGACCAACTCTAGACTCCTGGCTAGTTCATTGATTGGCTGCTCTTGGGTCAGGTGCCAATCACTGCTGTGGGCAGCTGTTCCTGTATGGCTGTTTACACAGAAGGAATTGTGGGGTTATGTGCTTGGGGTACTTTCCAGTGTTTGGCCTGTCCAGAACTGTAATGAAGACAAAGAATCACTTAAGAAATATACTAAAGAACAGGTGATAAAACAAGAGTCTGTTTGTCAGCGCTGGGAAACAATTGTTTAGACAGACAGAACAGTCTGGACAATCAGTGTGTATAGGAGGTAACTCTTCATGAGAAAAGTCTTGAGTTCAGCGGGTTTCAAAGAGACAGGCAAAAAGGATGGCGAGGGTTTAAAGACAGTACTTAGTCTTCTGTACCTATTGAGATGAAGACTCTAGTTCAGGCTCTGTAATAGTTTTTACAGTTTCTGCCAAGATCATAGCTGTCACCAATTACGTGATCTGTTTTCTTCCATTTAAGTTGTCCTTTTAATTTTTTTTTTTTGTATTTTTTAACTTTGCTTTTGACATAATATCACTTACAGAAAGGTACAAGAATAGTACATGTTGGCTTTTTTGGGGTTGTTTGTATGTACCCCTAGTTACAATTGTATATCTATCATCTGTTTGGTGGTGGGAACCAGTGAAAACACTCTAAAAGTTCCACGTTAACTCATGTGTTCATTTTTCATAACACTCACTCTGTCTCACTCTACAATTTAAGAACAAGTTGGATGAGCCTCCACAGTAGTTCATCCAACTTTTTTGGCTACCAGTTTTCAGAATCTTAAGTTCATTACCCCTAATTAGAGGCCAGTTAATCTTCCTGATGCAAAGTGTACAGTTAACTGCCAAATGCAAAACTCTTGAGAAAATGTCTCTAGAGACTTATAGCATGCCGTGAAGTTAATTAATAGCAGATAAGAGGGTTAAGTGTGCAAAGGGAACACTTTAATTATGAATTCTACCAAAATAAAATACTCTGAATCTATTAAGAAAAACCTTATCTACTTCTCCACCTACAATAGGAATCCTTCACTGAGTCATCATCATCTAGATATTCTGGGGCCCTGCCTTTCTAACCACTTCAGGTTTTCCTTTGAGACATTTGGTACCTTGCCACATCATTTTCAGAAACTCTTGAATATGTCTGCTTTTGCTTTCTTTCTCTTTTTCTCTTTCTCCTGTCTCAAGTGACTAAAGTTTGGCTGATTTGTGAAGCAGTTTTGATTTGAATTATCATTTCCCTTTAATGCAAACCGCCGGATCAGAATATCTGACTGGTCTCCAAGGCTACATGAAATTTCTCATATATATATATATATATATACATATATATATACATACATATATATATATATACACATATATATATACATACATATATATATACACATATATATATATATGTTTTGTTTTGTTTTGTTTTTTTGAGACAGAATTTCACTCTTGTTGAGTGCAGTGGCGCAATCTTGGCTCACTGCAACCTCCACCTCCCGGGTTCAAGCAAGTCTCCTGTCTCAGCCTTCTGAGTAGCTGGGATTACAGGCATGCGTCACCACACCCGGCTAATTTTGTATTTTTAGTAGAGACAGGGTTTCGCCATGTTGGTGAGGCTGGTCTCGAACTCCCGACCTCAGATGATCTGCCTGTCTCAGCCTCCCAAAGTGCTGGGATTACAGGTGTGAGCCACTGCACCCAGCCAGAGATTTTTTTTTTTTAATGTGTCACTTATATGCACTGCAGAGAGTTAGTTCTTTTTTTGAAAATAAGCACACTTAAGTGTCTCATTTAACTGTGATTTCACAAATTGCTCTTTTAAGTTGAGGTCAAACTTTATGCAGTGTTTTCCTGTGGGTGGCACATACCTTACCTACAAGGGCATATCATAATCCCTACTATTCAGATGCTTAAGCAACTGGGAGAGGCCAATATGATTTCTGCACTGCAAAAGCTTGTTATAGTCAAAATAGAAAAAATGGTAAAACACTTAGGATGCCTAGAGCCTACTAAATGTGACTTATGTCAGTAACCAAAATATAGGTCTTCTTGAATCAATACATGCTTGTGAAGACCAATAATTTTGTTGTTCTTTATGTTACTTAAATCTGGAAACATTTTTAAAGTTTGGGAATTTAATTACTTAAATTTTGTCCTGGCTGCTTAATGAAATAGAAGTAAGATGAAACCAGGAAGCAAATGATGCAACGTGAGTTTTTTTTAAAAAAGGGGGCTCGGGAGTGGTGGCTCACACTTGTAATCCCAGCACTTTGGGAGGCTGAGGCAGAGGATCACTTGAGGCTCGTAGTTCAAGACCAACCTGGGCAACATAATGAGACCCCTTTTCTTCAAAAAATTTTAAAAATAGCAAAGCGTGGTGATGCATGCCTGTGGTCCCAGATACTCAGGAGTCTGAGGCTGGAGGATCACTTGAGCCTAGGAGGTTGAGGCTGCAGTGAGCTATGATTGGACCACTGCACTCCAGCCTGGGCGACAGAGTGAAACTCTCTGCCTCTGGGGGCAGAAAGGGTGTCAGTATTAAAATCTGCTTTTTTTAAACTGTGCAAATCAGTGCCTGTGCCTAGTGAATGGCAGCACAGTGCCACATGACAGTGTGTAGTCATTTGAATAACTTGATATGATGATGAGCTTTAAGGCTGTAGGATGCTAAATAAATCATAATTTGGGAAAGATAATGTTTCATTATTTTCAAGGTTCTTTTCAAACTTAAGCAGGATAGCATCTCATCAAAAGCAGGGTATCACTAGATTTTTAAATAATCAAGGACATCCTCAATATTTGTTGAAGACACATTTTAGGAGAAAACTTAACATTTCTATGATATATGTAATGTCTACTGAATTATACTCACATGCCTAGATAGGAAGTACAACCTGAAAATTAAAAATGGCAAGATAGGCCGGGCACGGTGTCTCACGCCTGTAATGCCAGCACTTTGTGAGGCAGAGGCGGGTGGATCACAAGGTCAGGAGTTTGAGACCAGCCTAGCCAATATGGCGAAACCCCATCTCTACTAAAAATACAAAAAGTACCTGGGCGTGGTGGCATGTGCCTGTAGTCCCAGCTACTCTGGAGGCTGAGGCAGGAGAATCGCTTGAACCCGGGAGGCGGAGGCTGCAGTGAGCTGGGATCACGCCACTGCCCTCCAGCCTAGGCGACAGAGCGAGACTCCGTGTCAAAAAAAAAAAAAAAAAGGCAAGATAGCTCTTGTTTTGCTCAGTAGACGTATCTTTTTGAGCACTAAACAATGTCATGCTTTCTGCTAGCTGCTGGCACCTTAAAGACGAAAAGATAAGGCCTTTGTTCTCAAGACATTCACAACCGTGTAACAAGACAGGCAAGTAAACGTTTATTGTATACTGTGATTCTAACAGCCCTAGAAGGGCCAGGGCACAGATCTAACTTGACTAGTCATCAGTTTTCTGGTGCAAGCCTACTTAATTAGAATCTGTAAAGTGGGACCTGGGAATCTGCATTGTCAAAACCTACTTTGGGTCTTGTTGATCTGCCTGGCTTAGGAACCACTGCTATTGTACAGGGTGCTTGCTCAGTACCCAAGCACCCTGTTTGCCTCTGCTTTCCAGGATCTTATGAAGCTGTATCTGTGGTGGTAGTCTTCACAGTCTAGTCTCTGGTTAAGGGGGGGCCAGAGGAGAGAGAGGCAGGGAGAAGAGGGAAAGTCCTTCTGTCCAGCCAACCCTACTGGGTGGTCCCTGACCCCTAGGGGGCTGCATGGGCTGTGAAACAGATGAAGTGATCCTTGGAGGTATCCAAGTGTGCCACCAGGATGTGAAAAATATAAGTTCAAACCATGTACTTTGAGAGTTTACTGTTCTTTCTAGATTATTTATATGGTCAATACTTTTACCTTTTCCTCTTTCCTATTCCCCTTGCTTGTAAATCCCATTACTGTTCATTATACCAGTGTAGATGTGAAAAGTATTTTGTCAACTTTATCAACCTTGTTAAAAAGTTGAGGAGGAGCCAAGCGCAGTGGCTCACTCCTGTAATCCCAGCGTTTTGGGAGGCCAAGGCAGGGGCAGGGATGGGGAGGATTGCTTAAGCCTAGGAGTTCAAGACCAGCCTGGGCAACATAGCAAAACACTGACTCTACAGAAAGTACAATTATCCAGGCATGGTAGCTCATGCCTGTAGTCTCAGCTACACAGGAGGCTGAGATGGGAGGTTTGCTTGAGCCCAGGAGGTGGAAGCTGCAGTGGGCTGTGATTGCACCACTGTACTCCAGCCTGGGTGACAGAGCAAGACCCTGTCTCAAAAAAAAAAAAAGGGGGGGGGGAGGAGAGAATATATGTACCTAGCATTTTAAGGTTACCAAATATATATAATGGATTGTGAGAATACCATTAGTATAGTTTTATTTTGCAGTTTTATTGGGTTTTTTAAAAAAAATGCTAAACAATTTTTAAAAATCAAGGCCTGTCAATATAGAAATGTCAGACAGTCTACAAAGTAATATGTCACTGTTGCTGCGTGGGCTGTTCTCTGGCCTGATTCCTTTGATGAGAAGACCACTCAAACATTGTTGGGATAGGTTTTGCCGTAGCCAAAGGAACTGGAGCTTGCTGGAGAGATTATGCTACATATGAGCCAGAGTAGGCTAACTGCTATAGCAAACAGTGACTTAACAGAATGAAAGGTTATTTTTTGCTCATGTATGTGAGGGACACTCAGAGAGTCCCATCCTTATAATTTCATTAAACCAAATCACCTCCCAAAGGCCCCACCTCCCAATACCATAACACTGGGTGTTAGGGCTTCAGCATATGAAGTGGAGGGGACACAAACATTCACTCCAGAACAGCTTCTATTCTTTTGTGTGTGTGGAGAAAAAAAAAAAAATAACATAAAAATCTACCATCTACAGTTCAGTAGTATTAAGTCACTCTCTGGACAGGGCATCTCAGAAAGAAAGGCAGCAGCCCCAGTCAGGGGCTTATAGATAAAATTCCCATCTTCCTGGGACAGAGCACCTGGGGGAAGGGGCAGCTGTGGGCACAGCTTCAGCAGGCTTAAACTTTCCTGCCTGCCAGCTCTGAAGAGTGCAGCAGATCTCCCAGCACAGCGCTCGAGCTCTGCTAGGACAGAAGGCCTCCTCAAGTGGGTCCCTGACTCCCGTGCCTCCTGACTGGGAGACACCTCCAAGCAGGGGTCGACAGACACCTCATACAGGACAGCTCTGGTTGGCATCTGGCGGGTGCCCCTCTGGGACAAAGCTTCCAGAGGAAGGAACAGGCAGCAATCTTTGCTGTTCTGCAGTCTCTGCTGGTGATACCCAGGCAAACAGGGTCTGGAGTGGACCTCCAGCAAACGCCAGCAGACCTGCAGCAGAGGGGCCTGTTAGAAGGAGAGATAACAAACAGAAAGGAATAGCATCAACATCAACAAAAAGGACGTCCACACATAAACCCCATCCGAAGGTCACCAACATCAAAGACTGTAGGTAGATAAATCCACAAAGATGAGGAAAAACCAACACAAAAAGGCTGAACATTCCAAAAACCAGAACGCCTCTTCAAATTCTCCTCCACAATTCCTCACCAGCAAGGGAACAAAACTGGATGGAGAATGAGTTTGATAAATTGACAGAAGTAGGCTTCAGAATGTGGGAAATAACAAACTCCTCTGAGCTAAAGGAGCATGTTCTAACCCAGTGCAAGGAAGATAAGAACCTTGAAAAAAGGTTAGAGGTATTGCTAACTAGAATAACCAGTTTAGAGAAGAACATAAATGACCTGACGGAGCTGAAAAACATAGCATAAGAACTTCATGAAGCATACGGAAGTATCAATGGCTGAATTGATCAAGCAGAAGAAAGGATATCAGAGATTGAAGATCAACTTAATGAAATAAAGCGTGAAGATGAGATTAGAGAAAAAAGAATGAAAAGGAACGAACAAAGTCTCCAAGAAATATGGGACTATATGAAAAGACCAAACCTACGATTGATTGGTGTACCTGAAAGTGACAGGGAGAATGGAACCAAGTTGGAAAACACACTTCAGGATATTATCCAGGAAAACTACCTAGCAGGACAGGCCAACATTCAAATTCAGGAAATACAGAGAATACCACAAAGATACTCCTCGAGAAGAACAACCCTGAAACACATAATTGTCAGATTCACCAAGGTTGAAATGAAGGGAAAAATGTTAAGGGCAGCCAGAGAGAAAGGCCGGGTTACCCACAAAGGGAAACCCATCAGACTAACAGTGGATCTCTCTACAGAAACCCTACAAACCAGAAGAGAGTGGGGGCCGATATTCAACATTCTTAAAGAAAAGAATTTTCGGCCGGGCACAGTGGCTCACGCCTCTAATCCCAGCACTTTGGGAGGCTGCGGCGGGCGGATCACGAGGTCAGGAGATCAAGACCATCCTGGCTAACATGGTGAAACCCTGTTTCTAATAAAAATACAAAAAAGCCAGGTGTGGTGGCGGGTGCCTGTAGTCCCAGCTACTCAGGGGGCTGAGGCAGGAGAATCATGAGGTCAGGAGATCAAGACCATCCTAGCTAACATGGTGAAACCCAGTCTCTAATAAAAATACAAAAAAGCCGGGCGTGGTGGCAGGTGCCTGTAGTCCCAGCTACTCAGGAGGCTGAGGCAGGAGAATCACAAGGTCAGGAGATCAAGACCATCCTGGCTAACATGGTGAAACCCAGTCTCTAATAAAGATACAAAAAAGCCAGGCGTGGTGGCGGGTGCCTGTAGTCCCATCTACTCAGGAGGCTGAGTCAGGAGAATGGCGTGAACCTGGGAGGCGAAGCTTGAAGTGAGCCGAGATCGCTGCCACTGCACTCACAACCTGGGTGACAGGGTGAGACTCCGTCTCAAAAAAAAAAAAAAAAAAAGAATTTTCAACCCAAAATTTAACATGTAGGCAAGCTAAGCTTCATAACCTAAGGAGAAATAAAATCCTTTATAGACAAGCAAATGCTGAGGGATTTTGTCACCACCAGGCCTGCCTTACAAGAGCTCCTGAAGGAAGCACTACATATGGAAAGGAAAAACTGGTACCAGCCACTGCAAAAACATTTGAAATTGTAAAGACCATCGATGCTATGAAGAAACTGCATCAACTAATGGGCAAAATAACCAGCTAGCATCATAATAACAGGATCAAATTCACACATAACAATTTTAACCTTAAATGTAAACAGGCTAAATGTCCCAATTAAAAGACACAGACTGGCAAATTGGATAAAGAGTCAAGATCCATCAGTGTGCTGTATTCAGGAGACCCATCTCACGTGCAAATACACACATAGGCTCAAAATAAAGGAATGGAGAAATATTTACCAAGCAAATGGAAAGCAAAAAAAAGCAGGGGTTACAATCCTAGTCTCTGACTTTAAACCAACTAAGATAAAAAAAGGCAAAGAAGGGTACTACATAATGGTAAAGGGATCAATGCAACAAGAAGACCTAACTATCCTGAATATATATGCAACCAATACAGGAGCACCCAGATTCATAAAGCAAGTTCTTAGAGACCTACAGAAACACTTAGACTCCCACACAATAATAGTGGGAGACTTGAACACCCCACTGTCAATATTAGACAGATCAACGAGACAGAAAATTAACAAGGATATTCAGGACTTGAACTCAGCTCTGGACCAAGCGGACCTAATAGACATCTACAGAACTCTCCAGCCCAAATGAACAGAATATACATTCTTCTCAGCACCACATAGCACTTATTCTAAAATTGACTACATAATTAATTGGAAGTAAAACACTCCTCAGCAAATGCAAAAGAGTGAAAATCATAACAAACAGTCTCTCAGACCACAGTGCAATCAAATTAGAACTCAGGATTAAGAAACTCATTCAAAACTGCACAACTACATGGAAACTGCTCCTGAATGACTACTGGGTAAATAACGAAATTAAGGCAGAAATAAATAAGTTCTTTGAAACCAATGAGAACAAAGTCACAACGTACCAGAATCTCTGGGACACAGCTAAAGCAGTGTTCAGAGGGAAATTTATAGCACTAAATGCCCACATCAGAAAGTGGGAAAGATCTAAATTCAGCACCCCAACATCACAATTGAAAGAACTAGAGAAGCAATTATGTCACAATTAAAAGAACTAGAGAAGCAAGAGCAAACAAATTCAAAAGCTAGCAGAAGACAAGAAATAACTAAGATCAGAGCAAAACTGAAGGAGGTAGAGACACGAAAAACCCTTCAAAAAATCAGTGAATCGAGGAGCTCATTTTTGAAAAGATGAATAAAATAGACTGCTAGCCAGACTAATGAAGAAGAAAAGAGAGAAGAATCACATAGACACAATAAAAAATGATAAAGGGGATATCACCACTGATCCCACAGAAATACATACTACTATCAGAGAATACTATAAATACTTCTACAGAAACAAACTAGAAAATCTAGAAGAAATGGATAAATACCTAGACTCATACACCCTCCCAAGACTAAACCAGGAAGAAGTCGAATACCTGAATAGACCAATAACAAGTTTTGAAATTGAGGCAGTAATTAATAGCCTACCAACCCAAAAAAGCCCAGTACCAGGCGGATTCACAGCCAGATTCTACCAGAGGTACAAAGAGGAGCTGGTACTATTCCTTCTGAAACTATTACAAACCATAGAAAAAGAGGGGCTCCCCCCAACTCATTTTATGAGGCCAGCATCATTCTGCTATCAAAACCTGGCAGAGACAACAAGAAAAGAAAATTTCAGGCCAATATCTCTGATGAACATCGATGAGAAAATCCTCCATAAAATACTGGCAAACTGAATCCAGAAGCACATCAAAAAGCCTGTCCACCACGATCAAGTTGGCTTCATCCCTGGGATGCAAGGCTGGTTCAACATATGCAAATCAATAAACGTAATCCATCACTTAAACAGAACCAATGACAAAAACCACTTGATTATCCCAATAGATGCAGAAAAGGCCTTCAATAAAATTCAATACCCTTTCATGCTAAAAACTCTCAATAAACTAGGTATTGATGGAACATATCTCAAAATAATAAGAGCTATTTATGACAAACCCACAGCCGATATCATACTGAATGGGCAAAAGCTGGAAGCATTCCCCTTGAAAACTGGCACAAGACAAGGATGCCCTCTCTCACCACTCCTAGTCAACATAGTATTGGAAGTTCTGGCCAGGACAATCAGGCTAGAGAAAGAAATAATGGGTACAAATAGGAAGGGAGGAAGTCAAATTGTTTCTGTCTGCAGATGACATGATTGTATATTTGGAAAACCCCATTGTCTCACCCAAAATCTCCTTAAACTGATAAGCAACTTTAGCAAAGTCTCAGGATACAAAATCAATATGAAAAATTCACAAGCATTGCTATACACCAGTAATAGACAAGCAGAGAGCCAAATCATGAGTGAACTCCCATTCACAATTGCTACAAAGAGAATAAAATACCTAGGAATACAACTTACAAGGGATGTGAAACATCTCTTCAAGGAGAACTACAAACCACTGCTCAAGGAAATAAGAGAGGACAGAAACAAATGGAAAAACATTCCATGTTCATGGATAGGAAGAATCAATATTGTGAAAATGGCCATACTGCTCAAAGTAATTTATAGATTCAATTCTATCCCCATCAAGCTACCATTGACTTTCTTCACAGAATTAGAAAAAACTATTTTAAATTTCATATGGAACCAAAAAAGAGCCCATATAGACAAGACAATCCTAAGCAAAAAGAACAAAGCTGGAGGCATCACACTACCTGACTTCAAACTAGACTACAAGGCTACAGTAACCAAAACAGCATGATACTGGTACCAAAAACAGATATATAGACCAATGGAACAGAACAGAGACCTCAGAAATAATCCCACACATCTACAACCATCTGATCTTTGACAAACCTGACAAAAACAAGCAATGGGGAAATTATTCCTCATGTAATAAATGGTGTTGGGAAAACTGGCTAGCCATATGCAGAAAACTGATACTGGACCCCTTCCTTACACCTTATACAAAAATTAAGATGGATTAAAGGCTTAAACGTAAGACCTAAAACCATAAAAACCCTAGAAGAAAACCTAGGTGATAGCATTCAGGACATAGGGATGGGCAAAGACTTCATGACTAAAACACCAAAAGCAATGGCAACAAAAGCCAGAATTGACAAATGGGATTTGATTAAACTAAAGAGCTTCTGCACAGCAAAAGAAACTATCATCAGAGTGAACAGGCAACCTACAGAATGTGAGAAAATTTTTGCAATCTGTCCATCTGCCAAAGGTCTAATATCCAGAATCTACAAAGAACTTAAACAAATTTATAAGAAAAAAAAAAACCACATCAAAAAGTGGGTGAAGGATATGAACAGGCACTTTTGGAATGAAGACATTTATATGGCCAACAAACGTGAAAAAAAGCTCATCATCAGTAGTCATTAGAGAAGTGCAAATCAAAACCACAATTAGGTACTATGTCACACCATTTAGAATGGTGATCATTAAACAGTCAGGAAACAGATGCTGGAGAGGATGTGGAGAAATAGGAACTGTTTTACACTGTTGGTGGGTGTGTAAATTAGTTCAACCATTGTGGAAGACAGTGTGGCGATTTCCTCAAGGATCTATAACCGACATACCATTTGACCCAGTAATCCCATTACTGGGTATACACCCAAAGGATTATGAATCATTCTACTATAAAGACACATACACACGTATGTTTATTGCAGCAGTGTTCACAATAGCAAAGACTTGGAAGTAACCCAAATGCCCATCAATGATAGACTGGATAAAGAAAATGTGGCACATATATACCACGGAATACTATGCAGCCATAAAGGATGAATTCGTGTCCTTTGCAGGGACATGAGTGAAGCTGGAAACCGTCATTCTCAGCAAACTAACACAGGAACAGAAAACCAAACACTGCATGTTCTCACTTATAAGTGGGAGTTGAACAATGAGAAAACATGGACACGGGGAGGGGAACATCACACACTGGGTGGGGGGCTAGGGGAGGGATAACATTAGGAGAAATACCTAATGTAGATGATGGGTTGATGGGTGCAGCACACCACCGTTTCACATGTATACCTATGTAACAAACCTGCACATTCTGCACATATATCCCAGAACTTAAGGTATAATAATAATTTTTAAAAAGTATAAGTCACGTTGTACAAGCAATCACCAGGACTCTTTCCGTCTTGCAAACTGAAACTCTATACCTGTTTAAAAAAACTCCCATTTCCTCCTCCTCCCAGCCCCTAGCAACCACCATTCTACTTTCCGTTTCTATGGATTTGACTACTCTAGGTATTTCACAGGTAAGTGGAATCATACAGTATTGATCTTTCGTAACTGGCTTATTTCACTTAGCATGATATAGTTAAGGTTCTTCCATGTTGTAGTATGTGTTTGCATTTTCTTTCTTTTTAAGACTGAACAATTTTCCATTGTGTGTATAGACCGCGTTTTCCTTATCCATTCCTTTATCTATGTACGCCTGGATTTTCTCCGCCTCTCAGCTGTTGTGTGTGTAGTGCTGCTGAGAACATGGGTGTGGGCTTCATTACTTAACAGTGGCTACCTTACCACCATCTAAAGCAGATTTCATGCTCAATCTAAGTGACTTTATACAACTGAGAAAATTTACTGGGCCTTTGTTCAAGCTTTTTTCAATTTTGCTTCTTACTGTCTGGGGTCTAGAAGCAATTTTTTTTCCCTAACACTTCAAAACCTCAAATTTCTGAGATGTCTTCATTGCTTTTCATTTCTCTTTGAAGATTGGTCAGTTTTTTCCTGTGCTCACCACGTGCCTGCAATGCTTTGCCGAAGGAAGTTTTTCTTGTTCGTGTCAGTCTGATGTGGATTGAGGGTGGTGTGCTCTGCTCCGACAATGATTCCGGGCCCAAGCTCCTTCTCTCATGTGGCTCTCTGACTCCAGGGCTTTATCCTCTTCTGTACTCCACTAGTAAAGAGAGAGAAAAAGATTGCACAGGAAGGCTTTTAGGGGCCAGACCTAAAAGTGGTTTATGTTCTTCTATCTTTACTTCATTGTCCAGACTTGGTATCATAGCCCTACTTCACTGTAATGGGAATAGGAAATACAATCTTGCTCTATTCCCAGGATGGAAAGAAAACAAGGTTAGGTGAACATATAGCACCTGGTGCCACAGGCTGGAGATAAATTTGGAAGTACCAGCATATAGGTGGTGATCAAAGCCATAAGTAAAGATGAGGATCATCCCGTAAAGGGAGTAATGGGAGACCTTCACAAAAACAAGGGCACTTTCTTAAGGGTCTTTACTGGTAAAAATAACTTTACAATGTTAGGTTACACAAGTTATTAGTAGAACAGTTACTACTGTGTTTGTAGGACGTTTAAATGTGTGCATTAAATAAATGTAAAAGTAGTTTTTTCAGAAATTGGAATGTCTTTACTTCTTGAAGTTTAATACAAAAGAAATATGTATCAGCATCCTTTTATGACAAAGCCTGTAAATGTAAAATAATGCTGAAGTTCAGAAATACTGAACTAAGTAAAGATTTATTTTTATTTGTCGTTTAAATTATGTACATTTATTAAGCATTTACTATGTACCAGGCAGTGTGAGGATTATAACAATAAATCACAATCTCTCAAGGAAGACCACATTTAGTAGGACAAAAATAGGCTGGGCAAGGTGGCTCACACTTGTAATCCCAGCCCTTTGGGAGGCCAAGGCGGGAGGATTCTTGGGGCCAGGAGTTCAAGACCAGCCTGGGCAACATAGCAAGATTCCATCTCCACAAAAAATTTTCTGAAAATCAGCTGGGCATGGTGATGTACACCTGTAATGCTAGCTACTTGATAGGCAGAGACAGAAGGATCACTTGAGCCCAGGAGTTTGAGGTTGTAGTGAGCTGTAATTGCTCCACTGCACTACAGCCTGGGGAACAGAGTGAGACCATGTCTTTTAAAAAAAATAAGTAAGGCAAATAAGTTGATGCCGAAAATCCCAGGCAGAATCGGCAGTCTGGAAGTAAAAGCGCATTGATTTTGGAGCCCAGCAGATCTAGGTTTGAATCTCAGCTCTGCTCCTCTCAGTGTAACCTTGGGGAAGTTAATATTCCTGAACTTCTAGTTTCCTTATTTCTAAGTTTGTGATAATAGCACCTACCCTTCAGGTTGCTGTGATTAGGGATGATCTTTGTAAACCTAATGCAGTGCTTGCTTGATATTAAAAATGTAGTTATTTTTATTAATATTGTTGAAGGTAGAGTTCATATGGGATAGAAAAATGAGTTACCTTACAGTCTATGAATTCATTCATTTAGTATTTAGTGAGCCACTACTACGCACTGTATACTTAGGATTAGATTGTATGTATGTATTTGTGTTTGTTTTCTAAAGCCCCATTTAGTTTTTTTAAAAAATGTTTGTATCACAGGTCTGTACCCACCAGGTTTACATATGGTCTTCCCCACTTTCAAATGCCCAGAGACCACCCTGTCTGTCCTGGCACTGTCTTCATCCTCCCTCTTTGCTACAGGGATCTGCCTGACTTATCTCTCATAATCTCCTCTTCCTCTGCCCACTCCCGTATTTTCCTTGCTCCTATTTCTGCTGACTTCACCTCAGACAGCCTTTTTTCTTTGCATACAAATTTTTGTTAGTTCTCCCCACCCCCAACTTTTTTTTTTTTTTTTTTTTTGAGATGGTCTCTTGCTTTGTGAGTGCAATGGCACAAGCTCGGCTCACTGCAGCCTCCACCGCCCAGGCTCAAGTGATTCTCCCAACTCAGCCTCCCAAGCAGCTGGAACCACAGGTGTGTACCACCGTG
Organism: Homo sapiens; assembly: GCF_000001405.40. Lineage (NCBI taxonomy): Eukaryota > Metazoa > Chordata > Mammalia > Primates > Hominidae > Homo > Homo sapiens. The sequence goes on along the minus strand of NC_000006.12, from coordinate 118,831,211 downwards.
CCGGCTATTTTTTGTATTTTTAGTAGGGATGGGGTTTCACCATGTTGACTAGGCTGGTTTCAAACTCCTGAGCTCTGGCGATCCACCAGCATGATTCTTAAGCTTAAGCTTTTCTAATGGAAAAATTAATTCCCCCAGTTACCTTAGGCATAATTTACCACCTTCTTTCTGTGTTCATTTTTCTTCTCATACATTGGAAAACTCTCCAATTATATCCCCTATAGATCTCCAGGTGTCCCCACCGAAGTTTCTCCCTGCTGATACTAATGCTGATACTGACACCAGCACTCCTTGCACACTTACGATCTGGCAGGCACTCTGCTCCACCTCTTCTTTCCCCAGCAGTTCTGTTGTAAACTAATTGGCAGCAGAGATCAGATATGTACCTTTTTGGATTCTCAGTACAGCTTTTTGCACAAAGGAAATGGTCTATAAATATTGGTTGGTCAGAGAGAGGATGAATGAACAATTCATTTGACCTAGCATTAAAAATAATTTTATAAAAATTATGTCATATGCAATTGTATTTTGTTTCATTGCCAGTGTTGTGGACATTTTTAAATAAGAAATACAAATAGTCCGTCTTCAGTGTGGGTTAAATGTGCTTTTGTGGGTTACTTAGGAACCGCTTATTACATTGTTCTATGGCAAATTATATTCCAAGTTCTAAACAACTGTCTTTACAAAAGCCATTTTGACACATAAATTATAAGATGTGGACTGTCCAGAATTTTTCCTTGTCACTAATTTTTTAAAAGGGAATTTAGTTTTTGGTAAAAATGCCTTGTTTATCTTTCTCTTATTTATTTAATCAGTGTCTTCTTGTGCCACTTGCCACAAATAAAGATTCTCAAACATTTTCAGCCTCAGGGAATGAAGTAGCTGCTAGCTAGAAATAGATCAGGGATTAACAAATGTAATACATGTTGCTGATGTCATAGGGCTGTGACTTGGGAGGCAGACATCCCACTATAACTAAAAATGGGCATCAAGTGCACAGCATACAAATTTACAGATTCAAATTTTTACATTTGTTATTGCCAATGAATATGTCACATTATTTTGAGAACTAGCCCATCATTAATTAGTTTAAAAACAATATCTAAGTTATGTCACATCCATCCCTATCCTGCCACGCTCCATTTAGGACTACCTTGTCCCTCTACTGGACCATTGTACTAGAGCCCCTACCCTGCATCCTGTCCACAGTCCTTTCCTGTCCAACCCACTCACCAACCCAGTCCTCATCAGACTTCCCTTCACAATGGCTCCTCAAAAACTCAATGCCAAATCAATCATATTTTCTGATTTCCTTTCCCTCCCTCTTTCTCTCTTTTTTGTTTCTTTCGTGTTTAGAAAAAAAATCAAAACAAAATGAGTGAATACACAGAAAGTTTTTGCCTCAACCACTCACTATTCTCCAGAGTCATCCTCACTCTCTACCCTCACCCCCTCTGCAAATGCCTGTCTTTCTCCACCTAAAAATGTCCAGAGGTCTTGAAAGGTTCAGTTCAAAAGCTGCTTCACAGTGTTTGCTTCTGTGTTCATCTTTTCTATCCACATAGATGAATATACATCATCCCTATTTCCCCTGGGAACTTTATTCTTTTAGAACTTAACCATATTCTGCCTTGTGTTACATTATAGCTAGTAGATTGCAAGCCCCTTAAGAAGAGTTTGGTTTAATTTTGGATACTTCTTAGCACTTAGCAAAGGGGTCTCCTCATAGCAGGGGCATAAAAAGTGTTTATTGAACGGTTACTTCTCTTTAAGATAGAATAGTTTCAGTATACTTTGTTGGAAGTTGATGTTTGTGATATCTCCTTCTGTCATTCTACATTTTCTTTCATAGGAGTTCGTAGATTTTCAAGGTGCAAGAGCAGCCCCATTTTATTAACAGCTGTAATCTTGCATTTTATCTGAACCTCACAATCAGTGAATTGTACTGTCTCTCCTGGCAGCCTCGTGTGCAAGCTGAACACAAGGACCACCATCCTGGCAGCAACGAACCCCAAAGGCCAGTACGACCCCCAGGAGTCCGTGTCTGTGAACATTGCCCTCGGCAGCCCACTCTTAAGTCGATTTGACCTGATCCTGGTTTTGCTTGATACCAAGAATGAAGACTGGGATCGTATCATTTCCTCCTTTATCTTAGAAAATAAAGGTACGTGAAGACAAACAAAGCATTCAAAATAACAGAGAGATTAGCTGTAACTAAAAGAAATTCCCTTTCAAGAAAATTAAATAAATACCCAAGATAGGCTATGTAGTACCAGGCAATAGAGAAAAGCTTAGACAGAAAGCAGTGAGAGGAGCCACTTACGGGGCCTCAGAATACTGAGTTGAAGGAAAAGGGCCTTTCTCTACCTGCCACTAATGAGACTAAAGTTGTTATAAATATGTGCCTTATGATGAAAGGGGACAACCTTATGATACAGAATTAACGCTCACCTCTTGCATATAAAACCAGAATGAATTGTGAAACAAATCTCTAAATGTAGGCTTCTCTTTAAATCAGATTTACTCAGGCCGGGCGTGGTGGCTCACGCCTGTAATCCCAGCACTTTGGGAGGCTGAGACAGGTGGATCACCTGAGGTCAGGAGTTCAAGACCAGCCTAGCCAGCATGATGAAACCCCATCGCTACTAAAATTCAAAAATCAGCTGGGCGTGGTGGTGCACACCTGTAATCCCAGCTGCTGCAGAGGCTGAGGCAGGAGAATTGCTTGATCCCAGGAGGTAGAGGTTGCAGTGAACAGAGATCGTGCTACTGCGCTCCAGCCTGGGTGACAGAGTGAGACTCCATCTCAAAAAAAAAAAAATAGATGTATTTGAATATTATTGATTACTGGGCAGACCAGAATTATTCTGAATAATTTTTAATAAAGGCAGGAAGCTTACCTTTATTAAGCTTAGATCATAAGATGCTGATTGTATGCTATGCAGACAAGTCTAGATTTCAATAACCACAAAACATGAAGGTTATCTTTTAACAAATGAGTACCAGAACTTTATAAAAATCCTTAAAATGAGATGTTTGCCTGTCCTAAGAACTTACTGACCCAACACCTGATACATACAGGTTACCCAAGCAAATCAGAGAAGCTCTGGAGCATGGAAAAGATGAAAACCTATTTCTGCCTCATAAGGAATCTGCAGCCCACACTGTCTGATGTGGGCAATCAGGTTCTTCTCCGGTACTACCAGATGCAAAGGCAGAGTGATTGCCGGAACGCTGCCCGGACCACCATTCGGCTGTTGGAAAGCTTGATACGATTAGCAGAAGGTCTATTTCATTCAGCGAATGATGCTTGTATTGAATGCTGCGTGTGTGCAAGGCATGGGGCTTGGCACCATGGATTCAAAGTTGAATGAGAATAACTCCCACTCTAAGGTGCTCATAGTCACTTAAAAATAAAGGCTCTGAGCCAGAAGATCTCTGCTCCTCTGAGGACAGATTATGAGTATTGACTGGAATGTGGTGTCATTAAGAAAGAGGAATCTTTGTGCCATCTCGGGACCTCCTAGAACTTAATATACCATTCACTTAGAAAGCCTTACTTCTGATATTTTGTTTCTCAGTGGTAGCTCTGTTAGCATTTTGAGTAGGACAGTTTCTTGTTTGGAATTGTTTCCCATATAGCATCACTAGTTCTTGCTCATTAATTGCCAGTTGCAGTCCACCCCTGTCATTATAGCAACCAACTTGACAATGCCATGCCCTGCCCCATTACATATATACATATAGCTAACATGTATCTTAATTCTTTTCTTCTAACATTGGCTTTTACATTTTAGCTTTTGTTTAAATCTAAAAAAAGAATTCACATGAACTGAATAATAAAATAAAATAATACAAGCTTAATAAAAAATACTGTAAAACAAATGGACTTTCTTTTTTCAAGGATTTATAGCTAATATTAGGGCAAGAAATACTCAGAATTTAGAATTGCTTGTTTGGTAGCTTTGAAAAGCTCATAGATCATAAAGAGGAGTGCCAGAAATGAAAAATGAGTTTTAATTTTGTGTAGTTTTATAAAAGACTAGAAAATGAGGACTAAAGTTGCTGAATATTAAATGTATGTTTATATAGCCCGTTTTTTTGCTAGAGCCCAGAGTACTTTTTCATATAAATATACAAGATTGTGTGGGCTACACAGAAGGATTAGGCTCATTATAGAAACATCCTTAAAGCTAGTTGAATGTTGACTTTTGTGCTTGTTCTAGTAAAATTATGTTGTTATTAATAGCTCATTCATAAAATACAAATGGTGAGGAGGAGGAAGTTAGAGAATTACATTTCTCACCTCAAATATTCCTAAAAAACAAATGTGTTTTGTTTTCTTAGCTCATGCTCGCCTGATGTTTCGTGATACTGTAACTCTGGAAGACGCTATTACGGTGGTGTCAGTCATGGAGTCCTCAATGCAGGTAAGGATATTTTGTGTACCTAATTTTTATCCTAATTACAAACTTTCTTTTTTTTAAAAAAGGACACTTTATTAACATATCAAAAGTTATTAAAATGCTCATATTCTAGACTTAGTAATTCCTGGAAATATATCCAAAGGTAACCGATTAAATGAAGAGGAAACAGTGTCCTGGAGATATTTGCTGCATGGGTGGCATTGCTTTTGCCTATTGATGTAAAGTAGTGCGCTTCGATCGTTTTTTTCCTCAACACACCTGAGAGATGTTCATAGCCCACCAGTGACAGTATAGCTTCCTAGAGCAATGATTGCCACCAAGAACTGGGGGAGTGAACTATAGAAAGTTGAAAAAGCCTCCCAAGTGATTTTCATACCCAGTATAGGGGTGTAAACGGCGGTCTTAGCCCCCGGGGATTGCTGGTCCCTAGAGTGTACTTACCGCTATGCAGGCTGGCCTGGTGACTCTCCTGGTATTTTCTCACCCCTTCAGGGAGGTGCACTGCTAGGAGGTGTGAATGCCCTCCACACTTCCTTTCCTGAAAACCCTGGAGAGCAGTACCAGAGACAGTGTGAACTTATTCTGGAAAAGCTAGAGCTGCAGAGCCTCTTGAGTGAAGAGCTTAGAAGACTTGAAAGGTGAGGAATGAAAACCCAGAAAGGCATACAATGGAAAATCCTTGTTTGGCATTTAGTGAAACAAAGCAAGTGTGCATTAAGTGGAAAAATCTATCTATCAGGTGTTGGGTCAGTAAGTTCTTAGGACAGGCAGATACTATCTATAGGAGACTGTTTCAGTTTTCTACTGCTGTATAATCAACTGCTCCAAAACTCAGTGACTGCGAACACCACCCCCACCAGCATTTTAGTGTTCACTTTTCTGGGTATCAGACATTCAGGCAGGCTCGGTGGGGATAGCTTGTCTTTGCTCCACATTGTGTTGGCTGAGATAACAACTCAGCAATGACAGAAGCAACATTTCAAAACTTACCTTTCTAATGACTCATTAAAATGTGAATAATAGACAAGGAGGATACATGGGAAGAAACATGTCACATGCCTTAGTGTGAATGTGGACTCTACCAAAAAAATTTTGCCCAAACTATTAATGTTCGCATACTCCCGAAATATGTGGACTTCTAAAAACCTAGGTTTTGCGTGTAAGCCTGAGAAATAGGAGTGAGGAATGGCAAGTTTATCCATTTTTGGTGTCTTCATGATCAGTGTGAATGGCTTAATAATTGACCTGCAGCTCTTACTGGTGTTGGTCTCAAAGCCGGGGTCTGGTGAATGAAGTACATGAAAAAGTGGAACAGCTGCAAAGAATTTGGGGACCACATTGAGACTGTTGACTACGTTAAAAAAAAATCCTTGAGAATTCTTCCTTCTCACAGCATCCTTCTCTTTCTAGTTTTTGAAACTTCAGCACAGCCTTCCTGGGGAAGTGCGGGGATGGGCATTATCCTGTTAATAGCCAGGTGCCAGACTGCAGTAAACTTGCACTTTGTATAAAATTCGCCCCTCTTTCTTTTGGTCTCCTGGCTCATTTTATGATCCAGAACATGGTGCCAAGATCAAAGTTATTCCTTTGGGTTGTTTATGATTTGATGTAGCTGATTCTTTTCAAGCCGCTCCTGGGCTTGGCTTTGCTTTTGGAGAGGCTGCTCATTTTGACTGATCCAAGCTACCAGAAACTGACATATGCTGGATTCGGGAAAGGAGAAAAAGTGAGGCCCAGAATCATTGTTATGAATTAGAAAGATGGCAATTAGACTTCCCAAATTTAAAATGACCCTCCTGGAGGGAAAGAAAGGAAAAACGAAAGAGTATTTGACAATCTAAAAGACAGGATTCTACCTTAAAATGTTTTTTTCTACTGGTATTTATTTATAATGTAGAGGCATGTTCTGGTGTTGATCCTCCTGAAAGCAACAAAACCAGGTACTATGCAAATGAAAGTGAATTACCTCCAAGGCACAATCTAATGCTAATCTTATCAAGTGAGAAAAAACCCAACCAGCATATGAGTTTTTACTGTTTTGGAAAGAGTTCTCTGTTCCTTAAGGAGATAATTATAATGAAACCATTTATAGTTTTATCATGCTTTACTTCCAGAAAATGCTTTATACTGGTGACAGTCTGACTCGGCCATTCTATGTGCCTCAAAACAGAGTGCAGGCGGGGCACGGTGGCTCACACCTGTAATCCCAGCACTTTGTGAGGCCAAGGTGGGCAGATCACTTGAGGTCAGGAGTTCAAGACCAGCCTGGCCAACATGGTGAAACACTGTCTCTACTAAAAATACAAAAATTAGCTGGGTGTGTTGGCGGGCGCCTGTAATTCCAGCTACTCGGGAGGCTGAGGCAGGAGAATTGCCTGAACCCAAGAGGTGGAGGTTGCAGTGAGCCAAGATTGAGTGAAACTCCATCTGAAAAAAAAAGAAAGACTAAAATAATAGGGCTTAGTCTACCCTAACTTATTCTCATCTTTTAGGAGATTTTTGCAGAACTTTAACAATTATCAGTATCCCTGACCTCAATTTGATGCTGAAAAGTATGCTAGGTAGTAGTAATTTTGAAAGCTATTTGCTTTTTTGTTTGGTTGTAACTCAAATTAGTAAAAATGAACATGGGTTTGCCCCGGGGGGCAGAGGTTTCAGTGAGCCGTGATCGTGCCACTGCACTCCAGCCTGGGTGACAGAGAGAGACTCTGTCTAAAAAAAAAAAAAAAAAAAAAAAAAAAAAAAAAAAGGTGGGTTTGCTTATTGATATTTTCAAACCTACTGTGAATGAATGTAACCCAATATGTTTACAATAATTTTGGGGGCTTTTTTTCTGATTATAAAGGTAATGCATGTTTTTATTTTGTATTTTTAAAAGTAGCAGTGATGAATTAATTAGAAAACAAAAAAATCACATGTAGTCTTATTTCCCAGAGATATATACCATTAACATTTTAATGTATTTAAATATATTTAAATATAAGGTATTTCCTTATATTTTCTATGATTATACATGAATTTTAGAATAACTTACTCATCTGCTTTCTGGTATAATATCTTTTCAAAGTAAGCACGTAGAAGAGGGATCATATTGTACTTTATAAGAAAAAGGCATTTCTAGGTTGTCAGGAAAGGCTTTCTAAAGGACCTACTTCTAGGGAACTACAATCCTTATTAGGAAGTCATCCTCCCTCATGACCAAAGGGAAATTTGAAATGAAAATATGAGATCTGGCAAGATGGCCAAATAGGAACAGCTGTGGTCTGCAGCTCCCAGCAAGACCAATGCAGAAGGCAGGTGATTTCTGCGTTTCCAGCTGAGGTACCCAGTTCATCGCATTGGGACTACTGGTTAGGCAGTGGGTGCAGCCCACAGAAGGTGAGCAGAAGCAGGGTGGGGCATCACCTCACCCTGGACTTACAAGGACCCGGAGGACTTCCCTCCCCCAGCCAAGGAAAGCAGTGAGGGACTGTGCTACCTGGCCTGGATACTACGCTTTTCCCATGGTTTTTGCAATCCACGGATCAGAAGATTCCCTCATGAGCCTACACCACCAGGGCCCTGGGTTTCAAGCACAAAACTGGGTGGCAATTTGGGCAGACACTGAGCTAGCTTCAGGAGTTTTTTTTCATACCCCAGTGGCACCTGGAACCCCAGCGAGACAGAACCATTCACTCCCCTGGAAAGGGGGCTGATGGCAGGGAGCTGAATGGTCTCAGTGGGTCCCACTCCCATGGAGTCTAGCAAGCCAAGAACCACTGGCTTGAAATTCTTGCTGCCAGCACACCATTCTGAAGTCGACTTGGGATGATCGAGCTTGTAGGGGGAGGAGTGTCCCCCGTTACTGAGGCTTGAGTAGGCGGTTTTCCTCTGACAGTGCTAAGGAGGCCAGGAGGTTTGGACTGGGTGGAATCCACCACAGTGTGGCGAATTGGCTGTGGCCAGATACCTTCTCTAGATTCCTCTTCACTGGGCAGGGCATCTCTGAAAGAAAGGAGCCCCAGTCAGGGGCTTGCAGATAAAACTCCCTGGGACAGAGCACCTGGGGGAAGGGGAAGCTGTGGGTGTTGCTTCAGCAGACTAAAACTTTCCTGCCTGCCAGCTCTGAAGAGAGCAGCTGATCCTAACTAGGAGGATTCTAGCAGCACACTCTGCTAAGGGACAGACTGCTTCCTCAGGTTGGTCCCTGACCCCTGTGCCTCCTGACTGAGAGAGACCACCCAGCAGGGTTCAGCAGACACTTCATGTAGGAGAGCTCTGCTGGCATCAGGCTGGTGCCCCTCTGGGACAAAGCTTCCAGAGGAAGGAGCAGGCAGCAATCTTTGCTGTTCTGCACCCTCCACTGGTGATACCCCAGGCAAACAGGGTCTGGAGTGGACCTCTAGCAAACTGCAGCAGACTTGTGGAAGAGGGGCCTATTAGAAGAAAAACTAGCAAACAGAAAGCAAAAACAACAACATCAACAAAAAGGGCCCCCACACAAAAACCCCATCCTAAGGTCATCAGCTCAAAGATCAAAGGTAGATAAATGCACGAAGATGAGGAAAAACCAGCACAAAAATGCTGAAAATTCCAAAAACCAGAATGCCTCTTCAAATGATTGCAACTCCTCTCCAGCAAGGGCACAAAACTGGACAGAGAATGAGATTGACGAATTGACAGAAGTAGGCTTCAGAAGGTGGGTAATAACAAACTCCTCCAAGCTAAAGGAGCATGTTCTAACCCAATGCAAGGAAGCTAAGAACCTTGATAAAAGATTACAGGAACTGCTAACTGGAATAACCAGTTTAGAAAGAAGCGTAAATTACCTGATGGAGCTGAAAAACACAGCACGAGAACTTCATGAAGCATACACAAGTATCAGTACTCAAATCAATCAAGCGTGAGAAAGGATATCAGAGATTGAAGATCAACTTACTGAAATAAGGCATGAAGATGAGATTAGGAAAAGAAAAAAGAATGAAAAGGAATGAATAAAACCTCCAAGAAATATGGGACTGTGTGAAAAGACCATACCTAAGATTGATTGGTATACCTGAAAATGATGGGGAGAATGGAACCAAGTTGGAAAACACACTTGGATATTTTCCAGGAGAACTTCCCCAACTTAGCAAGACAAGCCAACATTCAAATTCAGGAAATACAGAGAACACCACTAAGATACTCTTCGAGAAGGGCAACTCCAAGACATATACTCATCTGATTCACCAAGGTTGAAATGAAGGAAAAAATGTTAAGGGCAGCCAGAGAGAAAGGTCAGGTTACCTACAAAGGGAAGCCCATCAGACTAACCGCAGATCTCTCGGCAGAAACCCTACAAGCCAGAAGACAGTGGGGGCCAATATTCAAAATTCTTAAAAAGAATTTTCAACCCAGAATTTCACATCCAGCCAAACTAAGCTTCATAAGTGAAGGAGAAATAAAATCCTTTACAGACATGCAAATGCTGAAATATTTTGTAACCAGCAGGCCTGCCTTACAAGAGCTCCTGAAGGAAGCACTAAATATGGAAAGGAAAAACTGGTACCAGCCACTACAAAAACATACCAAATTGTAAAGACCGTTGATGCTATGAAGAAACTGCATCAACTAATGTGCAAATTGACCAGATAGCATCATGATAACAGGATCAACTTCATACATAACAATATTAACCTTAAATGTAAATGGGCTAAATGCTCCAATTAAAAGACACAGACTGGCAAATTGGATAAAGAGTCAAGACCCATCAGTGTGCTGTATTCAGGAGACCCATCTCACGAGCAAATACACACATAGGCTCAAAATAAAGGAATGGAGGAATATTTACCAAGCAAATGGAAAGCAAAAAAAAAGCAGGGGTTGCAATCCTAGTCTCTGATGAAACAGACTTTAAACCAACAAAGATCAAAAAAGACAAAGAAGGGTACTACATAATGGTAAAGGGATCAATGCAACAAGAAGAGCTAACTATCCTAAATATATATGCACCCAATACAGGAGCACCCAGATTCATAAAAGAAGTCCTTAGAGACCTTCAAAGAAACTTAGACTCCCACACAATAATAGTGGGAGACTTTAACTCCCCACTGTCAGTATTAGATAGATCCATGAGGCAGAAAATTTACAAGGATATTCAGGACTTGAACTCAGCTGTAGACAAAGTGGACCTAATAGACATCTACAGAACTCTCTACCCCAAATGAACAGAATATACATTCTTCTCAGCACCACATAGCACTTATTCTAAAATTGACCACAGAATTGGAAGTAAAACACTCCTCAGGAAATGCAAAAGATTGGAAATCATCACAAACAGTTTCTCAGACCACAGTGCAATCAAATTAGAACTCAGGATTAAGAAACTCACTCAAAACTGCACAACTACATGGAAACTGAACAGCCTGCTCCCAAATGACTACTGGGTAAATAATGAAATTAAGGCAGAAATAAATAAGTTCTTTGAAACCAATGAAAACAAAGACAAAACATACCAGAATCTCTGGGACACAGCTAAAGCAGTGTTCAGAGGGAAATTTATAGCACTAAACGCCCTCAGGAGAAAGAGGGAAAGAACTAAAATTGACACCCTAACATCACAATTAAAAGAACTAGAGAAGCAAGAACAAACAAATTCAAAAGCTAGCAGAAGACAAGAAATAACTAAGATCAGAGCAGAACTGAAGGAGATAGAGACACGAAAAACCCTTCAAAAAATCAGTGAATCCAGGAGCTGGTTTTTTGAAAAGATTAACAAAATAGATAGACCGCTAGCCATACTAATGAAGCAGAAAAGAGAGAAGAATCAAATAGACACAATAAAAAAATGATAAAGGGGATACCACAACTGATCCCACAGAAATACAAACTACCATTAGAGAATACTGTAAACAACTCTATGCAGATAAGTTAGAAAATCTAGAAGAAATGGATAAATTTCTGGACACATAAACCCTCCCAAGACTAAACCAGGAAGAAGTTGAATCCCTGAATATACCAATAACAAGTTCTGAAAGTGAGGCAGTAATTAATAGCCTACCAACCAAAAAAAGTCCAGGACCAGACAGATTCACAGCCAAATTCTACCAGAGGTACAAAGAGGAGCTGGTATCATTCCTTCTGAAACTATTTCAAACAATAGAAAAAGAGGGACTCCCCACTAAGTCATTTTATGAGGCCAGCATCATCCTGATTCCAAAACCTGGCAGAGAGACAATAAAAAAAGAAAATTTCGGGCCAGTATCCCTGATGAACATTGATGTGAAAATCCTCAATAAAATACTGGCAAACTGAATACAGCAGCACATCAAAAAGCTTATCCACCATGTTCAAGTCAGCTTCATCTCTGGGATGCAAGGCTGGTTCAACATACACAAATCAACAAACGTAATCCATCACATAAACAGAACCAGTGACAAAAACCACATGATTATCTCAATAGATGCAGAAAATGCCTTCAATAAAATTCAACACCCCTTCGTGCTAAAAACTCTCAATAAGCTAGGTGTTGATGGAAAGTATCTCAAAATAATAAGAGCTATTTATGACAAACCTACAGCCAATATCATACTGAATGGGCAAAAGCTGGAAGCATTCCCCTTGAAAACTGGCACAAGACAAGGATGCCCTCTCTCACCACTCCTAGTCAACATAGTATTGGAAGTTCTGGCCAGAGCAATCAGGCAAGAGAAAGAAATAAAGGATATTCATATAGGAAGAGAGGAAGCTAAATTGTCTCTGTTTGCAGATGACATGATTGTATATTTAGAAAACCCCATCATCTCACCCCAAAACTCCTTAAGCTGATAAACAACTTCAGCAAAGTTTCAAGATACAAAATCAATGTGCACCAATCACAAGCATTTCTATACACCAATAATAGAGAGCTGAATCATCAGTGAACTTCCATTCACAATTGCTACAAAGAAAATAAAATACCTAGGAATACAACTTACATGGGATGTGAAAGACCTCTTCAAGGAGAACTACAAACCACTGCTCAAGGAAATAAGAGAGGATACAAACAAATGGAAAAACATTCCATGCTCATGGATAGGGTGAATCAATATTGTGAAAATAGCTGTACTGCTTAAAGTAATTTATAGATTCAATGCTATTCCCATCAAGCTACCGTTGACTTTCTTCACAGAACTAGGAAAAACTACTTTAAATTTCATATGGAACCAAAATAGAGCCGGTATAGCCATGATAATCCTAAGCAAAAAGAACAAAGCTGGAGGCATCACGCTACCTGACTTCAAACTATACTGCAGGCTACAGTAACCAAAACAGCATGGTGCTGGTACCAAAACAGATATATAGACCAATGAAACAGAACAGAGGCCTCAGAAATAACACCACACATCTACAACCATCTGATCTTCCACAGACCTCACAAAAATAAGCAAGGGGGAAAGGATTCCCTATTTAATAAATGATGCTGGGAAAACTGGTTAGCCATATGCAGAAAACAGAAACTGGACCTGCTCCTTACACCTTATACAAAAATTAACTCAAGTTGGATTAAAGACTTGAATTTTAAACCTAAAACCATAAAAACCCTAGAAGAAAACCTAGGCAGTACCATTCAGGACATAGGCATGGGCAAAGACTTCATGACTAAAATACCAAAAGCAATTGCAACAAAAGCTAAAATTGACAAATGGGATCTAATCAAACCAAAGAGCTTCAGCTCAGCCAAATAAACTATCATCAGAGTGAACAGGCAACTTATAGAATGTGAGAAAATTTTTACAATCTATCCATCTGACAAAGGGCTAATATCCAGAATCTACAAGGAACTTAAAAAAATATACAAGAAAAAAAGCCATCAAAACTGGGTGAAGGATATGAACAGACACTTCCCAAAAGAAGACATTCATGCAGCCAACAAACATGAAAAAAAGCTCATCATCACTGGTCATTAAAGAAATGCAAATCAAAACCACAATGAGATACCATCTTACACCAGTTAGAATGGTGATCATTAGAAAGTCAGGAAACAACAGATGGTGGCTAGGCTGTGGAGAAATAGGAATGCTTCTACGTTGTTGGTGGGAGTGTAAATTAGTTCAGCCATTGTGGAAGACAGTGTGGCGATTCCTCAAGGATCTAGAACCAGAAATACCATTTGAACCAGCAATCCCATTACTGAGTATACACCCAAAGGATTATAAATCATTCTACTGTAAAGACACATGCACACGTATGTTTATTGCAGCTCTATTTACAATAGCAAAGACTGGGAACCATCCCAAGTGCCCATCAATGATACACTGGATAAAGAAAATGTGGCACATATACACCATGGAGTACTATGCAGACATAAAAAAGGATGAGTTCATATCCTTTGCAGGGACATGGATGAAGCTGGAAACCATCATTCTCAGCAAACTAACACAGGAACAGAAAACCAAACACCACATGTTCTCACTCATAAGTGGGAATTGAACAATGAGAACACATGGACACAGGGAGGAGAATGTCACACACTGGGGCCTTTTGGGGGGTGGGGTACAAGGGGAGGGAGAGCATTAGGACAAATACCTAATGCGTGTGGGGCTTAAAACCTAAATGATGGGTTGATAGGTGCAGCAAACCACCATGGCACATGTATACCTATGTAACAAACCTGCATGTTCTGCAAATGTATCCCAGAACTTAAAGTAAAAAAAAACAAGAAAGTTGTCCTTCTGGCAATATTTCAGTTTCTAATATGCCCAAGATATTTAAAATGATTTAAAATCATTTAAAATGATTATCACTGAACAGATCTTTCATTCGTAGAAAGTAAATAGATTTTAATTCTGTATCAAATTGATAAAAGAGTAGCTGCCCAGTAAATATGTTTAAACATGCCTGGGCTTTGCAGGAAAGATTGTCACAGTTGCCTGGGGAGGTCTGCCATGAATGGGAGTACAGGAGGCGGCAGTGTGAGCACCAGTACAGAAGTATCACAGACTCTTGACTCCTGAGGAAGGTGACTGCTCAGATGCACTCAGTACCTCAACTGGGTAAAGAGATGTGAGACCTCATAATCCCCAGTCTTTCACTTTGGTTCCTTGATCTGCAAACTGACTACTAAGCAAGTTAGCCAACAACCTACTTGGTCAGCAATCAGCTACTGTGTGGGTAGCAACAGGTCTGTCTTGTATTTGAACATTTAACATGAGAGATAAAGCTGAGGATTTTACACTGATCTTCAAACAATCTTAAATGAATGAATTGGACTTTTGGAGAGATCTAAAAATGTAGACAAATCTCCGATTTCATTTTCTTTATTTTACTACAATTTTAGGTTAAATTAGTGTTTATCTGAGTATGTAAATTGTATATTGATTTAAAAAAGGATTATTTCATTCTGCTGCTCTAGGAGGTTGTATTTGATATTAACTTGGAATTATGTGGGACTTAAATCTTTAAGATGGTATCTCAGAGACTAAAGAAATGAATAGGTTAGCACAAATTCTCTTCCCTTCAAGACATGTTTTATTTATTTGTCTTTGCTACAGGTTACAGAATCAGAGTGTGCACCAATCCCAACCACGGGTATTGGAGGTAGAGACTACTCCAGGATCCTTGAGAAATGGTCCAGGGGAAGAATCAAACTTCAGAACTTCATCACAGCAGGAAATCAACTATAGCACACATATCTTCTCTCCTGGAGGCAGCCCCGAGGGAAGCCCAGTTCTAGATCCCCCACCGCATCTGGAGCCTAATAGATCAACAAGTAGGAAACATTCAGCTCAGCACAAAAATAACAGAGATGACAGTTTAGATTGGTTTGATTTCATGGCAACTCATCAGAGTGAACCTAAAAACACTGTTGTTGTGTCTCCTCATCCCAAAACATCTGGAGAAAATATGGCTTCGAAGATCTCTAACAGCACATCTCAGGGTAAGGAGAAGAGTGAGCCAGGCCAAAGGAGCAAAGTGGACATTGGGTTGCTTCCATCACCAGGAGAGACAGGTGTTCCATGGAGGGCAGACAATGTGGAAAGTAACAAGAAAAAAAGGCTAGCACTAGATTCTGAAGCAGCAGTCTCTGCTGATAAACCAGACTCAGTACTGACTCATCATGTCCCCAGGAACCTGCAGAAGCTGTGCAAAGAGAGGGCCCAGAAGTTGTGCAGAAATAGCACCAGGGTGCCTGCACAGTGCACAGTCCCTTCCCATCCTCAGTCCACTCCTGTACATAGCCCAGACAGAATGCTGGACTCACCCAAAAGAAAGAGACCGAAATCCCTTGCGCAAGTGGAAGAGCCTGCAATTGAAAATGTTAAGCCTCCAGGTTCCCCTGTGGCCAAACTGGCAAAATTTACTTTCAAGCAGAAGTCAAAACTGATCCACTCCTTTGAAGATCACAGCCATGTGTCACCTGGTGCAACTAAAATAGCAGTTCATAGTCCTAAAATTTCCCAGCGTAGAACAAGAAGAGACGCAGCCTTGCCGGTGAAGCGTCCAGGAAAGTTAACATCTACCCCAGGAAACCAGATCTCCAGTCAGCCACAGGGTGAGACAAAGGAGGTGTCGCAGCAGCCACCAGAGAAACACGGACCAAGAGAGAAGGTGATGTGTGCCCCTGAGAAGAGGATTATTCAGCCTGAATTAGAGCTTGGGAACGAGACTGGGTGTGCTCATCTTACTTGTGAGGGAGACAAAAAGGAAGAGGTTTCAGGCAGTAATAAAAGCGGCAAGGTTCATGCCTGCACATTAGCCAGATTGGCAAACTTCTGCTTTACTCCCCCATCGGAATCCAAATCAAAATCCCCTCCTCCTGAAAGGAAGAACCGAGGTGAGAGAGGCCCAAGCTCCCCTCCTACAACCACAGCTCCAATGCGTGTCAGTAAAAGGAAATCTTTTCAGCTCCGTGGGTCCACCGAGAAACTGATTGTTTCCAAAGAATCCCTCTTCACTTTACCAGAACTAGGTGATGAAGCATTTGATTGTGACTGGGATGAAGAGATGAGAAAAAAGTCATAGTTGGGAAAAGCTTTCTGGTCAAATCTCACCTTCTTCAACTCCACAGAGGACCTTCAGGATATCAATATGGTATTTATAAATGTATAGAACAATTGGCCATATTGAGGATCACTCTGAATACTGGCTCCCCCTTAAGGCTTTCTAATTTCAGGTTAATCTTCATGACTTAAAAAGTTGTATAATCAGTTGAGGTCAGTGTGATACCAGCAGCTGAGCTGAATTAATTATGTTGTGCTTAATTTTACAAATGGAGTACTTGTATTCCTGTTCCTGAAGCTGTTTCTGTTTTTTGTTTTGTTTTGTTTTTAAGGGGGAGAGGTTCTTCCCTAGATTAATTTCTTCTTTCATTCACTCAGGAACAAATGTCAAGAAGGTAGCACTCATAAATCTAACAAGGCAGATGAACTCTTTTCTACTTTTTTTTTTTTTTTTTGTATTTTCACCTGGAATGGGCTAAGTACAGTGAATATAATCACTTGGATGATTTGCCAAAATCAGACTATTTTTCTAGTATTATTTTTGTATTGATTTGTGTGGATCAGGTTAAATGTGACTAATGCTTTTCTTTCTTTGAGAGGTATCCTTACAATTCCATGATGTTCTTAGAGATCTGGCCACTGGTCAAACAGTACCTTTCTGAAGTACTGACCTTCTGAGTTGTCCTTTCTTTCTTGAGCCAACATTTTGTACTTCAGATTCTTTTTTCTCTTGGGGGCCTACCTTCAACCAAGTAAAATACTGTGATTAGAAGAAGAGAGAGTATGAGCCAGGCACAGTGACTCACTCCTGTAGTCCTAGCTACTCGGGGAGGCTGAGGCAGGATGATTGCTTAAGCCCAGGAGTTCGGGGTTACAGTGAGCTGTGGTCACACCACTGTATTCCAGCCTGGGTGACAGAGTGAGATCCTGTCTCTAAAAATAAAATAAATGAAGAAGAGAGACTATGTGGTAGTCTCAATCAAACATCATGTCTCATCTACCCAGCTGGTTAATATGGAAATGTGATTCCTACTAAGTTGTGATTCACTTGTCTTTAAAACCAAGGAAATTATATACTGTTTTTGGTCAGAATAGATAACCTCAAGCTTTGTCTTTCTATGTGCTTTTAAAATCACTTATTCCTTTGGATTCTAATAAGGGTTATTAGGATTCAGTAATTATGGACTTTCTCTTCTGAAGTGTGAATTTGTAAACTGATTGTTTAATTGTCAGAGGGACTTTTGGACATAGAATACTCAAAACTATATGTATTTTGTTTAATTTTCACTTCATTCAATTCACGCATTGAAAACAAATTTAGAAAATCCAATTTTTCTTAAGCATTTAAACGTTCTAAAATTCACTAATAAAATTTTCTGAAAAAATTTAAACTGTGAGTACAAATTTAGTGTGGCTGAGTCTTGAAATGATTGGCCATAATGAGTACCATTCTCTGAAGTTTGAAACACCTTAAACAGCTGATAAAAGACATATATAAACAATGATTATAAAATTTATTATTTCTGTACCTGTTTAATAATTTACCAGTATACTATGATTCTTAATATATTCCTAATCTTTCAGTTTTATTGCTTTCCTGGGTTTCAGTGTTCTTACCAGAACTAAAGGAAAAGGAATGGAAGTGGGTTTTTGACCAGCTGAATCTTGATCTGGGCGTGGTCTGATTATTTAGATGAGGATGACTCAAACCTAAGCCACAGTGTGGAGCTGACTTTTTTTAATGGTAAATTTTTAAGTCCATGTCTTATGAATTTTTGTCTTTGAAACTTGGTATCTTTTGCAGTAATTATGTATTAGGTTTTGCATGGCTGACAGTACCTAACCTATTGGCATGTCATTAGGGTATTTTGATCTGTTATGTTATTTAAAATATTTGTATTCTTTATTGGGACTTTTGGTTTTAGAGGTTTCATTTTTAGTAATGAGAGATTTAATTTTCATAGTTACCTTGTCTCTTTAGGACACTGAGTAATTCATATTTTAAATTACATGTTGAATTGTCTTTCTTCCTTGGTCATTGTGTATGACTGCCAATGCCACCTTCTACCTGGTTATAATTTGTGCCCACCATGCATCCTATTATTTTGTGCTAATCAATCCACTTTCCATTTTAGTACCTTCTGTCAAGATTTGGCCAAATTACCACTTCCATATGTTTATTCTTTGGTACTTACCCAGATAGAAATAACTACATACCTAAATATTTTAAACAGACATAATTATTAGAAGAAATAAAATACCCAATACATATTGAATATCCCTTATCTGAAATGGTTAGGCCTGGAAATGTTTTGGATTTTGGATTTTTTTGGATTTTGGAATATTTGCACTATACCTATACTTACTGGTTGAGCATCCCAAATCTGAAAATCCAAAATCCAGAATGCCCCAGTGAGCATTTCCTTTGAGCATCATGTCAGTACTCACAAAGTTTTGGATTTGGGATTTTTCGATTAGGGATATTCAACCTGTATAAACATCCTTCTTACTAAAATGTTAAACTTCTATCACAGACTGTTATGTGTTATAACTGCCTCATTGTGCTTATATTTAATGCTCAGTCTCACAGCTTGGTCAGAGTCCCTTTATGTTGACCTGAATGTCCTTTCATCATTCTGATGCTTCTATAAAAGCATCCATGCTATCCGAAAACAACAGGATGTTCCATACCCATTTTGATTTCTTCATGCTCCATGTCATGGAGTCAGCTATCCCCAAGGTACTCTGTTTCCTTTGAAGGTCAGTAGTGTTAGAGACCAAACTCTAGGCCTCAGGGTCACCTGTTCAGGAGAGTCACTAATGGGCAAAAGTTCTTCCACTGCTGTTGGGTCAAGTTTAGTAGGTTCAGAGCTGGAAAGTGTTTTGATGTCCTGAGGTCATGTTTTATCCTGCTGTGTCCTACTTTTGTTATAGACGTGATTTCATGATGACTAAAACTTTCTCTTGTATGGTCTTTAATGTGTGTATCAAGGAAGCACATGGATTGTCTTGGGGGAATATGAACAGTCTCACAGGTCACATTTCTGTTCAATAAAGAGAGGTGTAAAAAATAACCTTTGGCCGGGTGCGGTGGCTCACACCTGTAATCCCTGCAGTTTGGGAAGCTGAGGTGGGTGGATCACTTGAGGTAAGGAGTTCAAGACCAGTCTGGCCAACATGGTGAAACCCCGTCTCTACTAAAAATACAAAAATTAGCTGGGTGTGGTGGTAGGCGCCTGTAATCCCAGCTACTCGGGAGGCTGAGGCAGGAGAATCACTTGAACCTGGGAGGCGGAGGTTGCAGTGAGCCAAGATCATGCCACTGCACTCCAGCCTGGGTGACAGAGTAAGACCCTGTCTCACAAACAAACAAACAAAAAACCTTTAATTCTGAATCAAGTTGCCAAAATATTTTGATTTCAGTCCCAGTGTACTTCTTGAAAACATTTTAATAATGTAAAATTATCTAAACACAATAAAAACTATACTTAATTTTATCTGTGAGAGGGCTAAACCAGAATTTAAATTCTATTGTAACTATATGAGATAATGGAATTTTCTGATACTGTAAAAGATTAATCTTCAGTGCATATGTAGTATTCTAAAATGTATAATAGGAATTTTATTGTAATTTTTGGTGTCTTATAGAAATATGAGCAAAACAAACATATTATTCTGATATCTTTAACTCTGTGGCTTAATGCAAATTTTAAACTTTTTTGAAGGTATACCAAAACATTAAACATTTATTCTTGGTTGACAAATTTTAATTCTAACAAACTTACACATTCTGTAGGCATACTTGATTTCTGTTCCTTCTCCATGTGCTAAACCTTCTGCTTAACGGGTGGAATGCTAGAGAAAATCCTAGGTTAACTCAGAGAGCTTGCCTTTAGCCAGTTCACAATATTTAGGAGTTCAGAAACTATCCAACCTTGAATTCTAGGTCACTAGAGACTTCCTGGGACCTGGTGAACCTTTCAGATGCAACTTACCAAACAACCAGTTTCCAAACCTATTAACATCACAATGTAGGAAGCTAAGCCAGTGCTTCTTCCTCAGTGTTCAAAACCATCCTCTGAGCTTGCTTTCCTTATTAACATTCAAGAAAGATAAAAGCGCCCTGGCTCACATTAGTACCCACTCCAATTGGGGTGTTCCTGTCAGTGTTCTGTCTTGCATGTGACATAGCCCCCCAGGTATACGGGGAGCCATTACCCACACACATCCTCTTCACTGTCACTCAGAGGACATGCACAGGAAGTGGTGGCAACCGCCCCTTATGACACACTCAGTAGTTCTTGTATCTGTTCCACTGCCACATCTCTTCCTTAAAGGCTTGAAAATGCATCTAAGGGTAATATTTGTAATAAAAGTGAACTTGACAGATATTAAACTAAATTTTAAAAAATTGTGTCTGTGAATAGTCCGGTGCAAGATACAGTTTAAGGGAGGAAATGGGATATACATACTGGGCCAGGACTTACCGAGAAATGAGTAATTTCTATATCTTGTGAATGCAAATTATTTTTAGGCCACTCTTCTTTATGTTTAGTTGGAATTGCAATTCCTTGGTAGAGGTGAACCGACAGAAAGCAAGCATTTGTATCAGGTGTGTTTTTATGTGGGAACAAACTTGGTTTAACTTACAGTTTTCATGATAAGCAAAACCAATGCTGGAATATTGCTTACTATTTTGAGATCTAACTTTTTCAGTGCTCAATAATACATAGAGTGCGAGGTGGGCAGATTACTTGAGGTCAGGAGTTCAACACCAGCCTGGCCAATATAGTGAAACCCCGCCTCTACTAAAAATACAATAATTAGTGGGGTGAGGTGGTACGCTTCTGTAGACCCAGCTACTTGGGAGGCTGAGGCAGGAAAATCGCTTGAACCCGGTAGGTGGAGGTTGCACTGAGCTGAGATTGTGTCACCGCTCTCCAGCCTGGATGACAGAGTGAGACTCCGTCTCAAATTTAAAAAAAAAAACAACATAGACTGGGTAATAGAACAAAACTAAGAACAAGGCAAATTGGGTTCTAGAACTAGCCAACAGTGTGGCTTCGCCGTCTTCAGCGGTCTTGTCCATAAAGGCTGAGGATCAGGCCTATCTATTACATATTGCTGAGTTACAGAAAAGGAAACCCTCAGAAGCTAGCTGAAATAAAGGCAAGTTTGCTGTAGGGATACAGCAGGGAGTCTCATTAAGGACAGGCAACAAAGTCTCACCAGGCCACATGGGCCCAGAACTGGAAAGTCAGGACTGAAACTGTTCCCTCAGCCTCTCCTGGATCCTCAAGGTCCCGTGTTGTTGCCTCTCTCAATGAGTGTGCTCCAGTTTCCTGTTCCTCCCAGCAGCCCCACGTTCTGTGCTCACTCAAGGCTTATCTGCTCCAGCTACCCTCTGGCTTTTGAACTACTTTGGGGCCTGGCTCCAGCTGTGACTTTCTCTGACCTTGCCAGATGATGCCCTACCTACATCTTTCTGATTCAAGCTTTTTAGTTCAGATTCTTGGTGGGTTCATCTTGGCTTGAAAGGGAGTAGAGGATGAGGAGAGTGGCCACCTGGTATAGACACAGCTGCTTGAGCTCTGGGTGGAGACAGTCTCAGAGAGTGTGGGGTGGGAGGCAGTGATTGGCCAGTCTACCGCATCTCTATCTCCCTGGAGCTTTTGGTTTAAGGTTCTATAATTATACCACTTCTATTGATTCTATTATAATTACTGAATTAAGAGAGCTTTAAGGCACTTGGGTCATCTTTCCCAAGGAGCTAGGTAAATTCCTGACCTGATAGCAGCTAGGTACCTTACAGGGATTGCAAACCACTTTTGGCTATACGAGAAGTGCAGCTTAGGCCACAGGCCACAGAGGGAGCTACTTATTGTGTCACTAGTTATCAAACTTCCGTTTTCCTGTGTATATATTGCTCACCATAACTACAGCATAGCTGTTAAAAATACTTAAATGAAAGTCAAAGTAGATGGGAGTATGTAAAGAGTATTACTCTGAAATATGTTTAGGAATAATCTCTGTGGTTAAGAGATACATATATTATTTTCCAGATTTTCAACTTTACAATTGCCAATAAAACAGGGACTAGATCCAATATGAGGAGAGGAAAATGCGAAAGTGTCTTAGGCCTGCTTTAATCCTGTTTAAAATTGTAGAGGAATGATAGTCAAGAATAATTTTAAACTGAGGAGTAATGCAATTTTGACCTCTAATGATCTTATTTAATCACTCTGGGAAATGAAGTTGCTTTTTCAGCAGGAGAATTAAAGCTATTTTGAGGGATCTTGCTGCCTTTGAGGGGACTCTGTGAATGGGGGAATGATGCTGTAGCCTGGGGCACAGTACATCCCTGGAGAGACTCCCTTGTTTGTAGACTTTGCCCCTAAGAACTAGTAACAGTGGAAAGAAAATTGTACAACGTGATCCATCCTGAATGAAAAGGTCCCTGCCAGACACTGTCCAGTTGTTTTTCTTCCCACTAATCATTACTTCTTCATAAAGGTTACAAAAGCAATGAAATTTTGATTTTAAGTACTTATTTGCCCCCAGTGAAATTTTAGTTACAACATAACAGTAATATCAATCATCATAAGATTAGTACTTAAGGTTTTCAAGACATATTTAATATATGACAACATTAATATTCACACAACTAGTACTATTTATAGATCAGGTGATACCCTATTTTACAAATGAGAGAAAAGCTCCAATGTTTAAATGATTTTTCTAAAAATGTCTTTTTACTTGAAAGAAGATGAAGTTCTGGAACATATGTTTCTTAACTCCTTCCCTCCTTATTGCTCCATTGAAAATAATATCTATTCATAAAGGGTAAAAGTTATCTATTTTGGTTGTTTGCTATGTGCTAGTTATTCGCCTAGCATTTTTCAAGTATTAACTCATTTAATCCTCACAACAATCTATGGCATAGGTAACATTATCCTCATTTTACAGATTAGGTAATTGCATCTTAGAGACACTAAATAGCTTGATCAAAGTTACATTACTAGCCAGTGATGTGACACCTATGTTAATTCATAAAGTGAGAGGAAAATATTACCTACAAGGAACTTCACTTTGCCCTGCTCTTCATCCACTTCCCACTGCCACACATCACCTCTGCTGCAGTCTGCACCATGTGTCCTGCCTTCTCCCCATTACAAGACATGGGTTATCCATGCTCTAGCCAAAGAAAGCCTTCCACCTGCCTACTAGATCCCATCCCCTTTGCCCCTCATTCCTCTGGGACATAGCTCCAGCAATTTTCTCTGCACTCCTGCTTTATCAGTGTACCCCTTCCACCAGCATACAAACATCTTGATATCTGTCCCATCTTAAACACACCTCTCTCGACCCTACTTCCGTCTTTTAGCAAAACTTTAGAGGAGTTGGCTATTCCCCTTGTCTCTAATTCTTCTCTCCTGAACCCACTCCAGTGGGTTTTTGCCATTACCACTGCATGGAAACTCCTATTAGGGTCATCACTGACCTTCAATGCTCGATTTGCAGTCCTTATCTTACTTAATTCTACACAGTTGATTACTTCCCCCTCCCCGAAATCCTATGTCACTTGGTTTACAGGACATTATATGCCTGTGATTTTCCTTGCTAATGTCTTCTAGTCTCCCCAGCTTTTCCACTCCTTACCCAGTTTTCTCCACGTCTCTCGGATCTTGAATGTTTGAGTGACCCAGGGCCCTTTTCTATTCCCACCCACGCCCTTGGTATTCTCTTTCAATCTTCAGGCCCTCAGCACCCATCTTACGTGATGGTTTCTTTCCTGAACTCCAGACTCCTATATCTAACTTCTATTCAATATTTCTACTTAAGTATCTAAAGGCCATCTCAACTCAACCTATTCCAAATTGTACTCCTGCTCTCATTCCCCTGAACTTGCTCCTTTCCCAGGCTGGTCCATCGTGGTAAATTAAATGGAGACTTGATCCTTCCAGTTGCTTAGGCCAAAAACTTGTCATCTTTGACAATTTACTTTCTGTTGCACCTCACATTCAGTCTGTTAGAAAATTCCATGGCATCTCTATTAAAAATATATCCAGGAGCCGATCACTTCTTCCACAGTTACTGTATCACACCCGTTCAAGCCACCATTATCTCTTGCTCTGCCACTCCACCTCCCTACAGGCCATTCCCAGCACAGTAGTCAGTGATCCTGTTCATAGGTAAAGTCAGGTCATGTTACTTACCTCAAACCTTCTATCAGCCCATCTCACTCTGGGTAAAAGCCAAAGTCTTTATAATGATCTCTAAGGCCCTACTTGTCTGGCCACCTACTACCTCTGACATTGCACACCAGCCTCCTTGCTGGTGCTGTAATATTCCAGACATGATCCAGCCTCAGGGCCATTTTACTTGCTGTTCCATCTGTGTAGACTCTGTTCCCCTGAATTATCAGGGAATCACACTCATATTCATCAAGACTTTGTGAAAATGGCGGGGCATGGTGTCTAATGCCTGTAATCCCAGCACTTTGGGAGGCTGAGACGGGTGGATCACTTGAGGTCAGGAGTTCAAGACCAGCCTGACCAACATGGTGAAACCCCATCTCTACCAAAAATACAAAAATTAGCCAGGCATGGTGGTGCACACTTGTAATCCCTACTACTCAGGAGGCTGAGGCAAGAGAATCGCTTGAACCTGGGAGGCGGAGGTTGCAGTGAGCTGAGATCGAGCTCTAGCCTGGGCAACAGAGCAAGACTCTTTAAAAAAAAAAAGACTTTATGAAAATGTCATCTCTCAGTGATGCCTAACCTATTGAAAATTGCAAAACATTCTTCCTCTTATCCAATTTATCATAGCATCTTTACCATCTCATATAAAAGTTATTATTTTATTGTTCTAGGTACTAACCAAGGATGAGGGAAATTGAGAATGGATAGTAGAGGAAAGAGATGACATCAATTGCTCCTTCCAGATCAGCTGCCGTGGTGGAGGCTGTGGCTCATGCCACATCTGGCACAGTACCTGCAATTGGCACTGCTGGTTGGTGGAACTTGGGGTACTCTACTAACGTCTTCCAGAATCTATCTGATTTGTGTAGGGGCCAGACATAATGACTTACATTTGCTGGGGACTACCACTCTGCTTCCTTTAGGTTTTTAAGGGTGGCACTAACTTCTGCCATTTGCCCCAGGAAGTTTTTAATTTGCAGTCTTGCCCAGAGGGATGTGTGGAGGCAGCTTGAGAATCCTTTCCCACCGTGATAGCTTTTGCCACAGGCCAAAGAGCCAATGTGAGCATGTGAGTGTTCTGCCCACTCCACCTATTGTCCATTTCAGTTATACTTTCAAGGACCAGGGACATAACCATGGCCTTTCCTCCAGTCAGTGGGCTCTGAGTCCAAAAACTGGTTCAGGTACAGAAGCTGGTTAAAAAATTGTGACTTTTTTTTTTTTTTTTTTTTTTGAGACAGAGTCTCACTCTGTCACCCAGGCTGGAGTGCAGTGGCATGATCTTGGCTCACTGCAATCTCCACCTCCCGGGTTCAAGCGATTCTCATGCCTCAGCTTCCGGAGTAGCTGAGACTACAGGCCCGCACCACCGTACCCAGCTAATTTATTATTATTTTTTTTTTTTTGGTAGGGACGGTGTTTCACCATGTTGGCCAGGCTGGAAGAATTGTGACTTTTTAGTGGCACAGCTGCCTTCAGCCACCTCCTTTCTTCTGGCTGTATTGATTAGGGGTCTTGTTAAAAAAACACAGATTGCTGGCCCTACCCCTGGAGTTTCTAATCCAGTAGCTCTGGACTGGGGCCTGAGAACTGATATTTCTATCAATTTCTCAGGTAGTGCTGATGCTGCTGGTAGGGAACTGCATTTCGAGACCACTGGCACAGATTCTGCAATACCCTTGTTGACTTCCCTTCTGTCTTGCCTCTAGGGATTCTAGCCATTTCTATAGATCTCTGTGAGTCCATTGCCCTACCTGCCACTCTGACCTTGCGGCTTACTGAAACATTTGCTTCTACCTTGCACCTGACACTTAAGCATTGTCACCTGGCCTCTGTTTTATTCTGGGACCTTTTGTCTCCATATTGACCAATCATTAGCTGTGGGCTGCCCTGGGGAAGGGGGCATGGCTTTGGGCTGGGACTGTCTGCAGCTGAAGGCAGTCTCTGGAGGGGGCTTCAGCTGTGAGCTGTCAGCTGCCAACACTCTCAGCAGCTGGAAAAAGTGGGCTCATCAATCTTCAACTGGAAATGTGGGCAGTGCACCTCAGCATCTACTCCCGTCTGTCTCAGGCCAAGACTGGGGTAAGAGGAGTGGGGCACTTGCCTCAGGCACAGAATTTAAGGGGACACAAAACATTCAGTAATCCAGATAAATATTTTGGCACAATATTTTAAAAAATCAAAACAAAAATTCATGACAGATTATCGGATTTTTAAATAATAGACAAGATCAGTGTTCCTGATTTCTCCTTTTGCCTTTGGGCGCTGATGTGGCCTAGCATGGCATGTCTTCTCAGGCTGCATGAGGGCGGGGCTTTTGCCTGCTTTGCTCACTGATGTACCCCCAATGATTAGTGGTGTGTCTGGGCATAGTAAGTGTCCGATAAATATTTGTTGAATGAGACATTTAAAATATTTGAGGGAAGAATTACCATTCAGCTACATTTCTCATTTCTCATCTCTTTCTTTCTCCCAGCTTTTCCCACTAATGTTGACTGAACACAAGAGGCTGTTTTCACATTAGAGTCAGACTTGAGGGGGAGCCATGTGTGACTTAGGGAAAATATCTGGCCAAAATAGGATGCAGTTCACTATAAAGGGCAATTGTGAGGTGTGAATGTTTAAAAATATTTTTTCTTTTTTTATTTTAGAGACAGGGTCTTGTCCTGTCTCCCAGGCTGGAGTGCAGTGTCACAATCATAGCTTACTACAGTTTTGAAGTCCTGGGCTCAAGTGATCCTCCCACCTCAGCCTCCCAAATAGGTAGGACTTGGGAGACTGAAGCAAGAGATGCACGCTACCATGTCTGGCTCGTTTAAAAAATGTTTATTGTAGAGACAGGCTCTCAGTATGTTGTCCAGGCTAGTCTTGAACTGCTAGCCTCAAGCAATCCTCTCACCTTGGCCTTCCAAAGTGCTAGGATGACAGGCATAAGCCACCATACCTGGCCTAATGATACCTTCTTAATTGATTTCATTGTCAGATTTAATGGATATATGTAGTGTGCTTCATTGTATTAACTCTTGTCAGCTTATATAATTATGAAGTAAGAGTTTTTTAAAATGCTCAAAAATCACCCTGCCCCCAAGTATAGATGGGTTTAGAATTCCAGGACCAAAAGTGGAACAGAAAGCCATGGTACAGAGTGGGAAGAGTAATGGTCAGCAGGTGTCCCCTCCGCTGCCGCCCACCCCCCCACCATGCTCCCTGTTTCAGTGGGATGGAGGGGAACCCTGAGGGAAGCTCGAAGGCAGAGGTTAGTAGATAGAGCATCTTCCGGGGTAGCTGGCAGCATTTTGGCACATGATGCTGGAAGAGGATGTGGCCGGAGCTGCCAGGCACTGAATCCAGTAAGTTCTCTCCCTACTGGGGGAGCCTATTGTCACCATATCCTACCTTCCTTGCACCCAGAGCCAATTCTAACTTGTTTTTTAAGCCAATGAAAGGAACTTGGGACTGGGCGTGGTGGCTCACCCCTGTAATCCCAGCACTTTGGGAGGTGGAGGTGGGCGGATCACCTGAGGTCAGGAGTTCAAGACCAGCCTGGTCAACATGGCAAAACCCTGTCTCTACTAAAAATACAAAAATTAGCTGGACCTGAGAAATCTCAGAATCCGGTGAGCTGAGTAGTCTTGCCCCTCTCCGGAGCAAGAGCAGAATACGAAGACTGCTAGGGTGTTGCTGGGCCTCGTGGAGTGTAAGGACCGCAGTCCTCCCAGGCTTGGAGAGACCTGGGGGAGTCCATGATGGTGAAGATGTGGGAGGGTGGAGGAAGTGACTGGGACTGAGCACCTGCTGTGTGCTAGGCATCATATTAGACACTTTGTGTACACACACACACAATAGTTATGTGCCGTACAACAGTGTTTCTCTCAACAATGGAGCACATTTACCATGGTGCTCCCATAAGATTGTAACAGAGCTGAAAATTTCCTGTCACTTAGTGATGTCTTGATGATCCTGACCCTGTATAGGCCTGGGCTAATGTGTTTTTGTTTCTTTGTTTTTAACAAAACAGCTTAAAAAGTTAAAAAGTAAACAGCTTTTGGAATAAAGATATAAGGAAAAGTAATTTTATACAGGTCTACAATGTGTGTTTTAAGCTAATGTTATTATAAAAGAGTCAAAAAATTTTAAAGTTTAGAAAGGAAAAAATTTACAATAAGCTAAAATTTATTGTTGAATGAATATATATATATATAATTTTTTTGAGACAGGATCTTGCTCTGTTGCCAGGCTGGAGTGCAGTGGTGTGACCATAGCTCACTGTAGCCTCGAACTCCTGGGCTAAAGCAATCCTCCTCCCTCCCAAGTAGCTAAGACTAAAGGCACATGGCACCACACCTGTCTGATTTTTAATTTATTTGTAGGAATGGGATCTAACTATGTTGCCCAGGCTGGTCAAATTCCTGGCTTAAAATGATCCTCCAAAGTATTGGGATTACAGGCATGATCCACTACATCTGGCCCAGAAAAATATTTTTAAAACAAATGTAGTGTAGCCTAAGTACACAGTGTTTATAAAGTCACGGTAGTGTATGGTAATGTCCTAAGTCGACATTCACTCAGCCGTCACCTACTCACTCACTGAGAGCAACTTTTAATCCTACAGGCTCCTTTCATGGTAAGTGCCCTATACAAGTGTGCCATTTTTGTCTTTTTATGGTATTTTTACTGTACCTTTTCTGTGTTTAGGTATATTTAGAGACACAAATACTTATTTGTGTTACAATTGCCTACAGTATTCAGTGCAGTAACATGCTGTACAGGTATGTAGCCTAGGAGCAATAGACTACACCATAAAGCCTAGGTGTGTAGTAGGCTATACATCTAGGTTTGTGTAAGTGCACTCTATGATGTTTGCACAAAGATGAAATTGCCTAATGATGCATTTTTCAAAATGCATCCCCAACGCTAAGTGACACATGACTGTGTATGTATAATAGATACAAGATATACAGAGAGATATTTATTTAGTTCTCATAGCAATTCTGTGAGGAAAGTATCATTAGCCCTGCTTTACGGATGAAAACAGGATCAGAGGGGCTCAGTGAATTTTCTAGGTCACACAGCTAATACATGGATTGCAGTGGAGCTGGAACTGTTTGGTTCCAAAGCCCGTGTTCCATCAACCATCTTAGGACAGCTCCCAAAAGAAATGTGACCGTCAGAGCAAAGGCAGGGCATGACCAGGTAGCCGAAGTCATAAGGTTTCTTGGTGCATCTCCCATTCACTCACTGTTTGCTTCCGGAAAGAAAAGTGTAGGGCAGCCCTTTCCTGATGTGTACTAAGCTACAGCACCTGTGTCGAGATGAGAGTGAGCCAAAGGGCACTGGTTGGTAGGATGAGGTGGAGGAGTATTTTAATTTTTGGAATTTGGGAAGCAGACAGCTTTACTTTGTAAGGTTGGAACAGCAGCAACATCCATTACATATAAACCAAAAATCTTTACTATTTCTAAATTTCCTAGATTGCTATTATTTGGTCCTAAGTTGAGTATTCGTTCCACAGAAAGTGGTAATTATTCCTCTACATGCAGACCTCAGCAGCTGCTCACACATTCCAGAGCAGGGGAGTCCTTGCCTTGGGCTTGGTTCAGCATCTAAGAAATACAGTGACATTGCAGGGTGGCAGCACCTGGCGACGCAGGGCAGAGCCGTCCACGTAGAGCACATTGAGAATGACAACCCTGGAGGATGGCGAGGTGTGGCCCTGCAAAAGATTCCTTTTTATTTTCCATCAAATGTGCTCAAATACTATATATTTTTTCATGAACAACTTTTCCTCGCTCAAAAATTAACAACTAGACCCTGGAGCACCACCGTGAAAGGGTTTTTGTTTATTTCCTGCTCTTGCTTGCTTCGAACAATGATTGCTCTAACGGCTGAATAGTCAGCTCTGGAAACAGTATCTAGGTCAGCCTGTCCTTTTTGCTGCTTCCCACCACTAGGGGGCAGGAAGTATCTGATAAAGGAACTAAAAAGGCTGGAAACGCGTGCATTGACAAGCAAAAGCCGGAGGCTTGCCTGCTTGCAATTCTTATGATGAAAACATTTCTTCAGAAATCAGCCTCATTTGAGCACTTCTGGCAGACGCAGAGGCCAGCTGAGGAGTGGGCCAGGAGAAGGGGAGGGCGCCTCAGGAGGCGTGTCCTTTGATCATTTTGGAAAAACCGCTCTATCTTCTGAAGACTTTGAAAATGCATACCTAGAGAGCAAGGCTGCGACAGGGCTTTGAAACCCCCTGAGCCATGAGGTCAAGGTCCATTTTATAGAAACCTGTAATCTGAAAGAATATACATTTAATAATGTGATTCTTTTGGGAGGTGGGGAGCAGGCACTCAGATTCCAAATCCACAGGTCCTCAAAGGGATATTGTTCATCAGAAGCTTTTTTTAAAAAAAATCCCAGAATCCCACACAAGTGATAGACTGCACAGAGCGATGCACAGTTTAGCATCCATACAGGTGTGAGGATGGAGAGAGCACTGGATTGGGTGCCTGGCTGCTGCTACTCACTAGTTTTGTGACCGCCAAAACCTAAGCTGCTGTACACCAGCAAAGCAGCACAATATCTCCTTTGTCGGATTGCAGCATCAACAACAAGCATTTATCCAGCCCCTACTGTATGCCAGGCACTGTGCTAGGCACTGGGGAGATGATGAATGATAAGATAGGCACGGTTGGTCCCTGCCTTGTGAACATGACATCCCAGTGAGGATTTATTATTATTATTATTATTATTATTATTATTATTATTATACTTTAAGTTTTAGGGTACATGTGCACAACATGCAGGTTAGTTACATATGTATACATGTGCCATGTTGGTGTGCTGCACCCATTAACTCGTCATTTAACATTAGGTATATCTCCTAATGCTATCCCTCCCCCTTCCCCCCACCCCACAACAGGCCCTGGTGTGTGATGTTCCCCTTCCTGTGTCCATGTGTTCTCATTGTTCAATTCCCACCTATGAGTGAGAACGTGCGGTGTTTGGTTTTTTGTCCTTGTGATAGTTTGCTGAGAATGATGGTTTCCAGCTTCATCCATGTCCCTACAAAGGACATGAACTCATCATTTTTTATGGCTGCATAGTATTCCATGGTGTATATGTGCCACATTTTCTCAATCCAGTCTATCACTGTTGGACATTTGGGTTGGTTCCAAGTCTTTGCTATTGTGAATAGTGCTGCAATAAACATATGTGTGCATGTGTCTTTATAGCAGTATGTTTTATAATGCTTTGGGTATATACCCAGTAATGGGATTGCTGGGTCAAATGGTATTTCTAGTTCTAGATCCCTGAGGAATCGCCACACTGACTTCCACAATGGTTGAACTCGTTTACAGTCCCACCAACAGTGTAAAAGTGTTCCTATTTCTCCACATCCTCTCCAGCACCTGTTGTTTCCTGACTTTTTAATGATCACCATTCTAAGTGGTGTGAGATGGTATCTCATTGTGGTTTTGATTTGTGTTTCTCTGATGGCCAGTGATGATGAGCATTTTTTCATGTGTCTTTTGGCTGCATAAATGTCTTCTTTTGAGAAGTGTCTGTTCATATCCTTCGCCCACTTTTTGATGGGGTTGTTTGTTTTTCTCTTGTAAATTTGTTTGAGTTCTTTGTAGATTCTGGATATTAGCCCTTTGTCAGATGAGTAGATTGCAAAAATTTTCTCCCATTCTGTAGGTTGCCTGTTCACCCTAATGGTAGTTTCTTTTGCTGTGCAGAAGCTCTTTAGTTTAATTAGATCCCATTTGTCAATTTTGACTTTTGTTGCCATTGCTTTTGGTGTGTTAGACATGAAGTCCTTGCCCATGCCTATGTCCTGAATGGTATTGCCTAGGTTTTCTTCTAGGGTTTTTATGGTTTTAGGTCTAACATTTAAGTCTTTAATCCATCTTGAATTAATTTTTGTGTAAGGTGTAAGGAAGGGATCCAGTTTCAGCTTTCTACATATGGCTAGCCAGTTTTCCCAGCACCATTTATTAAATAGGGAATCCTTTCCCCATTGCTTGTTTTTCTCAGGTTTGTCGAAGATCAAATGGTTGTAGATATGCAGCATTATTTCTGAGGGCTCTGTTCTGTTCCATTGGTCTATATCTCTGTTGTGGTACCAGTGCCATGCTGTTTTGGTTACTGTAGCCTTGTAGCATAGTCAGGTGGCGTGATGCCTCCACCTTTCTTCTTTTGGCTTAGGATTGACTTGGCAATGCAGGCTCTTTTTTGGTTCCATTTGAACTTTAAAGTAGTTTTTTCCAATTCTGTGAAGCAAGTCATTGGTAGCTTGATGGGGATGGCATTGAATCTATAAATTACCTTGGGCAGTATGGCCATTTTCATGATATTGATTCTTCCAACCCATGAGCATGGAATGTTCTTCCATTTGTTTGTATCCTCTTTTATTTCACTGAGCAGTGGTTTGTAGTTCTCCTTGAAGAGGTCCTTCACGTCCCTTGTAAGTTGGATTCCTAGGTATTTTATTGTCTTTGAAGCAGTTGTGAATGGGAGGTCACTCATGATTTGGCTGTCTGTTTGTTATTGGTGTATAAGAATGCTTGTGATTTTTGCACATTGATTTTGTATCCTGAGACTTTGCTGAAGTTGCCTATCAGCTTGAGGAGATTTTGGGCTGAGATGATGGGGTTTTCTAGATATACAATCATGTCATCTGCAAACAGGGACAATTTGACTTCCTCTTTTCCTAATTGAATGCCCTTTATTTCCTTCTCCTGCCTAATTGCCCTGGCCAGAACTTCCAACACTATGTTGAATAGGAGTGGTGAGAGAGGGCATCCCTGTCTTGTGCCAGTTTTCAAAGGGAATGCTTCCAATTTTTGCCCATTCAGTATGATATTGGCTGTGGGTTTGTCATAGATAGCTCTTATTATTTTAAGACACGTCCCATCAATACCTAATTTATTGAGAGTTTTTAGCATGAAGCGTTGTTGATTTTTGTCAAAGGCCTTTTCTGCATCTATTGAGATAATCATGGTTTTTGTCGTTGTTTCTGTTTATATGCTGGATTACGTTTATTGATTTGCATATGTTGAGCCAGCCTTGCATCGCAGGGTTGAAGCCTACTTGATCATGGTGGATAAGCTTTTTGATGTGCTGCTGGATTCGGTTTGCCAGTATTTTATTGAGTATTTTTGCATCGATGTTCATCAGGGGTATTGGTCTAAAATTCTCTTTTTTTGTTGTGTCTCTGCCAGGCTTTGGTATCAGGATGATGCTGGCCTCATAAAATGAGTTAGGGAGGATTCCCTCTTTTTCTATTGATTGGAATAGTTTCAGAAGGAATGGTACCAGCTCCTCTTTGTACCTCTGGTAGAATTCGGCTGTGAATCCATCTGGTCCTGGACTTTTTTTGGTTGGTAAGCTATTAATTATTGCCTCAATTTCAGAGCTTGTTATTGGTCTATTCAGAGATTCAACTTCTTCCTGGTTTGGTCTTGGGAGGGTGTATGTATCAAGTAATTTATCCATTTCTTCTAGATTTTCTAGTTTATTTGCATAGAGGTGTTTGTAGTATTCTCTGATGGTAGTTTGTATTTCTGTGGGATCGGTGGTGACATCCCCTTTATCATTTTTTATTGCATCTATTTGATTCTTCTCTCTTTTCTTTTTTATTAGTCTTGCTAGCAGTCTATCAATTTTGTTGATCTTTTCAAAAAACCAGCTCCTGGATTCGTTGATTTTTTGAAGGGTTTTTTGTGTCTCTATTCATTTAAGTCTGCAGAGGATTCTGCTGCCTTTTGTTTGGCTATTTGCTGCCCCCAGAGGTGGAGTCTACAGAGATACGCAGGCCTCCTCAAGCTGCGGTGGGCTCCACCCAGTTCGAGCTTCCTGGCTGCTTTGTTTACCTACTCAAGCCTTGGCAATGGCAGGTGCCCCTCCCCCAGCCTCGCTGCGGCCTTGCAGTTTGATCTCAGACTGCTGTGCTAGCAATGAGCAAGGCTCCGTGGGTGTAGGACTCTCTGAGCCAGGCGCAGGATATAATCTTCTGGTGTGCCGTTTGCTAAGACTGTTGGAAAAGTGCAGTATTAGGGTGGGAGTGACCGGATTTTCCAGGTGCTGTCTGTCACCCCTTTCTTTGACTAGGAAAGGGAATTCCCTGACCCCTTGCGCTTCCTGGGTGAGGCCGTGCCTCGCCCTGCCTCGGCTCACACTGGGTGCGCTGCACCCACTGTCCTGCACCCACTTTCCGACACTCCCCAGTGAGGTGAGCCCGGTACCTCAGTTGGAAATGCAGAAATCACCCGTCTTCTGCCTCGCTCACGCTGGGAGCTCTAGACTGGAGCTGTTCCTATTCGGCCATCTTGGCTCCACCAATCCCCCAGTGAGGATTGTATGGCCTGCCTGCAGGAAAATATTTAATGTGCCTGCACAGCACCTGGCATGTCACAGACACTTAATACATGTTGGGTTTTTCTCCAATCCTCTTTTCTCTTTGTCTCCTCATCTAAAATATGTTATTGTAGGGCCAGATTAAGATTCCCCTTGGCAAAGTGGGCTCCTGGAAACACATTCAGAGGATATTTATTCATACTTTATTTTTTTATCTGCCTTTACTTAGCACTTACTATTTGCCAGCCTATGCTAGACCTAAGGGATCTATAATTGATATTTTTAATTTTTCTGTCCACCATTATCTGATCCATCTTCACTGAGGAAGTCCTATACCTTCTCTGGCCAGGTTGAAAACACCAGCTACCCACCTTCCCAGCTTCCCCTTGAACTGAGAGTATCAGCACTTCAACTAAGGTTCCACACCCCATTTGGACTTGGGAGCAGGGAGTCCAGGAAGGGTGGATAGTCTGCCCAGTGGGAGGGTTATGGTAGGTGTCCCAATGAACTCTAGTTTCCAGGAACAGCTGGTGATGCCATGGATGGCAGTGCATGCTGGACATCAAGTGGCGTGGTTTGATAGTATGATTTTGACTGTGGCCCAGGCTGCCTTTTGTTTACCTTTTTTATACCTATTTTTAAGTGCAATTTTCTTCCTTTCTTTCTTTTTTTGAGATAGAGTCTTGCTCTGTCATCCAGGCTGGAGTGCAGTGGTGCGATTTTAGCTCTACAACCTTCGCTTCCCAGGTTCAAGCAATTCTCCCGCCTCAGCCTCCTGAGTAGCTGGGACTACAGGTGCGCGCCACCGTGCCCGGCTAATTTTCGTATTTTTAGTAGAGACAAGGTTTTGCCATGTTGGCCAGGCTGGTCGTGAACTCCTGACCTCAGGTGATCCGCCCACCTCAACCTCCCAAAGTGCTGGGATTACAGGTGTGAGCTGTCACTCCTGGTCAAGTCCAACTTTCTGATCTTCTTACCGATTCAATGAGCTACCAAATTGCTTTTAGCAAAATCCTTTTATACTCAAATCAACACAGATGGGTTTTGTTCCTTGACACCAAGAATCCTGTTGGAGATGAAATCAAAAATTATTATGACTTTGGTGCCTTGTTCTTCAGGAGCTGGGCACACAAATGACTTCAGTAGTCTATATAATTGGGGAGAAGACAAGCCCCTTGAAGCATCTACTATGTTAGCATGTACTACGCCGGACAGTGAGGTTCAGAAATGAACACATGAGGCTTCTGCCCCCAGGGAACTCAGTGTGTTAGGAGAGATGAATCAATGATATAGCAATTCCATTAGAAAAAGTGCTAGAGATGTGTGGAGGGTATGATGGGGTCACCAAGGAGGAATACATACCTGTTTAGCTAAGACAGAGATGTTTTCTAGTTTGTTCTTGCTGCTATACCAAAGCATTCACAGACTGGGTAATTTATAAATAATTGAAATGTATTTCTCATAGTTCTGGAGCCTGGGAAGTCCAAGATCAAGGCTCCAGCAGATTCAGTGTCTAGAGAGGGCTTGCTTGCTGCTTCCAAAATGGCACCTTCTTCCTGCCTCTTCATATGGAGAAAGGAACAAATGCTGTGTCCTCATGTGGCAGAGAGTGGAAGGGGAGAAAGTGCCAGGCAGCTCTCTGAAGCCTCCTTTATAAGGACATTAATCCCATTTGTGAGGGCAGAGCTTTCGTAACTTAATCACTTCCCAAAAGGTCTCACCTCTGAATACTATCACATTGGGTACTAGGTTTCAACATGAATTTTGGAGAGACATAAACATTCAAACTATAGCAGACACTGAATGAGCAAGGCTTTGGAGAGAGGGACGTGATGCTTGAGTTGAGTCTTGAAAGAAGTGTAAAAGTATATTAGACAAAAGCAGAGGAGCCCAGAGAAAGAGGAGGTATTTCCCTGTGCAAGAGCAAAGGCCTGAAGGAGAGATTCAGCATGGTGTGTGTATTGGTCAGGGTTCTTTAGAGGGACAGAACTAATGGAATATATATATATATATATATATATAAAAATAAAGGGGAGTTTATTAAGTATTAACTCACATGATCACAAGGTCCCACAATAGGCCATCTGCAGGCTGAGGAGCAAGGAGAGCCAGTCTGAGTCCCAACACTGAAGAACACGGAGTCCAGTGTTCTAGGGCAGGGGGCATCCAGCACGGGAGAAAGATGTACGCTGGGAAGCTAGACCAGTCTCTCTCTTCACATTTTTCTGCCTGCTTTTTATTCTAGCCATGCTAGCAGCTGATTAGATTGTGCTCACCCAGATTAAGGATGGGTCTGCCTTTCCTAGCCCACTGACTCAAATGTTAATCTCCTTTGGCAACACCCTCACAGACACGCCCAGGATAAAAACTTTGTATCCTTGAATCCAATCAGGTTGACGCTCAGTATTAACCATTACAGCGTGTGTGGGATTAAGCAGTTTTGTGCTGCTAGAACCACCATGTTCCTGGTGAAGGATAAGGGAGTTGTCATGAGTAGTAGGCTCTGAGTACAGGGCTTGTGTGCAGAGGTCGAGATTGGGAAGAGCTGCCTATGAGTCTGGGATGTGGTGTGGACCAGGGATATGAAGAAAGATTCAGTGGTGCAGAGGGCTCAGGAGAGGCTAAATGCTGTGATATCTTTATGGAAACTGCCTACATGATTATCAGATTTTCTCCAGAAATACTCAGCTACTAGTATATACCAGTACAGAATAACGCTGGTCCAGAATTAGGTTTTCATTGTAAAAATAAAGGCAGGCATCTGAATTTGGAGAACCTGATCTTGGACCAGGTTTGCTCAGAAAGAACTAGGCCCACAATTGAAAGCTGCCTCTGGTTCAGATGGGGGAGAAGAGGTAGGGGTTGGCTGAGAAGGCTGGCAGGGTAGAGTCTCGACTGAAATCTGCCACGTATGGCCCACAATCCATTTCATGCCCTAACACAAGGGGTATTATAAGTTTTGAGTATAAAAGAAAATTATGGGCCGGGCGCAATGGCTCACACCTGTAATCCCAACACTTTGGGAGGCCGAGGCGGGCGGATTACCTGAGGTCAGGAGTTCAAGATCAGCCTGGGCAAC
This sequence comes from Homo sapiens, assembly GCF_000001405.40. Classification (NCBI taxonomy): domain Eukaryota; kingdom Metazoa; phylum Chordata; class Mammalia; order Primates; family Hominidae; genus Homo; species Homo sapiens. The sequence goes on along the minus strand of NC_000006.12, from coordinate 118,793,212 downwards.
ATGGTGAAACCCTGTCTCTACTAAAAATACAAAATTAGCCGGGCTTGGTGACACATGCCTGTAATCCCAGCTACTTGGGAGGCTGAGGCAGGAGAATCGCTTGAAACTGGGAGGCAGAGGATGCGGTGAGCCGAGATCACGCCATTGCACTCCAGCCTGGGCAACAAGAGTAAATCTCTGTCTCACCAAAAAAGAAAAAAAGAAAATTGTGATTATAAAATACAATTTTAAAATAGACATCTCAATTCACCTCACCACACATATAAAGATACGTTTTACATTTTTATGGCGTGTCAACACACTATTCACTTCCCTTATGAGGGGAATGCATAAGCACCCTTTAAGCATTTTAAGGGAAAAGCTTGAAATTATTGTAATAAACAGAGGGCTTTCGTGTAAAAAGCATTTATTTGATCTTCACAAAAGCTCCCTGCAGAAGGTATCATTATGAACCCATTTTAAAGAAAGGGGAACCGAAGGGCAGAAAAGAAAACTTGCCCAAGATTACATAGGTGAGAAGCGGGTTAGGGTCTGACACATATGATCTGACTCCAGAGAAGGTGCCCCTAACGATGCATTCCATTGTCTCTCCTTGGAAATCTCACCTCCTCTTCATCATTATGCAATGAATTTTGTCCCCCTGCTATAGTTGGGATGTTTGTCCCACCCAGATCTCATGTTGGATTGTAATCCCCAGTGTTGGAGGTGGGGCCTGGTGGAAGGTGTTTGGGTCATGGGGGCAGATTCCTTGTGGCTTGGTGCTGTCCCCACGATGGTGAGTTATCATGAGATCTGATTGTTGAAAAGCGTGTGGCTCCTCCCTCCCCTTGCTCTCCCCATGTGGCATGCTGCTTCACCTCTGCCATGAATGAAAGCTCCCTGAGGCTTCCCCAGAAGCCAAGCAGATGCCTGTGCCATGCTTCCTAAACAGCCCGCAGAACTGTGAGCCAATTAACTCTCTTTTCTTTATAAATTACCCAGCCTCATGTATTCCTTTATAGCAATGCAAGAATGGTCTAACAACTCCCTCCTTCCCCGCCACTTCCCTAAATTAATACATTGAAGTCCTAACCCCCAGTACCTCAGAATGTGACTGCATTTGGAGATAGGGTCTTTACAGAGGAATTAAAGTGAGGTCATTAGGGTGGGCCCTGATCTAATATGACTGGTGTCTTTATGAGAATAGGAGATTTGGCACAGACACCTACAGAGGAAAGACTATGTGGTATGGTTTGGCTGTGTCCCCACCCAAATCTCACCTTGAACTGTAGCTCCCACAATTCCCATGTGATGTGGGATGGACCCAGTGGGAGGTAATTGAATCATGGGGGCGGTCTTTCCTGTGCTGTTCTCTTGATGGTGAATAAGTCTTATGAGATGTGATGGTTTTATAAAGAGGAGCTCCCCTGCACAAGTTCTCTGTTCCCTGCTGCCAAGTAAGATGTAACTTGCTCCTCCTTGCCCTCTGCCGTGATTGTGAGGCCTCCCCAGCAATGTGAAACTGTGAGTCAATTAAACCTCTTTCCTTTATAATCACCCAGTCTTGGGTATGTCTTTATTAGGCATGTGAGAACAGACTAATACACAATGCGAAGACACAGGAAGAAGACAGCAATTGTAAGCCAAGGCGAGGGGCCTAGAGCAGCTCTTTCCCTCGCAGCCCTCAAAAGGAGTGATCCCTGCCAACACCTTGATCTCAGACTTCTAGCGTCCCAGCCCGTGAGAAAATGAATTTCTGGAGGTGAAGCTTCCCAGGCTGTAGTACTTTATTATGGCAGGCCTAGAAAACGAATTCATTCACAGACCCCCAGTTAAGAAGAAGCAGGAGGAGGAGGCAAAAAACAAATTACTCTTTTAAGTGAATTCATCTCATGTTAAAATATAAAATATGTGAGAATGTGTGCATTTCATTAGATATGGGGAGCTTAATTGAATCATCTTTTAAAAGAAATAATCGGAATTTAGTTCTATAATAAGAGTAAAATCAAGAAAGCAGGAAAAGTCTGAATTTATATTGATGTAGTACCCTTGAAGTAGTATCATAGACCGGAAACAGCAGCTTCATTAAGGCCAAAGTGTGTTTGTTAATTAGCTGTGGTCCTCTCCAGTGAGCCGACCAATAGATGCCATCAATGATGAGAGAGCATGGACTTATTGACGAAAAGATGAAGTCAGTTGGGCATTAGACACACATGTTTCCTCCGAGGGCGGCAGTACTTTCATTAATAATGAATTCTGTCTTTCCTTATGTCTTCTGAGCTTCCCACTAATGCTGGAATTATTAGTGTGAAACATGAGGCCTTCCGGTAATTATAGGCAATTCAGAGAGTCTTAAAAAGTGTGATCATGTATTCCAGGGAAAAACAATGTCCAGCATTTTTTTTTAAATAAATTTCAACTCGTGTGTTTAGTACCTTCTACATGCAAGGTGGTGAAGTGCTGGCTCTGGAGGCTTTATTGTGTTTAGGATTCTGAAAGTGCTTATGGCCTGAGGCCCTGAAGAGGTCTGTATTCTGGCCTTTTATTTTATTTTTTTGAGACATTCTGACTCTGTCACCCAGGCTGGAGGGCAGTGGTGCCATCTTGGCTCAGTGCACCCTCCCAGGTTCAAGTGATTCTCCTGCTTCAGCCTCCCGCGTAGCTGGGACTACAGGCTTGTGCCACCACACCCAGCTAATATTTTGTATTTTTAGTAGAGATGGGGTTTCCATATGTTGGTCAGGCTGGTCTTGAACTCCTGGCCTCAAGTGATCTGCCTGCCTCAGCCTCCCAAAATTCTGGGATTACAGGAGTGAGCCACCATACTTGGCCTGTATTCTGACCATTTAAAGAGAAAAATAAATTAGGGAACATCCCAGTCGTGGGTCTGAATCATTTTAACATTTAAATGCCTTGTTTGTAGATTTGAAAGAAAATCAAACTTTGACCAGCTTGTCACTTTTTGGCTTCCTGTTCCATGCTTTATAGAGCCATATGTTTCATGTTTGAAAAAGTTTAAAATCAGTCAGCTTAATTAAATGTTTCATTTTCACAGACGTTTTAGTCTCCTTTCTCTCTATACCCAGGAGCTCGTGCTCTCATTTTACCAGCTCATTTCTTATGAGCTCAGAGGGGCTAAACATACTGTGTAGACTAACATAGGATCGACATGATGTAGGGGAATTTTAACATTTTTAGAGACAATAGACAGTGGCTGGCACTCAATCCAACTTTCAATAAATGAATGGAAAGAAAAGGATGGGCAGAGAATTGCTTGAATCCAGGAGGCAGAGGTTGCAGTAAGCCGAGATTGTGCCACTGCACTCCAGCCTGGGCAACCCAGCCAGACTCTGTCTCAAAAAAAAAAACAAAAAAAAAAAAAAAAAAAAAAACCTGTCACATTTTTCACACCAAAAACAAAAACACCAAAATCACATCAACAAGAAGTAAACCTTGTTCTACAAGCCACCAAACCAACACAAACCTGATGCTTTTGGATAATGAATCTTGTCTGTCAATAAAACCGCAGTATGGCTTGGCCAAATCAGTAAGAATGAGGAGACGTGCAGTGAGGAGGATTCACATCAATCAGAAAGCGGTCCGCAGCTGCCTGGGCTGACGGGAGGGCAAGCTGTGGTTGGTTTGACTGTGTGTAGAAGATGCCAGAGACTGCTAGTAAACAGATTGAAAACTGTAAACTGTGTCTTCTTTCCTTTTGGGAACCTCTGTGGGTGCACTCTCCAAGGCCAAGCCCAGTTCCTTCCCTTGGTCTCATCACTGGTCTCTTTATTTCCCTCCTGTACAGTTCAAGAGGCCTGGGCGATGTGACCTGAACAGAATGAGGTCAGCTGAATAAGAAGAAATACACCAGTAAAGGAAGATTTGCAGATTTCTCACCCTTCACTGGGCCTTCTTGATTAGCCACAGTGACTTGGATCAATTCCGTCATTTCATGAACCGATATTTTCCATTCTCTACCCTTTCCTCTGACTCTGGTCTTCTTGCATCTCTGCCTTTCCAAATGGCTTCTCAACTATATAATTTTTACCAACTCAGCTCTAATGATAGACGAAACCAACATTAAGCTATTGAACTCATATATTTTAGCATGTGCCTACACTCTTGAAGGCAGCAATGAATAAAAATTCTGCTGGGAAAATATAGTATTATACCATGTAATGGTGAGGATGAATTTGTAAATACACTTTTGTTTTCAAATCTTCCACAACCCAAGGCACCAACAGGGCCGAGGGGTTTGGTGAATTGTGGGAAAATAGAGGTGCTTGGATATGTGTAAGTGAGTAGCTCATTTAGCAGGTGTTCCACCACCTGCTCACAGACCACAGGGAATTTCATAGCTGGTGCACATGTGGCAGCAAGGGCCACGCGACTGGAAATGAAAGTGAGTTGTCAATTTTTCTTCTCTCTCTCTTTTTTTTTTTCTTTTTCTTTTTTTTTTTTTTTTTGAGATGGAGTCTTGTTCTGTCACCAGGCTGGAGTGCCGTGGTGCAATCTTGGCTCACTGCAACCTCTGCCTCCCGGGTTCAAGTGATTCTCCTGCCTCAGCCTCCTGAGTAGCTGGCACTACAGGTACATGTCACCACACCTGGCTAATTTTTGTATTTTCAGTAGAGATGGGGTTTCAGCATGTTGGCCAGGCTGGTCTTGATCTCCTGGCCTTGTGATCTGCTCGCCTCAGCCTCCCAAAGTTCTGGGATTACAGGTGTGAGCCATCGCGCCCAGCCGAGTTGTGGATTGTTCTATATTTTCATTCAACATTTCTTCAAATGTCCTTTCCCTTTAAAGAATCATCAAAATCTCTTTCCTTTAAAGTTAACACTACAAGTAATCGAAGTCCCATTTCCTGGAAATATAGGCTGGATGGCAGCCATCCCTCAAATGAGCCCCCATGGGGAAGACTTGGAGAGTGCACTCCTAACTTAGGTTTCCGGTGGACATGTATGAAGCCCCACGGGCTGGAAGCTGAGGTCATGGATTACTCTCTCACTGCTGCTGAGTGCCAGTTCATCATGTGCTTCCTGTCATTATTCTCTTACATCATGCATAACCCTGTATCTCTTAGCCCATCTCCTCATGCACAGATTTCTAATCAGCTGTGAAAAAATACTATGAATATCTCTGCATTTAAGAAGAGATGCTAACTTTTAAAAAATAATAAAAAGAAGAGATGCTAATGGGAAAAGGGTTGAGGAACAGCTGTGGATTGGAAGTAATGGGGTCAAGTAAAATAGGGCAGCAAATCAGGAAATGGGGTAGGTGTAGGCACTGGGGAGAGGAAGCTATGCAAACCAGCCAACATCACCATTAACATGTTCCTTGTTTTCCTCTGAAATCCTCTTCTAATAGCTGAGGTAGCATGAGGTTGCAGTGGAAGGAACATGAGCTTTGCTACGAGATAAATACACGTAAGAATCCTGCCGCATCATGAGGCTCTGTGATATGGCAAAGTTTCTTAGCCCTTCCTAGCTTCAGGTTGGTAATAATACTAAGCTTTCAAAACTATTGGAAGAAACAGAGATCATGGAATGAGGAATGGCTGATACCAGGCACTCAGTACATGGCAGAACAATTATTATTATTGAGACAGGGTCTGGCTCTGTCATCTAGGCTGGGGTGCAGTGGTGCAATCACAGCTCACTTTAGCCTCGACCTCCAGAGCTCAAGTGGTCCTCCGAACTCAGTCTTCTGAGTAGCTAGGACCATACATTCATTCACACCACCATGCCTGGATAATTTTTTAAAATTTTTGTAGAGATGGGGGTCTCACTATGTTGCCCAGGCTGGTCTCGAACTCCTGAGCTGAAGCAGTCCTCCCTCCTTAACCTCCCAAAGTGCTGCGATTACAGGCGTGAGCCAACACACCTGGCCAGAAGCTAGCACTAATGATAACTAGGTTTGTGTCTGCAATGCACTGACTTGATGCTTGCTCAGATGGGGGGCAGGGGAAAAGTAAAGATAACCAGGAAGCTGGCAGGACCCTGAAGAGAACAGCATTAATCTCACATTAGCCACATGATGTGCCTTTATCTTTATCACAACTTCTCTCTAATCTTCCTCAACATTTAAATCAAATAATGAGCCAAAAGGATGATAAGAGAGAACAATGTCAACAACTATGAAGGATCTGAGATTTTTGCCCTGCTTGGAAGCTCACAAGTGAGCCAGTCGCAGCTCCATTGATGCTAGCAGAAGACATGAGACTCCCAGTCAGCAACAAAAGACCTCATGACAGCACAGCTGGCAGCGTGAGCTTCGTGTTCCCATGGGTTCCCTGGGAGCCCCAAGTCCCATGGGGGTGATGCAGAGGTGGGCCCAGGTGGCTGCTGTGCACGCAGTGCATTATGTCACAGCCAAGGAACCTGGAGCTTAAGATATTCCCAGTCTTCCAAGGGGACTATTAACAAGCCTGCCCAATCTTTCTCCTGGAGAGGGACATTATCTTTATTATCCCTGCAAGGAAACAGACCTGCCCTCTGCCTATCTTCCACTGTTGTTTTGTATACAAATATCTTGGAAAAGGCAGTCTGCATCAGGTGTGTTGAAACACCACAGACAATTGCTTTCCAACCAAGTAAGACACAGCCAGAGGCAGAATTCAAAAGAAAGCACTGCGATTAGAGAAGATGCCTTAAAGTTTTTATTTCTTTAATCAAGAAGTTGATAAACCCCCATCAAATCTTAAATAACAGCTCCTATGTTTGCCAGAGACTATAGGGAAAGCCTATTATTGCTGTGTTATATGCTAGTTTGAAAGCTGCTGCCTGTACCTAATCACAGCGCTTCAGTGGTGAATGGGACAAGGCACCTCCTGCTCCGTCTTTGCGAAAGGCCCTGAAGTGATGTCTTCTTCATGCATTTTTTTTTTTTTTTGAGACGGAGTCTTGCTCTGTCGCCCAGGCTGGAGTGCAGTGGCGCGATCTCGGCTCACTGCAAGCTCCGCCTCCCGGGTTCACGCCATTCTCCTGCCTCAGCCTCCCGAGTAGCTGGGACTACAGGCACCCGCCACCGCGCCCGGCTAATTTTTTTTGTATTTTTAGTAGAGACGGGGTTTCACCGTGGTCTCGATCTCCTGACCTCGTGATCCGCCCGCCTCGGCCTCCCAAAGTGCTGGGATTACAGGCGTGAGCCACCGCGCCCGGCCTTCTTCATGCAATTTAATAAAGAAATGGGTTAGGGATTTTTTTTTTAATGAAAAGGGAAGAAATAAGAAACATTGTTCATGTTTGACTTTCTTTGGGCTTCGTTATGAGATTAAAATGATTTGGAAAATAGAATTCTTTCAGAGGCTACACTTGAGGTTTATGGAATCCTGAGATTTATCCAGATCAATCTCCTCACTCATATGCCTTTATGAGGTCAGCTATGGTTCTAATGACCAGAGGAGCTAGGACACACACCACCAGAGGGCTTCCAGCCTTTCCAGTCCCACCTTGCAGCACGCCATCAGAGTCCTAAAAGCAAAACCATCTTGAGGACCTTACACCCTCACTGGAGACACAGCCCTGTCTCATTGTCAGACCAAAGAGGAATCTGTGTGTCCCAAGTTTTTAGTTCAAAAATATATTCATTATATGCAGGCAAAATGCAGCGATTGTTATAGTGAAGAATCCAGGGCCTGCCTTGTTTGAGAGTTTGGTGGGAGAGCAGCAGAAGTCAGGGGTGAGTGGGTAATTCAGGCAATGTACACGCTGTCTCCACATCTGAGAGAAGGGCACATGGGGCCCATGGTTGCCAGAAATCTGTCCTAACCCTTCCTTCTCCCTTGCTTTACATATCTAATCAGCCACAAGAGCTGTTGATTCTCCTAAATCATTCTCAGATCTGCCCATAATCTCTTTATTTTTTCTTATATAATTCATCAGAAACTTTTTTGTTTTTGTTGTTGCAACTTATGAGATAAAAATCTAATGGGATCTTTCTCAAGCTCCCAAGAAATGACAACGTTCCTTCTCCATCCCCTTACAACTCCCCACCCCCAACCCATGACACACCCAACACACACGCACACACACACACACACACACACCCGGAGACAACTCTTTCCTTCCATACAAATTCTGTTTGTTTAGGACTCAGTTTCCTTTGATCATCTGTAGATGTCATCCCGGAGGAGCCCCTCTAGTATGGATTTTCAGCACACAGAGACAGGGGCCTGGTTGTCCTAGGGAAATCCCCTAGTGATGTTTGGGAGCCCTGCCTCCGCCCAGTGCCAAGGTCAGCAGTGTGGGTCAGTGGGCTCTGATCCCAATGAGGGCCGGACCTCAGGCTTGAGACCTCCTCCCACTCAGTGCTGGGCCCCGAGCTGAGCCCATTCTCCTCCTAGCAGGCTAGAGCTGTGTGAGCTGAACTAACTGGCAGAGCCAAGTTGTCCTCCCCCGAGACTCCCATTCCCAAGTAAGGAGAATTGCACTGTGTGATTGCAGGTGGAATCTGCCAGCATGAGCTGCCTGAGAGAATAGACAATGGAGCTCTCTGTATCACTGCAGAAAAGGGGAAGGAAAATGCTGACATTTAAATGATTACATTTGGGATCTACAGTTGCCTTGGGGCATGGCAGTGATCACTTAATAGATGAGTCTTCCTTTTTTTTTTGCTTTCAGAGCTTAAATTAGCTTTCAAATAGCTACAAGGTTAGAGAATATATTCTTTAATTAAAGAGGGAGACCTAGCTTCCTTTTCCTTTCCCATAAAGCGTGTGTGTGTGTGTGTGTGTGTGTGTGTGTTTTACTTTGCATTTTTGCATAGACTTTGCAATACTGGGAGCTGCAGATAACTATAGGATTTATGTCCTCTACATAAGGTGACCACACAATAGGACAGTTATTTTAAATATTCTGTCTTTAGGATGAGTCATAATTTTTTATTAAGCAGATGTATTCACTATGCTTAAATGTTTTGGTATCAGTACAGCACAGGGCCTCACACAGAATATTTACTGAATGAATGACTGATTTTATGACCTTATACACTCTGTGCTAATAAATATAAATACACAGAAAATCCATTTGGTAAATATTTCCTAATTCTCTCTGGTAAAACAAAAATTCCAGTAACACGTGCATATCTTCACACACAGTCTAGCAAGGATCTCACTTGTCAGCAGAAATGAGCCATCTGGTTGCTGCCCTGAGAGCCCATCTTACACAAATGTCACCGCTTTCCACATTCACAACGGACCATTTCCTTACCAGCCAGGAGAAGCCAATTATATTTGTCAAATAACAAGAGCAAAGTACATTTTTGCAAGTCAGTCGTCTTGTCTATAATCAACTCAACTTCCTAAATATTAAATATTCAGTAATCTGGCTGTAGATTTCTGGATCATTTAAACAAATGAATAATGCTTGATAAAGCTCAGAAATTGTAAATTTGATAAAGCTCAGAATTGTCAGCTATGTCTTCATACTGTGAATCCAGCAGACTGAGAAATAACAAAAGTGAGTTTGCCAACCCTCTTAAAGATGCATTTGGACCCTGAAGTCCAAGGCAACTGTTGGTTTTGTGTGGCTTCCCCACACCCCAGCTCAGGTGTGTTCACCCACAGATTGTTTAGTCTGCAACTGAAGAGCTGAACATAATCTCAAGCTTGGTTATATCTGCTGCAGATTATTTTGTTTTTAATTTTAAAAAATACAATGTGACTTAGTTATAAATGAGAACAAATTAACAATGAACAATATTTCAAAAGCTGAAAAAGGTGGCACGGACACTAACAGTACTGAATACATAGGCTTTTATCATCTTCAGATTCAGAGTTTTTTGTAACTTAATTATATAAAGATGAGGAGTCAGTTTTGCAAGCTAAAAATATTTACTTATTAGAACTATATGAATACTTCAGTAAAGTATATTAAAAAAGATAATGAGACAGATGTGCATTTATAGAACTGCATGCCAGTTAGCCAGTTCCCTGCAAAGGGAATTCCCAGCATGATCTCATTAATCTGTGAAGACCCAGAGCAATCCTTGTTTAGATGTATGCATTCATCTACTTGTCCAGCATGGTCAGCCCTCCGCTCCTTGGTGGTTTCTCTCTACTGTGAATGTGCATGTCCAGTTGTCTATTTCTTAGAGTAGATATTTACCTTCCTCATCCACCAGCCTTTGGGGGAGGACTGGGGAGATGCAGATGATTGATTTGACCTGTTTTCCCCAGAGGGTTTCCTGGTGGCTGTCTTCCATGATCATATCTGGAATCAGATGTGTTTCCATAGCCTCTTCTTTTCTTCACATGTTGCTGAAGTAGAGTTTTGAAAAACAAAATCACAAACTTGGCTATTCTTCAGAAGAAATCTGTTATCAAAGATAAACTCCAGGGAGATGGACTCTGCTGTCCAACACTTGTCCATTTAAGATGTAAGCCATCCTGCCCCGCTTCCCCACTTCGGAGCAACTTGCAGATTAATTTAACTGGACTAATGCCAGTTCTCAGTTTGAGCCTAAGATGATTCGAACTTGTGTTTTGAATTGGGGAACAGCACTGCATGATGGCTTTTCAGTTCTAGAAGAGAAGAAAAAATCTTTTATTTATTTTTATTTTATTTTATTTTATTTTTTTTGAGACAGAGTCTTGCTCTGTCGCCCAGGCTGGAGCGCAGTGGCGCGATCTCTGCTCACTACAACCTGTGCTTCCCGGGTTCAAGCAGTTCTCCTGTCTCAGCCTCTCAAGTTACAGGCGCGTCCCACCTTATCTGACTATTTTTGTATTTTTAGTAGAGATGGAGTTTCACCATGTTGTCCAGGCTGGTTTCGAACACCTGATCTCAGGTGATCCACCCACCTCGGCCTCCCAAAGTGCTGGAATTACAGGCATGAGAGACACCACGCCCGGCTGGAAATCTTTATTTTAAACTTTTTTATATGCATTTGAGAGAAAAATTAATATGAGGAAGACTTATATCACAGATACCAGTTCCTTGGGCAATTCCTGGAGACCAGGGGTCTGCAAACTATGGTTCACAGGGCCAAATCAAGCTCAGGGCCTGTTTTTGTACTGTCTGCAAGTTAGTAATAGTTTTTGTACTTTTTAAAGTTTGTGAAGAAGAAAAAACAACAAAGAATAATATGAGATAGAGATGTCGTGTGACCTGTAAAGCCTAAAATATTTACAATCTGCCCCTGGGCGGTTTGCCAACCCTGGGCTATAGACTCATGTCTGCACTCTCTGGAGAAAGGGGTTGAATGCAGCAGGTGAAATCAATGCAAGGTCAGGGATGGAGAAAAAGAATATTCTTCCACTTCTGTGAGGATCATAGCATGACTCTGGCAGAGTTAAGATTCTAGAAAAAAACAATACTTGGGATAGAAGGTTTTTGGTGCCTGGGAAGACCATGCTTTGGGCAGAGACATCAGCCTCCGCAGGACACCAGTGATGGTTATGGAGGCGTGGGGTGGCCTTTCTGTGACTTCACGAGCAGCCAGCATCACAGTGAGAGTCAGAATTCCTTTCCACAGAGAAACAACCTCCAGGGACTTGCACATGTAATTTGTGAACTGGGGAAGGGGCTGAACCCTTTCCCAAAGAGGTGGGTTAAAATCCAGTGAAACTTTAGCAATTAATGCTGTAGAAAGAAAAAAAGTGACAGCGTCCCCTTGCCCAATCTTTTTCTATGATGTCACTTTCAGAGAACACAGACCAAAAATCAAAAGCAAATTAGGCTGGGTGCAGTGGCTCACACCTGTAATCCCAGCACTTTGGGAGGCTGAGGTGGGAGGATCACTTGAGGTCAGGATTTGTAGACTAGCCTGGCCAATATGGCAAAACCCCCGTCTCTATTAAAAACACAAAAATTAGCCAGATGTGGTGGTGTACACATGTCATCCCAACTGTTCAGGAGGCTGAAGCAGGAGAATCGGTTGAATGCAGGAGGCAGAGAGATTGTAGTGAGCCGAGATCACGCCACTGCACTCCAGCCTGGGTGACAGAGAGAGACTCCGTCTCAAAAAAATAAATAAATAAAAGAAAACAAAAAAGGGCAAATTAATTTGAGTCTTTACCTGTATCTCTCGAGTGACATTCAAATGGAAATATGGTTTATAATCTCCAGTCCCTCTTCCTCCAGGCTCCCACTCTCTCATGCCCTGTAGCTTCCTCAGGATCCACCTCCACCCACCATTCCTGTTTCCTTTCCCTGCCTTTTCTGACACAGACCTTCCACAATGAACCTGATCTGAAAGATGACTGTGAGTTAAGATCAGGATGGGGGTGAAGTGGCACAGAACGCTGAGCAAGAAGCACCAGAATTTTCCTCTGGGGTTATGGGAAGGGAAAGCTGGGAATCCGTGTGCATTCATCATTGTCCTGATGTATTGTTCATAGGAATCTAGTCATTCCCCACCCCGAGGCTAGAGAGGCCAAGGGAAACTTTAGCTATACCAAATTGTGAAATTGAAATTTGTATTTAGTTCCCTAGCTTCCCTTTTTTGCAAATTTTCCCACCATTCAATGACTTATACGTTTTAAAAACACTTAAGGAATGCCTTCTATCTGCTCGTAGTTCAGAAAGAAAGAAATATTCTAGAGAGCTAGACAGACAAGTAAACAAATAATTACATGAGTATAATAAACACTATAATAGAGTTGTAAGAGTATAATATAAAACAATGATTATTTTGCACTTCCCCCTTCCCAGAATCTAGTGGCCTAAACAAGAAAGCAGTTTGTTTCTCTTTTATGTAACGGTTCAAGTGTAAGTAGCCAAGGGATGCTATGGTGGTTCCACGGTGATGGGGATCCAGGTTCCTTCTGTCTTGTTGCCCATTCATCCCTTAGGGTGTTCTGCACAAATAACTCACCACCACATCTGCTGGGTCTGTATGCCAACTAGCAAGGGAGTAGGGGGAGAGAGAAAGGTACTTCCTTTAAGGAAGTAGCCTGGAACTTCAATTCTGCTCATAGAATATATCATTTAATCACATCTAGCTGCCAGGGAGGCTGGGAAATGTGGTCTTTAGCTGGATGGCCATGTGCCACCAAAAGCTTGTGTTTTGTATTTACTAAATGAAGAAGGGGAGGATGGATTTTGGGAATAACTCATAGTCTCTGCTACAAATTACAGCTAATTCAATATTCCCCAAGATTATGTTGGCCAAAAAATAATTTGTTCTCAGTAGGAATGGCTTTTAACCCTACAGTTTCCCCTACATCTCAGAACGCGACCGCGAGATGTAGCTGAAATCTGGAAAAGCTACAGAACACTCAAAGGGGAAGTAAAAGACAGATCCTTCTGGTACAGGCAGTATAAGGCTTTTGCTAAACAATTCAAGGATCTAAGCTAAGGAATCTGGGTGGCAAACAGCATTTGGCTTTCCTCCTAACACATGTGTTCCACCTATTCATGATGAAAAAGGAGAGAGTACCTAGAACTACTCAAAGTTTGAGATTTATCAGCATGTAGCATCTGCTCCCATCTATTTCCATCCAGGTGCTGCACACCAACTTTAGTGGTTCCTCACAGTCCCCACAAAATTGCTCTTCATCTTACACTTCACAGTCAACCTCAACAACGCTCCAACAACCTTGTAGAAGAAGTACCAAAACTTCCACAAGGTTGAATGCCTAGAGTAGTGGGAAGGGTATGAACAAGAGGGGTGTTTGCAAAGCTTACCTTCCCGTTAAGAAGGATGCACGCTAGATGGGTCAGATGCTGCCATTTTGATACAGACTTTGAGGTAGCTATTTTGACCAGACTAAAACCAAACCACTGGATTTTTATTTTCCCAAATAAAAACTGCTTTAATATTTTTATCTGATAACAAAACTAACAAATACCCACTTTGAAAGAACCTGACAGTGCCAGAAATTTTGCACCGGTGCCTAAATAAAATAAAATAAAAGCCATCCAATACAAAATACTTGATGGGTATTTTTCCCCCAGAATTGTTCATTGCATAGGCATAAAAATTGCTGGTTGGATTTTCTGGGAAACAGATTCTGAGACAGAGTTTGCTGTATAGCATCTCGTTGAAGAATTGTCCTTGGGGTTAACACCTATGGAAAGAAGAGAAATAAAACAAAATTGGATGGAGCGAGAACTCCAGCTAATCATAGGCGTGACAACAGACTTAGCCTTCCCCACGAGGACTGTACAGTGTAAATGGCGCATCAGAGTTGTTCTGTGTTGGGCTGAAGTGGCCTGGCCTTATACTCCTACCTCCATCAGGATGTGCCCACCCTACCTGCTCAGGAGAGGTGACTCTGCAGCTGAGGCAGTCCTTGAAGGGACAGCTAGGGCAAAATGTCCTTCTTTGAAGGGAGATCTGGGTATGTTTCATCTACCCTACCCTCCATGCACGCACACACACGCACACACATACACGCCATATATATAGCTTTAAACAAAAATATGATCATATTATCTATGCTCTTATGACACTGACATTTTTTGCTTAGCAACATAGTGTAAACATTTTCCCATGACCCAAAATATACATCCCATTCATTTTTAATTACTGCAGATATTCTATTGAGTTGTACAATACTTCATCAAATACCTGTTGATGGGCATCTGAGAACCTTCCTAATTTTTGTCTCTACAAATAACTTGATCATGAACATACTAATGTTTGTATCTTTTCACACATGTGTAATTATTGCCATAAAATAATTCCCCCAAGTGGAATTGCTGAGCCAAAAGGTTTGCATTTTTACATTTTGAGGTATAATGCTAAATTACCTCCCAGAAAGCTGCACCAGCCTACCAGAGCACTGAGGGTAAGCCACATCAATCTTTTTTTTTTTTTTTTTTTTTTTTTTTTGAGACAGAGCCTCGTTCTGTCACCCAGGCTGGAGTGCAGTGGCGCAATCTTGGCTCACTGCAACCTTCACTTCCTGGGTTCAAGCGATTCTCCTGCCTCAGCCTCCCAAGTAGCTGAGATTACAGGCATGCACCACCATGCCCGGCTAATTTTTGTATTTTTAGTAGAGACGGGGTTTCAGCATGTTGGCCAGGCTGGTGTCAAACTCCTGACCTCAAGTGATTCACCCACCTTGCCTTCCCAAAGTACTGGGATTACAGGTGTGAGCCACTGCACCCGGCCCACATTGTTTTCTTAATAGCATTCATTAATGAGATGTTAGGTTAAAGCTGTTTCATATCTTGACAGATTGTAATTTTTCATTTATTTTTCCCTTTGTGAATTATCTCTACTCACCCTTTGCACATTTTTCTCTGGTTTGCAAGTATCTGTTATATTGAGGTTAATAAATCTGTCTGGTATATATGATACAGTATTATTTCCTAATGCATAGTTTGTGTCTTAATTTTTTCTTTTTCTTTTCTTTTATCTATTATTTTTTGAAAAAAATCCATTAAATCCATCTCTTGTCTCTTTTAGAGATTCTGGTTTAGATGTTACTCCTTACCAGTTTCTCTCTACCCTTAGTTTATAGAGATATTCATCTGAGTTTTCTTCTGGTACTTTTATAAATCCTCACTTTCACATTTTCTGTTAGTAAACAGTGTAAAAAATAGACATTCTCTCATCAGTGCACTTCTTAATCTCATCTAGTTCTCAAACCACACTGAGTTACCTGTTACTGAGAAAAGTAATAAATAAAACATTGGTTTTACATTTCAAAATGGTCATTTTGATGGAATTGCATCTAGTTGGCTGCTTTAATAGTCTTACTCCGTCAGAAATGCCCCTAAATACCTGCCATGGGAGGCTGAGTTGGGAGGGGGTTTCTTTCAGCCTCTAGCATGCTAACCTCAGGCAACCCACTGAGGTGTGAGCTAAGGGCACACCTGTGTGCAAAATGAAGTTCCAAAAGTCAGCACCTCTTCTAGGCATTCTTCCTGCTCACCCCTACCTTACCCCACAGTTTCCTTTCCTCCCACACAATTGCTGGCTACAGGTTTCCTGGCTCTGTACCAAGATGTCTCTAGGGGTTATCCACTCTGCTTTTCCCTCCTGGCTTAAAAAAAAAATAACTTTACTGAGGTATAATTTACATACCATACCATAAAATTCACGCCTTTAAAATCCATACTGCAGTGATGTTTTACAAAATTTACTCAGTTGTGCAACAGGTACAGTCTGGTTTTAGAACATTTTTGTCACCGCAATAAAGTCCTTCATGCCCATTTACAGTTAATCCCCATGCCCTCCCCAGCCCCAGGCAATCACTGATCTACCTTCTATAGAGTTACCTTTTCTGGGCATATCAGATAAATGGAATCATATACTCCTCTAGTTTTGACACTGCCTCTTATCTCCAGTGAGAAATTCCAGATTCGGCGTCAGCTCTGTGGAAACTGACCTGCCAACCAAATGCAGGTTCACATAGCTAATAGATGAGAGCTCTGACTCAAGTCCAGTTCTTGTGGTTCCAAATTCTTTTCAGTCCTTCCCACATTCCTGATCTGGCTACATTTTCAATGTTGTATGGAAAAGTTGGTGATGGCCCTTTAAAATAAGTCGCAAAGATTACTGGCCTTTTGATACACATGGGCACTGATTTCATGACTCTTTTCAGCCACCAGAGGGTGCCCCAAAGATCTATCTTTGAATTGGCTTTTGCTTGTTACTGTTAGACATCTAAGAAAGAGAATGTGAGTTGTCACCTGATTCTGGGTGAGTTTTTTTCCAAAATACTTTTCCTCTCTGAGTAATTGCAAATAGCAATGGAGAATAAAAACTAGAAACTGTTTTTTTGTGCACATTGAAAGGTTTTTTTTAGGCTTTTAAGAGAGAGATTTTTTTAAAATATAATAAAAAGGGAAAATACAGACGATTTAAGAAACTGGTGAAGAGTTCTTAAATTATGGCAATCCAGCATGACAGATATCAATTAACCAAAATATTAAGGTGTTTTTGCTAATCTTTTGCATATTTACATAACTAAGTCAATCCTTTGAGGGAGAAGGGAAATGGAAACATATTTTTAAATTAAGTTACCCAAATCCAGTATCTGCATAGCTAGAATTAACTGGATAAAAATTCAGTATGACAACTGAATTTATCTTTTGAAAAATAATTTTAAGGCCCGGCATGGTGGCTCATGCCTGTAATCCTAGCACTTTGGGAGGCCAAGGCAAGTGGATCACCTGAGGTCAGGAGTTCAAGACCAGCCTGGCCAACATGGTAAAACACCATCTCTACTAAAAATACAAAAAAAAAAAAAAAAAAAAAAAAAAAAAAATTAGCCGAGCATGGTGGCATATGCCTGTAATCCCAGCTACTTGGGAGGCTGAGGCAGGAGAATTGCTTGAACCTGGGAGATGGAGGTTGCAGTGAGCCAAGATTGTGCCACTGCACTCCAGCCTGGGCGACAGAGCAAGACTCTGTCTCAAAAACAAAACAAAACAAAACAAAACAAAACAAAAAAACCAACAACAACAAAAGAAAAATAATTTTGTTGTGATGTTTTTGCAGCTATCTGTACTAAAAGTGGCTGAATTCATTTGTCAATTTTGACTTTAAGAAGCGCTTAGCATTGCAGTCTCCAGGATCCAGAGGGCAGATGTATCTCTTGACCTCCTCCAACTGAGCATCTCCTTCATTTTCTTTATTCTGGATGGATGGATGGGTGGTTGAATGGACAGAGGCTGCTCAGCAGGCAGGATGACAGCTCCAGGGAGCATATTCAGAAGAACTTGATGATGAACTCTACTAAGGACCACACCTGCCACTTGTCCGTCACTGGGTAGTGACATATGTCTGGTAGTGCTATATTCCCTTCAAGGACTGTATGATCCCCAGAAATGGCTGCAGCTGTAGAAGCAGTATTAGACCCAAGTCACAAGGCATGGGTTTCAGGGCTGGATCTTCCCATACCTTGCGATGTGTCACTTAACCCTTATGTATCTTCTCATTTCTAAAAATCTATAAAATGGCAATGATAATAATATTTGCCCTAATTATCCTCTTACAGGGATATTTCAAGGATGAAATGGAATAATAATGGATAATAATGGAAAATAATGGATAATACTAGACAAATACAAAGTACAATTATTATAGCACTGTGCCTATGTGAGAAAGACAGAAAAAGAGGCAGAGGTAAATACTCAAAGACAGAGGAAAGAGAGAAGAAAGAAGCTTGGAGAGTGAGAGGGAGAGAAGACAATCTCCATTCCAAAGGCACGATTCTTCCTGCAATCATGCTAAGGTATAAAAGGTCATCTTTCCTCATTTTTATACAGTCACCCCCTCTGAAGAATAGCAAATAATCCATTCTAGTCTCAGGAGATTATTGTACTAATATTATTCAAACATCAGAACCTTTAAAATGTGTTTATGCTTTTCCGTGAGGATTAGTTGCTTTTAAAATATAAATGTCCCAACAAATCCCAGGATTGGATAGTGCCAGTTAAAAATCTCACATTGACTGGGATGGAAAGGCCAAGAATTGACTCACCAGGAGTGGGAAAGTGTGACTTTTACCCCTACCCTTCACTTGACAAGTAAGTCATTCTTGAAAACTCTGCTCCTAAGTGAAACATTGCTCAATGGCAGCTGTTTCCATTATTTTTAATGGGAAAAGTTCCTGTGTGTTCCACTCCATGTAGTCAGCTCCCTAGGTGCTGAGTGTTTTCCTGAGAGACACTTGCTTCCTCCATTTATGGCATTTACAACATATGATGAGATGCATCAACACTTGGGCTGGAAACTGGATTTACGGATGCTGTTGAAAAGGGTAGATGACACTGAAAGGAAGATGTGTAGAGCTTCCAAAAATAGCAAACCTTCAAGTACTGTCCAAGCATCAAATTCTATGCAATTAATTAATAGGCTAATGAGGAAGCACAGCATTCTGGTCACATGGGTAAGGTCCCTGCAGTCTCTGGAAGGCAGCATTTTTATTATGGGCTTCCATTCCAAATGGCAAGTGATCAAGACTCGGGCCGTCGGATACCCCCTGCCTAGAAGTCTGTTTAAACTGATGAAACCATAATGTCAAAATGTTACTTTAAAAAATTGTGGTAAAATATGCATAGCATAAAATTTACCATTTTGATCATTTTTAAGAGTGTAGTTCATGAGCATTAAGTGAATTCCCAGTGTTGTGTAACCATCACCACTATCCATTTCCAGAATGTTTTCATTATCTCAATCAGAAACTTTTTAGCTGTTAAATAATAACACCCGATTACCCCAACATGCAACCCCTGGTAACCATACAATACCACCTTTATAAATGTATTCATTTAGTGTGTCCTGGCATGAGAAAGTCACCATACGAAAAGGAAAAGTGGCAGAGTTGTTATATGAAAAATAGTAAAACTCTGCAAGAGTTGTTCTAGTGAAAATCATAAACCTGTCTGTCTTGTCTTAACACGGTGAGCATCAGAATTGCGCAGCGATCTGGAGTGCTCCGATGCACTGGGAGCAAGATGTGTTTGCTGAGCGCACAAAAGCTCCCACATGAGTGGTGGCTGTATTGGACAAAGTGAGAATGTTGAGGAATCCCCTATGAACCCAGAAGGAGCCCAGGCAAGCTGGGAGGTGTAGGGGCCTGTCTGGGGTCAGGAACAGGGGCTCAGAAGGAGCCCAGGCAAGCTGGGAGGTGTAGGGGCCTGTCTGGGGTCAGGAGCAGGGGCTCAGAAGGAGTCCAGGCAAGCTGGGAGGTGTAGGGGCCTGTCTGGGGTCAGGAGCAGGGGCTCAGAAGGAGCCCAGGCAAGCTGGGAGGTGTGGGGGCCTGTCTGGGGTCAGGAGCAGGGGCAAGGCCATGCTCCCAACCAAAAAATGTATGGCAATCATCATCTGAACTCTGAACATTATTCCAAAGGAAAACATTTAATTAGTACCCAAAGGGACATTTTTCTGTAATTTGAAACACCTACCCAATGATCCCTTGAATAAAATTCAATCTTTAGATACATACTTTAAAAAAAGCATATATAGAAAACACTGTAATGAACATATTAATTAATAGTAATAATGATCTATGTTTAATTGGGCTGACAAAGTCTCTTCTTTTATACTTTATTTACAACCTTAGACTCCTACTCAAACTGACCCCTTTTAGGAGCCTGCTTTTTCTAAAAGCACAAGAATTTAGTGGTGAAGGAAATACACGTATTAAAGGCTTTCTAGGATTCTCTGCCTCAAGGTGTTTTGCTAATGTGTACCAGAACATTCTTGAAAGGAGAAAAAGAAAAGAGAAAGGAATTCTTTGTAAAGAGAAGAATCTGCCTTTGGGCACTTTTAGCACAATTATCTATTAATCTGCAACCTAGTTAAGAGAACGGGAAATAACATGTATTGTGCATGGTGCTTTCAATAACAACAGCTAACATGCATCTGAACATTTACTACATTCCCGGCACTATGGAAATCTTTTCTAATTTCATTTGCTCATCACAACCACCAGAGAAACAGAGAATGATTTTTATGAATATTATAGAGAGAGAGAAAACTGAGACTTGAAGACATTAAGCAGCTTGCCCAGAGTCACACAGCGAGTAAATGGTTGAGCCAGAATTTGAATCCTAAGTAGTCTGACCCCAGGTGCACTTACTGGATTCAACTTTCCTGGTTTAATTCATGTAAAACCTCTATAAGGTAAAACATTTTTACCTGTATTTTACAGATGAGAAGACTGGAGTTTAGAATACATTCATGCACCACATAATGTGCATAACGTGGTCAAAGGCAGACCATGTATATGACGGTGGCCCCATAAGATTATAACGGAGCTGAAACATTTCTATAGCCTAGTGGTGTCCTAGCCATCTTCACACTGTAGCACTGTGCATTTCCTACGGATCTGTGGTGACGCTGGTGTAAAGTAACGTGTACTGCACTGCCCATTGCCTAAAACTATAGCACATAAAATTATGTAGCATACACAATACTTGATAATGATAATAAATGACTATGTTACTGGTTTATATTTTTTATCTGTATTTTGGCATGTACTTCTACTTATTAAAAAAATTAACTGTAGGCCAGGTGCGGTGGCTCATGCCTGTAATCCCAGCACTTTGGAAGGTTGAGGTGGGTGAATCACCTGAGGTCAGTAGTTCGAGACCAGCCTGGCCAACATGGTGAAACCCCATCTCTACTAAAAATACAAAAAAATTAGCTGGGTGTGGTGGCGGGCTCTTGTAATCCCAGCTACTTGGGAGGCTAAGGCAGAAGAATTGTTTGAACCCAGGAGGCAGAGGTTGCAGTGAGCCGAGATCGTGGCACTGTGCTCCAGCCTGGGTGACAGAGTGAGACTCTGTCTCAAAAAAAACAAAACAAACAAACTAACTAACAAACTGACTGTAGAACAGCCTTAAACGGGTTCTTCAGGAGGAATTCCAGAAGAAGGCATTGTTATCGTAGGAGATGACAGCTCCATGCATGTTATTGCCCCTGAAGACTTTCCAGTGGGACAAAACGTGGAGGTGGAAGACAGCGATATTGATGATCTTGACCCTGAATAAGCTTAGGCTACTGTGTGTGTGTCTTAGTTTTTAACAAAAAAGTTTAAAAAGTAAAAAAAAAAAAAAAAAAAAAAAAAATTAAGTAGATAAAGGCTTATAGGATAAGGATATGAAAAAAGAAAATATTTTTGAACAGCTGTACAGTGTGTGTTAAGCTACATGTTTTAAGTCAAAAGTTAAAACAATTTAAAGTTTATCAAATAAATAAGTTACCATAAGTGAAGATTAACTTCAACTTATTATTGAAGAAAGAAAAATTTTAAAATAAATTTAGTGTAGTCTAAATGTACCATGTTTATAAAATCTAAAGTAGTGCACAGTAATGTCCTAGACCTTCTCATTCACTCACCACTCACTCACTGACTCACCCAGAGAAACGTTCAGTTGTGCAAGCTCTTCAGGGTAAGTGCCCTATACAGGTGTACCATTTATATCTATTATACTATGTTTTTTCTGTACCTTTTATATATTTAGATAGGTTTAGATACCTAATTGCTTGCCATTGTATCACAATTGTGGACAGTATTCAGTACAGTAACATGCTGTACAGGTTTGTAGCCTAGGAGCAATGGGTTTTACCATAGATACCACAGCAATATCATATATCCCAGGTGTTGTGAACCCTGAAAAAGCTAACACTTTGAGATGGATCCTGAGTGGCTAACTGGGTCTAAATTCTGAGTGGAGCTGAGAGCCAATTGCTAACTGAAGGTTACACACATACCTTGTGCCAGCTGAACAGTAGATAAACTTTGGGGCTTTCAAAGCTGTCTGTTCCCGTTTGTGCCTCCAGAATCAATTGCCACTGGAAGGCTCCATTCTGCCAACTGGACCTGACCAATGAACTTAGTCTGGTGATCAGTTTTAACATCAACCAATTTTAACTGAACAAGCTTGCATCATTCATTTGCATAGTGGACTGGAGTGGGAACTTGGGTGGGAACGTTCCCCATATATGACAGCCTCTCTGCTCTGGTGGAGTGCACCTTTGTTTTATACCAAAGGCGTGTCTCCTTCTTTGCAAACTGCTTGCTGAAATGAAGTCTCTTTCTCTTTTAAATGGGACTCCTTTTTAGTGAAAGTGTTAAGAGTGTGTAGTAGGCTATACCATCTAGGTTTTGTAAGTACACTTTATGATGTTTGCACAATGATGAAATCACCTAATGATGCATTTCTCAGTGACACAGGACTGGAGTTAATTGGCCCAAGATTACAGCTAATATTTGATGGGGCTGAGAATCAGGCCTGCTGTTATTGGACCCTCAAGCCCTGGTTCTTTCCATTAAACACATGGTCTATTAGCTGCTGCCATTCCCAGAGGGCACTTTAAAAACACAAGGGAAATTGAATTGACGCACAGCAAGAGCAGTTTCATGGCAGTTCATCACTCCTACCAAGCTTTTACTCCTAGGAAGGCTCCAAGGTCTGATAAATCTTTGCACATGTTCTTTACCCCTCCTTGCAAGTCTCTTGAATGGTACTTGACACAAATCAGATAATCAAGATTCATTTGCTGAAAGGGATGAAAATAACACAAAGTTTGCCTACATGCTCTCTGACACTGATAGGAATCACCAAGGAACAGATGTGCAGGACCCAGATGAAAGAACAGAGAACATGCGATAATACATTTACAAGAGTTTCATGAAATGATTAAGGGTAAGTGTCTTTACTCTTAATCATTTGTTTTTTTCCTCAGGAAAAAGCAACTCCAACAATTTGAACTCTATATAATTTAGGACAGGAGCTTCTCTTTACACTCTATGAAATTCTTGCCAACTTAAACTTATGACTCAATCTTTTCTCCAAACCCAAATGTGATGCCAAATTCAGACTGAGAGAAAAAATATATAAAAATATATAAATCTAATTTTTATTTAAAAATGAATACCCATGTGACTATTAGAAGAAAATAATGGTTATAATCAGACCAGGTGTGGTGGCTCATGCCTGTAATCCCAACAATTCGGGAGGCCAAGGCGGGCAGATCACTTGAGGTCAGGAGTTCAAGACCAGCCTGGCCAACATGGTGAAACACCATCTCTACTAAAAATACAAAAATTAACCAAGTATGATAGCTCACACCTGTAATCCCAGCTACTCGGAAGGCTGAGGCACAAGAATCACTTGAACCTGGGAGGTGGAAGTTGCAGTGAGCCGAGATCCTGCCACTGCACTCCAGCCTGGGCAAAAGAGTGAGACTCTGTCTCAAAAAAAAAAAAAAAAAAAAAAGAAAAGAAAGAAAGAAAGAATGGCTATAATCATCTCAAAATAAACACTATGTTTGGTCAGGGAGTGGGTCAACTAATAATAAAGGAAAACCTGTTTTCCGTAAGTCTTAAAGTGACCCTATGGTAATTTTAATATAAGCAATTACTTTGGCAATGTGAAGAATCCATGCTAATTTACCTGTTTTATTATGGGGTAGATTATGGGGTCCTTCTTAAACACAGAATATTATTCAAATATCTTAGATGCTGCCTAAAACGCTTTAATGCACATATAGAGGGGAAAACTGCACAGTCCAAATAGCTTTTGTTTCAAACTGAGATGCAAAGGCCAAGAGGAGGAAGTTGAGCAAGCAAGTTGACTGCCCAAACCAGATTGAGAAAGATCATCATAGGAACACTACTTGCAGAACTGGATGCTCAGCTTCCTTTTCTTTCTTCCTCTGTTTACCAAGGGCAAGAAAAGACAGATGCTGAAAGCTTAGAACTCAGTAGGGCAGCTAGTGCTTTCCTTTGAAGGAGCAGTAAGCCGACACGGCTGAAACCGTGTTTGTTTCAGAAGCTGCTGGAAGGAAATGCTTTCTTCTATCATATGTCACCTAAACCAGCAGTTTCCAGTTGCCTTCCTCTGAAAGTTTCCACTGCCCTCATTCAGAGACTAGTTCCCTGTGGGGTAAGAGAATAATGAAGACAACTAGAGTTGGGTCAGAAAACCGCCTCAGCCATCAAGATGGCACCTGCTTCTCGTGGCAATCCTTTGCTTTCCTACTCACCTTCATCCTTTACTGTCCCTCCCTTCCTTTTAGACTCTCAAGGTTGTGCTCTTTAAACAGCTCAGTCAAACATCCCCTTGGTGTTTTCTCCAACCGCATTCTTTCTCTTTGGCATTTCTGCTCCATTTGACTGTGCTGATCCCTGTCTTACTTTACAATGCAGGTGGAACTTCAAAGCATTTGCCTGAAAGCTCTTTTCCAAATGGGAAGAGCAGAATGCTGGCCTTTAGTGAGAATACCAAGGTCAGTGGTCGGCTTCAGGGCCAGGCAGTCAGATTGCTGGAATCCTGAAACTGGAAACCCTGAATCGAAAGTTGGAGGCCTGTGTGATGGCTCATGCCTGTAATCCCAGCACTTTGGGAGGCTGAGGCAGGTGGATTGCTTGAGCCCAGGAGTTTGAGACCAACCTGGGCAAGGTGGTGAGACCCTGTCTCTAACAAAAAATGAAAACTTAGCTGGGCATGCTGGCACATGCCTGTAGTCCCTGCTACTGAGGAGGCTGAGGTGGAAGAATCACTTGAGCCTGGGAGTTTGAGGCTGCTATGCTGTGAGCTGTGGTCATGCCACTGCACTCCAGCCTGGGTGACAGAGTGAGATCATGTATCAAGGAAAAAAAAGAAAGAAAAGAAAGTTGAACGCTCAGACTCACTAGAGACCACACAGGCATTGGGATAAGTCAGCACCCAAAGTTATGCAACTAGATACAAGAGGGAGTCTCGTCACAGCAGTTATGTGCAATGGGGAGTGCGGGGGCAGAGAGGGGCTGTAGATGGGACGGCAACAAAGAGCCCCTTCACTCTAGCTGTAGGGCCAGAGGGCTTTGGAGCTGGAGGCGAATGCTCTGGATCTTAGGGTGACAGGGTGATCAAAGCCCTGTTCAGCAAGACGCCAGTGGGAATTGTGACATCTGATCCTTCCCACCGGAACCTACCTTTTTGTTTGGTTTCTGTACGTTATATTCCTTATCATCTCACTCAACCTCTTTGTTTGGCCTCCTTTATCTTTCTAGATTATCTCTCTTCACTCTAACTTCATCTGTTTTTCTCTGTAGATTCTCCCTCCTTAGAGCGTTCCCACCTTCTTTATTCACTATGTTCTGATGGCTCTGAAAACACCATCTCCAGCCCTGCCATGCACCTACGTTCTGATTCCTTAGCTTGAACAGCCTCCTGGACCATTCTTATGGATATTCCACTGTCACTTTATCAGGCCCACTGTGGACAATCAGCTCTCACAGCAGATGCTTATGGCGAGGGTGCCACAGTCGAACTGAAATATGGCATAACCTTCCGGTTCCTACCATCTTGATACAAGGGATGGTGTTTTTCAGGTCCAAGCTTTGAAGGTGTGTGGTCCTTTTAACTAGGAATACAATCAGTACACTAGAATCAGCCTTTCTAAGGGATGTTACCTGTCAAATAATTGCTAGATAGTTGGAGTTAAACACCATGGAAGAGGCTGAGCGGAGCTGCTAGTTCTGGGACCTCCGGGCCTGGGCAAGGTTATCTTCCCAGCAGCTCCAACCACTGGCAGGGGATGAGTACTTTATTTCTTTGATCCTCTGCTTCTTGAACTCTCAACTGAGAGCGTCTGCAGATTGGCCAGTTCTCATTTATCTAAAAATCTGCTGGCCCCCTTCTTGTTGGCCTAACATAGAGCTTTGGAATTGCTTGGTTGCCTTACTGAATGTGTTCACCTAGGATAGGATATTCCCAAGTGGGATCATACAGTGGTTGCCTAGTATTTCACCAAAATTCTCCTATTTAAAACATTTTACAATCTTTTGTAAAATGGGTTTTACACATTGAGGCACACATGAGGCACATCAGGAGGGCAAGTACTTTCTAAAGCATTTCATTCAACTACCTTGGTTCATGCCTGCTCCTAGTCCCATCCCCGTCATCGAGACAGGACACAGTCCTCCAGTCAGCTCAGTCTTTCATCACTGATTCTTGGCACAGAGAGGGTCTTATCGCTGGTTCCTTCAGATGCCACAAACGTCCTCTCTAGCCTCCTTTCCCCCTAACACTATCATTCTAGTCTAGCGCCTCACCCCATACCTGGGCTCTTTAGTAAGTTCCAATAATATGTGCGGAGTGCCTACCATGTACTATGTTGAACACAGAGGGAGGATGCAAACTGAGTCAGTTAGGACCCCAGAGCAGGGAAGCTTATCTAGACTTACAAATAACCAAGTAGATAAGGTGTGGGAGGCAGAACAATGGCCCCTAAAGGATGTCCACATCTTAGTTCCCAGAACCTGTGACTATGTTTCTTTGCATAGCAAAAGCAACTTTGCAGATGCAATTAAATCAAGGAATTTGAGATGATGAGATTTTTCCTGAATTATCTGCATGGGCCTAATATATTCACAAGGGTCTTTACAGAGGAAAGGCAGAAGGGCCCAAGTCAGAGAAGGAGATGTGATGACAGAGACAGAGGTCGACGTGATAAGGGGACATAAACCAAGGGATAGAGGCGGCCTCTAGAAACTAGAAAAGACAGAGAAACAGATTGTCCCTGAAGTCTTCACAAGGAACCAGACTGTTGCCCCATTGTGGACTTCTGACCTCCAGAACTATAACATAAATAGTGTTGATTTAAGCTACTGAATTTGTGGTAATTTGGTTGTTTTTTTGTTTTAAAATTTCAGCTTTAATTTTAGATATGGGGGGTACCAGTGTAGGACTGTTACATGGGGATATTGGACCCAGGTAATGAGCATAGCACCCAACAGTAGTTTTTCAATCCACGCCCCTCTCCCTCCCTCGTGCCTCTAATAGTCCACAGTGTCTATTGTTCCCATGTTTATGTCCATGTGTGCTCAATGTTTCACTCCCAGTTACAAGTGAGGACATGTAGTATTTGGTTTTCTGTTCCTATGTTAATTTGCTTAGGATAATGGCCTCCAGCTCCATCCACGTTCCTGCAAAGGACATCATTTCATTCTTTTTTCCATCTGCATAGTATTTCATGGTGTATATGTACCGCATTTTCTTTATCCAATCCACTATTGATGGGCACCTAGTTGATTCCATGCCTTTTTTATTGTGAATAGAA
Organism: Homo sapiens; assembly: GCF_000001405.40. Lineage (NCBI taxonomy): Eukaryota > Metazoa > Chordata > Mammalia > Primates > Hominidae > Homo > Homo sapiens. The sequence continues at coordinate 118,765,774 of NC_000006.12, read as the reverse complement.
CAGCAATGAATATACGAGTTCATGTGTCTTTTTGGTACAATGATCTATATTCCTTTGGGTATACACAGTAATGGGATTGCTAGGTCAAATGGTATCTCTGTTTTAAGTTCTTTAAGAAATCTCCAAGCTGCTTTCTGTAGTGGCTGAACTAATTTACATTCCCACCAACAGTGAATAAGCCTTCTCTTTTCTCCGCAGCCTTGCTAGTATATGTTCTTTTTTTTGACTTATTAATAAAAGCCATTCTGACTGGTGTGAGATGGTATCTCATTGTGTCATTGTGGTTTTGATTTGCATTTTTTGATGATGAGTGACAATGAGCATTTTTTCATATGTTTGTTGGCTGCTTGTATGTCTTCTTTTGAGAAGTGTCTGTTTATGCCCTTTGCCGAATTTTATGGGAGATTTGTTTTTTACTTGTTGATTTGTTTAAGTTCCTTATAGATTCTGGACTAATACATAGAATAAAAGACAGAGAAAGGAAAACTTACAATGGCAGAGGCCAACCAATACCATTTGGATGAAAAAAGATATGGGAGCACAGGAGAAGGTATGATCCATTCTGCCTGGGATATGGGAAACTTCCAGTGTAAATAGTTCTCCCAGACATCTCTCTACTCCAACCTGGTTACTAACCTGCCTACTGGAGTCTCTACAAGGATATAAAAAAGACTATTCAACCTCAATACTTTTGAAGCTTGTGAATTTTACCCCCAAATCTGTTCTTCCTTTAGTGTTTCTTCAGTGAGTGACACCACCACAGATCCCTCTGCATGGCCAGAAACAGGAACTCTCCATGCACGGGAAGCTGTGTTCTATGAACCAGCATTTGTCAAAATACTGGGCACCTGACTGCAGCGCAAAACAAATTCATTGTCATTGCTCAACAGATTTCTTTCTCTTGAGTGTAATCATTTATTTTAAACTGGAATTCATTCTAAAAGGGGCTAGACATTATTTCCAGATTCCAAGTGTAATTTAAAAAATTCGAAAGATAGGAGTGTCTGAGTAAACTGCAAGAGAAAGAGGCCTATTTTAGATGTGAAACCCTAAAATAATGGGATCACATTTTAGGAGGTATAAAAGCCATTTAAAACCATAATAGAACACCCTTGATTTTTGCTATTCAGAGCAAAAGATCCAAAATCAAAGATAAAAATCCATGCTAATTCAGAACACATTACATTTTTACCCCTTATTACTACTAGATAGTATACTATACTATATACTACAGCATTATACCACAGTGGTATGCTATATTATACTACAATATTCAGCCTCCAAATACAATGCAGACCATATATTTAATCAAGGCTTTATAGGTTTTGAAGAATGTTTAGCTTCCCCTTTGGAAGCATCTAGCTGTGACTCAATAAAGCCTCACAGTGATGCTTGCTTGAGTTACTGTTCTCATAGTTAGTACCTGAGCCGAATGCTGGGGCACGATGCTTATTACATATTGCTTCTTTTTATTGGCCACAAGTCATTTCCCTAAGGAAAATTCATGAGCTTTGTCAATTAAGACTTCACTAAGTGAGATCCCACTGCAAAAGTAATTAAGATAAAACAATTTCTGGAAAGAAATCCAAGTTTTCAGTGAATATTGTTTTCCAGCATTAACACTTTTCTACATAATTCCTTTAGCACAGAGATCCAAAAAGGTTTTGTAATTTTCACTTTGAAGTCTATGTAAGAAATGTTACTTTTAAGACACTGGAGAAGGCTGGGCACGGTGGCTCACGCCTGTAATCCCAGCACTTTGGGAGGCCGACGCGGGCGGATCACGAGGTTAGGAGATCGAGAACACGGTGAAACCCCGTCTCTACTAAAAATACAAAAAGTTAGCCGGGCGCAGTGGCAGGCACCTGTAGTCCCAGCTACTCCTGAGGCTGAGGCAGGAGAATGGCGTGAACCCGGGAGGCGGAGCTTGCAGTGAGCCGAGATGGCGCCACTGCACTCCAGCCTGGGTGACAGAGCAAGACTCCATCTCAAAAAAAAAAAAAAAAAAAAAAAGACACTGGAGAAATCCTTCCTGAAGAAGGAAAAAATTAATTATATCCAATCTTTCTCTGGCCCTAGATTTAGAGGGAAGGCTGTTTTGATTGCCTATACAACCAGCGCTCTCGCCCATCTCCTTTCTTTTTAAAAACTTGAGTTACCTTGTAGTTTCCTATATGCCTTGATATCTGAACTTGGGAAAGGTTTGTGGTTTTGAAACACACACCCTTTCTGAGAATAGGGCGAAAATATTACAATCTTGTAACCTATCTTTGAAAATTAAGGATTGTGAGAAATAGAGAATTGTTAGGAGTGATACTTATATAAACCTTGAATCCAGGGTTGTGCACATCGGTGCACTTTGTAAATGATGGTAACCAGCATCAAAAAGGAAAGTGGCTCTCTGAGTTATTTTGATACCAATGGAAGCTACCCTGGAAGTCTCTAATGCATTGGGGTTATTCTGTTTGCTATTTCTCACTTGATTACAAAGAGTGTTTGTAATAAAGAAAATATCAAAACTAAACATTTATCAATATTTGTGGATTATTTAGGGTTTGTGCCTATGAGTAGAATTTCTGGGTCTTAAGCTTTTTTTTTAACTTTACTAGACAACTGTTATCTCTAATCAGGAAGGCTTTTGGCTGCAGGTTACAGAATAGCTAATAGTTGTTTAGGCAATAAAGATTTAATTACCTAACATTGTCAACAAAGGATCCAGCCTCTTTCCCTCCTTCCATTCTGCTACCTTTAATGTGTTGACTTTGGTCCTCTTGCTTGCCACCTCATGATCACAATATGTTTTTCAAAATTCCAGGCATCACAGTCTCAGTCCAGTGTCCCAAACAAAAGAAAAGATGTATGAAAAAGGAGTTTCCAAGACACATGCACTCGTATGTTCATCGCAGCACTATTCACAGTAGCAAAGGCATAGAATCAGCCTAGGTGCCCATCAACAATGGATTGGATAAAGAAAATGTGGCACATATACACATGGAATGCTATGCAGCCATAAAAAGAATGAAATTGGCCAGGCGCGGTGTCTCACGCCTGTAATCCCAGCACTTTGGGAGGCCCAGGCGGGTGGATCACAAGGTCAAGAGATCGAGACCATCCTGGCCAACATGGTGAAACCTTGTCTCTACTAAAAATACAAAAATTAGCCAGGTGTAGTGGCAGGCGCCTGTAATCCCAGCTACTTGGGAGGCTGAGGCAGGAGAATTGCTTGAACCCGGGAAGCGGAGGTTGCAGTGAGCCGAGATTGCACCATTGCACTCCAGCCTGGGCAAAAAGAGTGAAATTCCGTCTCAAAAACAAAAAAAGAATGAAATCATGTCCTATGCAGCAACATAGATGCAACAGGAGCCTGATATCCTAAGTGAATTCATACAGGAACAGAAAACCAAATACCACATGTTCTAACTCACAAGTGGGAGCTATGAGTACACATGGACATAAAGATGAGAACAACAGACACTGGGGACTACTAGAGGCTGGATGGAGGGAGGGGACAAGGGCTGAAAACTGCCCTTTGAGTACCACGCTCAGTACCTTGGTGATGGGATCATTTGTACCCCAAACCTCAACATCTTGCAGTATACCTATGTAACAAACCTGCAGATGTACCTCTGAATCTAAAATAAAAGTTGAAATTATTTAAAAAAAAAAAGGAGGGGGGCGGAATGAGTTTTCTTTCTTTTCAGGAGGGAAAACCCTTCCTATGCTTCAAGGATAGGCCACTTCTGACCTAGGATAAGGATGTGGCTGAAGAATAGAGAGGTTCCCTCCACCTCTCCCTCGGAGCCTTTCATGTCTTAACAACCAGAAGTTCTACTCAGATTTCCCTTAATGCCTCATTGGTTAGGATGAGATTGCATTGTCATGCCTTGGTGTCAAGGAAATGAGAAAGCAAATATCTGGTAAGAGAGAATGGGATGGATATGACTTGCTTAAACCAGACATGATTTATAAACTGAGCCTTGGTAAACAAGGGAGAAGAGAGGAATGTCTAATCTTTGGCAATTAGCCCTGATTTCCATGCTTTCCAGAAAGATTATGCCAGTTTCAATTCTCAAGATCAGTGTCTGCATAGTCCTGTTCAGCCATATCCTTGCCAAAGCCTGGTCTTATCAGGCTTTTTTGGTTTTTGCCAAAATGATAGGTATTAGCCAGGTGCGGTGGCTCAAGCCTGTAATCCCAGCACTTTGGGAGGCCAAAGAGAGCGGATCACTTGAGGTCAGGAGTTCGAGACCAGCCTGGACAACATGCTGAAAATCCATCTCCACTAATAATACAAAAGTTAGCTGGGTGTGGTGGCACACACCTGTAATCCCAGCTACTTGGGAGGCTGAAGCAAGATAATCACTTGAACCCAGGAGACAGAGGTTACAGTGAGCTGAGATTGCTCTGCTGCCCTCCAGCCTGAATGACAGAGCAAGACTCCGTCTTGAAAAAAAAAAAAAAAAAAAAAAGCCGGGTGCAGTGGCCCACGCCTGTAATCCCAGCAGTTTGGGAGGCTGAGGCAGGCAGATCAGGAGGTCAAGAGATCAAGAATATCCTGGCCAACATGGCGAAACCCCATCTCTACTAAAAATACAAAAATTAGCTGGGTGTGTTGGCACGCACCCGTAGTCCCAGCTACTCGAGAGGCTAAGGCAGGAGAATCACTTGAACTCAGGAGGCAGAGGTTGCAGTGAGCCAAGATCGTGCCACTGCACTCCAGCCTGGCAACAGAGGGAGACTCCATCTCAAAAAAAAAATGATAGGTATTAAATGGTAATTAGGGTTTTGAGCATTTTGTCAAGATGGGTTATAAGTCCACTTGGAATTTATTTTTATCTGTGGCATGAGGTCAGGATTCAATTTATCCTTCCCCCTCCCACAGAGTGACCAATTGTCCCAGCACCTTTAGTGTTTTGCAGCACAAACCTGGCCCCTGTCATAAGTCAAGTTTCCACAGGGAGGGGGGTGGGGTGGGGATTCATTTCTGGGTACTTTATTCTGCTCCATCGATCTGTTTGTCTATTTGTGCCCATTATCACACAAGTGCATAAATAGAGACTTGTGACAATCTTGACAATCTTGACATCCAGGAGAACAAGTCTCTCTACCTTGTTCTTCTTTTTCACAAGTACACTGGCTATTCTTGGTTCTTTGTTTTTCCACGGGAATTTTAAGTGAGCTTGTCAAAGAATCCTCTTGAGATTCTTGTTGGAGTTGCATTGAATATTTAGGTTAATTGGGAAAAAATTGCCAACTTTATAATACTGGATCTTTCAGTCCTTGAACTTTATTCATCTGTCCATTTATTTGGGTCTTCCTTAATGTTTTTTAATACAGCTCTATAACTTTCTTCATAAGGCTCTTACATGTATTGTCTTAGATTTATTCCTGTGTATCTTATATTTTTGCTGGTATTATAAATGGCATCTTTTTAAAAATAAATTTTCTGTTTGTTGCTGATGAAGTCTAAGAAAATTTATTCTGTTAATTTGTCTGTTGGGTCTCCTATCGGAGAGCTTTGCATTCCTTTCTAATTCTTTTACTGTATTTCATCAAATTTAAGATATTTTGATAGAAGGATCTTAATTTTAAAAGTGTTAACGTATGAAAATCATTGATTAAATCTGAAAGTTTTGTCACTTTTTCTTGTCCTACTTTACTATCTAGTACTTCCAGTACTTTTTGGGATAGAAGTGGAGATTGTTGGCATCTTTGTCTTGTTGGGTTTAAAAAGAATGCTTCTGAAGTTTCTTTATTAAATAAGATGTTTACTGTAGTTTTTGGTAGATACACTTCAACTTGGATGAGAAAGTTTCTTTTCTTCCAAGGCTAAATGTTTTATATAAACTGATGTTTAATTTTATTAAATGATCTTTCTACTTCTCTTCAGATGATCATATGATTTTTCTTCTTTAATCTTTTTAATGTGGCTAATGATATCAGAGTGGCCAATATTTTACTTAGATTTTTGCATTTATGCTTTTAAGTGAGGCTGTTCTATAATTCTCCTTTCTTATATTCTCTTTTTCTAGTGTTGTTAGGTAGGTTAGTTATTCCAGCCTCATGAATTGAATCGAGAGCAGTATCTCTGTTTCCATTAGTGTGAGTGTGCCTGTTTAAGATTGGGATTATCTCTTTCTTGAATATTTGGGTAAGACATGTGTTTAAAAGTATTTGGACCCGGTGTTTCTTTTCGAGATATATTGTATATGTCATAAATTATACACACATATAAAATGTTTGTGTGTAATATGTTATATATAGACTATATATATGGTATATATTATTTGGTAAATTATGTTTTTCTGAGAATTTGTATATTCCATCTAAGTTTGAATACTTAGCATGAAGTTATCATAGTATCTTCATTTTTTTACCTGCTACATCTGTTTCCTTTTTTGTTACAAACTCTGCGTTCTCTCTTTTTCCATGATCAGCATTGCCAGTGATTTGTCTATGTATTAGTCTTTTCAAAGAAATAACTTTGGTTTTATTTACTGTCTTTGCCATATCTTTGCTTCCTGTTCTGTTAGTTTCTGTTCATATTTTTGTTAGTTACTCCCTCTTGTTTTCTTAGGGTATAGTTTTGTTGCTCTTCCTCCAACTTCTTTAACTGGAAGTTTAACTCATTAATTTTCTGTCTTTTATTCTAGTGTGGGCATCTGAAGCTGTATGTTTCTTAAGGGAATGAGTTTCACTTCCTAACTTATGTAATTCTGCTTTTTATGTGTGTATTTTCTTACTCTGGTCATGTATTATTTTTAAAATCACAAAAGAAATTAAGCCCTATGTTGGGGAAAAAAAAACTTTAAATAAATTCACAGATAATAGATCCCAACCTAGGCACTGGGATTGCTGGGAGGCGAACTTTCCTTTGAGGTTGCCGATGTTAAGAGCGGACAGAGTTTCCTGCCATGCACTTTGGTGTCCCTGCCAGGCAGTACACCACACAGGAGGGAAAAGTGTCTGCCAGGGTGCCTCAGTATTTGTGTCCCTGGAATACTTCTGTGGCTACATTTTCCATTACTGGAGTGTTTGTCAGCACCACCTTCACCTTTTGTCCTATATAGTCAGTAGTTTCTTTAGACTTTAAACCTCAGTTATGAAAAAAGAATGAATTGACTCATTAATTTCAACCCTTTTGTCTTAGGCAAGGTTTTCCAGAGAAACAGAACCAATAGTATAGAATAGATAGAGATAGATAGATACACACAGACACACACACACACACACACACACACACACACACACACACGAGAGAGAGAGATTGAGAAAGAGAGAGAGATTTATTATGATAATTGGCTCATATGGTTGTGGAGGCCAGTAAGTCCCACAGTATGGCATGTGAAAGCTGGAGAATCAGGAAGTCATCAGTGGTAGAATTTAGTGCAAGTCTAAATAAAGACTTGAGCACCAGGGGAGCTGATGGTGTAATTCCCAATCTGAGGCAGAAGGCCTGAGAACCAGAGGGGCTGAAGGGGCACTGGTGTAAGTCTCAGAGTCCAAAGGCTTGAGAACCAGGAGCTCCAATATGCAAAGGCAGAGAAGATGGATGTCTCAGCTCAAGAAGAGAAGGAGAGAATTTGTCCTTTCTGTCCCTTTTTGTTCTATCTGGGCTCTGCATGGACTGGATGATGCCCAGCTACACTGGTGCCTTCTTTACTCAATCTACTGATTCAAAGGCTAATCTCTTCTAGACACACTCTCACTGACACACCTGGAAATAATGTTTCCAGCTCTCTGGGCATCCTTTAGCACAGTCTTTTTTTTTTTTTTTTTTTTTTTTTTGAGACGAAGTTGTGTTGCCCAGGCTGGAGTGCAGTGGTGTGATCTCGGCTCACTGCAACCTCCACCTCCAGGGTTCAAGCAATTCTCGTGCCTCAGCCTCTTGAGTAACTGGGACTACAGGCGCCTGCCACCACACCTGGCTAATTTTTGTATTTTTAGTAGAGATGGGGTTTCACCAGGTTGCCTAGGCTGAGTCTCAATCTCCTGGCCTCTTGTGATCCACCCACCTTGGTCCCACAAAGTGCTGGGATTACAAGTTGAGCCACCGTGCCCAGCCAAGCCCAGTCAACTTGATGCATAAAATTAACCATCACATTCCTGAATCTGGCAATAGAAGCTCTCCTCTTTCAGTTCAGACTCCCCTCTCTACAGACGCTCTTACCTCTATATCATAGTTCATAGTCTCTTCTCAGGGCTTTTGGCATCAGGTCTTCAAGGAGTTCAATTGAGGACCTCAAGCATGTGTTAAATAAGCACTATGTGGAAGACAGGTGGAGTTACAAGGATGAGTAGGCATTATTATGGGCTGAAGTGTGGTCCCCACAAATTCACATATTCAAGTCCTAACCTCCAGTACCTCAGAGTGTGACTGTATTTGGAGACAGGGTCTTTAAAGAGGTGATCACGGTTAAGTGACATCAATGAGGTGGGTCTTAATCCAGTATGTCTGGTATTCTTTTTTTTTTTTCTTTTTAAGACGGAGTCTCGCTCTGTCACCAGGCTGGAGTGCAGTGGTGTGATCTCGGCTCACTGCAACCTCTGCCTCCCAGATTCAAGCGATTCCCCTGCCTCAGCCTCCCGAGTAGCTGGGACTACAGGCACACACCACTATGCCCAGCTAATTTTTGTATTTTTAGTAGGGACAGGGTTTCACCATGTTGGCCAGGATGGTCTCGATCTCTTGACCTCATGATCTGCCAGTCTCGGCCTCCCAAAGTGCTGGGATTATAGGCGTGGGCCACCATGACTGGCCGACTGGTATTCTTATAAGGAGAGGAGATGAGGACACAGTTACACAGAGAGGGAAGATCATATGAAAATGCAGAGGGAATAAAGCCATCTGTAAGCCAGAGAGAGAGGCCCTCAGAAGAAACCAACCTTGTCCATACCTTCATCTTGGACTTCTAGCCTCCAGAACCATGAGGAGATAAATTCCTGGTGTTTAAGTCACCCAGTCTGTGGTACTTGTTATAGTAGCCCTGGCAAACTAATATAGGCATATTCTCCACTCTGAAGGGTTTTGTATTCAGTAAGGAAACAGGAGTAATTACAATGCAGGGGCAGGAGTGTGTAACTGCTCTCCAAGAGGGATGAAAATGGCAGAAGGGAAGGAGAGGTCGCTTGTAGCTGAGGGAATTTGAGACAGCTTTGTGCAGGGAATGGGCTATGAGCTGAGCCCTTACGCATGAGATAGGAGAGGACAGCCAAGCAAAGGAAATAACATGAATGGGGCCCAGAGGAAAGCCCAGAGCCTTTAAGCAGAAAAGAGCATCATGGGACAAGCTCTGTCTCAGGTTAGCTGCAGCCCCCGAAAGTTAAAATCAAAGGAGTTGACGACAAACCTGTTTGTTCAAAAGTGAAGTTCTAGACCGCCCACGTAGGACTTCAAAAGGTTACCAAATACCAGTTTGCAACCCTTGGCACCTCACATAATTGGAGGATATACAAAAGATTAGAATTTATAGACAAGGGCTTATTGTATGCAAGAAATTAGAAATCTGACAGATAATTTCCTGGAAAAAGCTGTGTGAGTGCTGCGGCAGTTTCCCTCCTCCCCTTTGGAGGTATTTTCCTTTCACCTCAAGCCAACTGAAATGGGCTTGAGTACACCCCCCAGAGAGGTGGACCTGTGCCCATGGGATTTTGTGGGGACAAGAGGCTGCTGCTGGATGCATGACTAGAAAATTCTAAAATCAAGAGTCTGTAACTGGACAATTACATAAGGAATGGAGGTTTGGGGAACTAAGGATGCTTGAGTGCTTTTTCCACAGGCCAGAGGTGGAGAGAGAGCAGGCCTGCCCAAGAGCCTTGCCTGGAGTGGGCTGTGACCCTGACAGGAGTAGGTTCCCCCAAAGCCCCAGAGTGGAGATGACACTGAACAGAGCAAAACGCATTCTCTGCATCAGGGGAAATGCAGGTATTTCTTCCAGGCGGGGCCTCCATGGACCCACAAATACACTCCCAGAGAAATATCAGCTTTAAACTTGTTCCACTGGTAGGAAACCAGTGCTGGGTCACACTGCTGCCAGTCAAGGTAGGACCTTTCCTGCTCCTACCCTTTCCTCTCCTGGTGTCCCTCTCTATGAGGACCCCGGGGCAGACCATCGTGCAGAGGAGAGATAGAAGCATGGCTGGAAGCTCAGACGCAGTAAACCGTGAAGCTGACGATACCATCCTGTTTCCCTGTGTCAGCCTGGAGCAGCCTGCACTGGGGAAGGAAGGCCTGTGTGGAATCTGAAGTCCTGACTATTATACATGATTAGACAGTTCAGGTACAGAAATGAAGCTATTCTTAGAACTAGTAGGCTCTAGAGGACTTTTATCATCCATGAGTGAGCATATAAACTGTGTGACCTGCTATAACATCATGGAGAACAAAAAGTGCCTCAGAGAAGATTGAAGGGGCTGTGAAGGGAAGGAACCACACTGTCTTCTGATTGTGCCCTGAGTCCTGCTTGCATTCAGTGTCATGGTGCCAGTAGCTGCGTTTGGCACAAGGAGCAAAAAGAGGAACAATGGAAGACACTGCTTTAAAGGTAGTGAGACCACGTGACACTATCTACATAGTTTGGGATTTAGTCTAGTCGGGGGCCACAGGAGAAACTGAAGATGCTGTGAAGACAGTGACATGATAAGAGATTCAGGCAGGCTAATGTGGAGATGAGCTTCAGTGAGCGTAGAAGAGCTGACCACCCCCAACCACTGTCCTGCCAGATGCCCCAATCCATGCTTCCAGGACACACTTATGTGTGTATCTGTATATATGAAAAATTTATATTGAAAAGCAAAAGGATGATTAGTTCAGAAGTCTGTATAGTGGCTACCTCTGGGAAGAAGGGAGGGTCTGCAACGGGGAGGGGCAATGCTAAAGATGCAGTGGGCCAGGCGCAGTGGTTCATGCCTGTAATCCCAGTACTTTGGGAGGCCGAGGTGGGAGGATCACCTGAGGTCAGGAGTTCGAGACTAAAAGTACAAAAGTACTTCTCTACTAAAAGTACAAAAAAAAAAAATTAGCCAGTAGTGGTGGTCACACCTGCAGTCCCAGCTACTCGAGGGGGCTGAGGCCACAGAATAACTGGAACCCGGGAGGTGGAGGTTGCAGTGAGCCAAGATTGAGCCACTGTACTCCAGCTTGGGTGACAGAGCGAGACTCCGTCTCAAAATTAAATAAATAAAATAAAAATAAAAGATGCAGGCTGGGCACTGTGGCTCACGCCTGTAATTGCAATACTTTGGGAGGCCGAGGTGGGCAGATCACCTGAGATCAGGAGTTCAAGACCAGCCTGGCCAACATGGCGAAACCCCGTCTCTACTAAATATACAAAATTAGCTGGGCATGGTGATGGGCACCTGTAATCCCAGCTACTTGGGAGGCTGAGGTAGGGAGAATTGCTTGAATCCGGGAGGTGGAGGTTGCAGTAAGCCCAGATCACACCACTGCACTCCAGCCTGGGTGACAGAGTAAGTCTCCGTCTCAAAAAAAAAAAAAAAAAAAAATGCAGTGGGTTTGGGGAGATTGATTGGCTGGACAAGACATTAAATGTAATAGATAATAGAATCAAGGCACAAGTGGAAGAGTTAATCTTTGAAATAAGTAGGGAGACTTTATCTTTTAAAAAACAATGATGGAAAGGATGTCTTTAAAAATTAGAGGGAGAAAATGAGCCCAGCAGGTGGCTCACGCCTGTAATCCCAGCACTTTGCGAAACTGAGGCAGGCAGATTGTTTGAGCCTATGAATTTGAGAACAGCCTGGGCAACATGGCGAATCCTTGTCTCTACTAAAGATACAAAAATTAGCTGGGCACGGTGGCATGCATCTGTAGTCCCAGCTACTTGGGAGGCTGAGGTAGGAGGATCACTTGAGCCTGGGACGTCTCCTGCAGTGAGCCATGGACTCCAGCCTGGTGGACAGAGTGGGACCCTCTCTCAAAAAAAAAAAAAAAAAAAAAAAAGAAAGAAAGGAAGAAAGGGAGCAAATGAAAGGAATTCATATCCATCATTTCAGTAAAGTGGAATAAAGTTCATCTGCTAAGAATTTGGGGTGGGCTGGGCATGATGGCTCATACCTGTAATCCCAACAGTTTGGAAGGCCAAGGTGGGAAGATTGCTTGAGTCCAGAAGTTCAACAACAGCCTGGGCAACACAGAGAGACCCCATCTCTACAAAAAAATACAAAAATTCCCTGAGTGCAGTGGCGTGCACCTGTGGTCCCAGCTCCTTGGGAGGCTGAGGCGAGAGGATCGCTTTGAGCCCAGGAGGTCAAGAGTGCAGTGAGCCATGATTATGCCACTGGACTCCAGCCTGGGTGACAGAGCGAGACCCTGTCTCAAAAAAAGAAAAAAAGAAACCCTGTCTTTTTTAGACTCCAGGAAGCAGTGGGAGGCTGGATGTCAGGCTCCAGTGTCTGAAACGTGATTGTTGCTCAATAAATTTGCTTTGAATGAACAATGAATAAGAATTTTAAAAATTGAAATAAATATTGTTGGTCATTTGCTAGGAAGTAAACCATGTAAGAATACAAGAGTGGTTGTGTAGCCTTGTGGGTTCAACTGAGGTTAGGTAGCATGAATCTATTGTAGTAAAGCCAATTGGCAAGACACGAGTTTTAGAGAAAAAATAAAATGGTGGACTTGGGAAGGAAGGAATGACAAAAGGAGGCATTCTAAGGGGTTAGTAAAAGCATAATAGAAGTAGCCAGTCATAGGCGCAGGCTGGCTAAAGAGGGAAATGAAGCCAGCCTGAGAGAGAAAAGAAGGATTGAGGGAATAAAGTTCCTCTCTATTGAAGTTTCTCTCTTTACTGGCTCATTCCCATCACCATACAAATTCATGGTTATTTCTCTCATCTTCAAGCAAAATAAAAGAAAACAAAACCCTTCTCTTGACCTTAATTCCCTTGCCAGCTACCGCCCCATTCCTCTGCTCTGCTTTGCAGTGAATGTCCTTGGAAGTTTCCTATACTCACTGTCTCAAACTCCCCTCCTCCCATTCTCTCCTAAACTCACTCCAATGAGCCTTCTCTCCACTGATACTCCACTGAAAATACTTTGGTCAGGGCCACCAGTGACATCCAGTTTGCTAAATACAGTGGTCAATTCTCAGTTCTCATTTTACCAGGTTTATCAGCAGCATTAGATACTGTTGGGTACCTCCTCATACTTAATACAGTTTCTTCACTTGGCCTCTATGGTGCCATACTCTGGCTGGGTTTTTCTCCTACCTTTCTGGCATTTCTTTGCTGGTTCCTTTTCTCCCTGATCTGTTAAACTTGGAGTATTGTAAGGCTAAATCCTTGTTCCTTTTCTCTTCACTATCTATACTCACTCCTTGGTGTTACTATCCAGTCCCATGGCTTTAAATGGCATCTATGCTTCCCAAATGTATAACACCAGGCAAGACCTCTCTCCTGAAAGTCAGACTCATACAACCATCTCCTGCTCAACATAATAGATATCCCAAATTCAATTTATCCAAAACAAAACTTGTGGCTTCCTACCCTGCCCTGCTCCCGCATCTGCTCTACCCGTAGTCTTCTATTTTTCAGTTAATGGCAACTCCATCCTTCCATTTGTCCAAGCCAAAAGCCTCAGTGTCAGCTTTTACTTCTTTCTCAGATACTCCAGATCCAATCAATTGGCACCTTCTGTTGGTACTTTCAAAATAGATCTAGAATCCCACCATTTCTCACCATATCCATTGCCTTCACTCTGACCCATCATATTTCATCCAGATGATGAGTAGAATGGCCCGAATAGTTTTGTAACAGGCCTCCCTGCTTATACCTTTCCACATCCCATCAACTCCTCCAACTCAGCCTATTCTCAATATGGCAGTCAAAGTGACCCTTTAAAAAAAAAAATTAGATCCTGCCAGGTGCAGTGGCTCATGCCTGTAACTCCAGCACTTTGGGAGGCCAAGGTGGTGGATAACCTGAGGTCAGGAGTTTGAGACCAGCCTGGCAACATGGTGAAACCCCATCTCTACTAAAAATACAAAAAATTAGCCAGGCTGGTGGCGTGCACCTGTAATCCCAGCTACTTGGGAGGCTGAGGCAAGAGAATCTCTTGAACCCAGGAGGCGGAGGTTGCCATGAGCTGAGATTGCGCCACTGCACTCCAGCCTGGGTGACAAGAGTGAAACTCTGTCACACACACACACACACACACACACACACACAAATCCTGAGGTTGTCTCTTCTAAAACCTCCAATAGTTTCCTGTCACTTTCAGAGTAAAAGCTAAAGTCCTTCCAATGGCTTACAAACGTCTCCACAATCTGCTCTCAAGTTATCCCACCAAGCTGGTCTTTACCATGCCTCTGTCTCTGTTTCTCTGTTTCTGCCCACTGGACTGTTTGCCATTCCTAGGACATACTGGGCCTGCTCTCGATTTAGGGCCTTTGCAGTGTTTGTTCCATGGCTGCAAATGCTCTTCTCCTAGACTCCACAAGGCCAACTGTCACCTCATTCATGTCTTTGCTTAAGTGTCAGTGTTTGATTTAAAATCATACCAGTAGCATACTGGTAAATGATTATCAGCTGCCTGTCTAGAGAAAAAACAAGCTGAACTTTGTAGCATTTGCCAATTTCTTTCTTTTTTTTTTTTTTTGAGACAGTCACTCTGTTACCAAGGCTAGAGTGCAGTGGCACAATCTCGGCTCACTGCAACCTCCGCCTCCTAGGCTCAAGAGATCCTCCCACCTTAGCCTCCTGAGTAGCTGGGACTACAGGCCCACCACACCCGGCTAATTTTTATGTATTTTTGGTAGAGACGGGGTTTCACCATGTTGCTCAGGCTGGTCTCCAACTCCTAAGCTCAAGCGATCCGCCGGCCTCAGCCTCCCAAAGTGCTGGGATTACAGGTGTGAGCCACCATGCCCACGTGCATTCGCCAATTTCTGTGTTGTAAATATTCAGTGATTTCAAGCTACCAAGGTGATGCCATTCAATGAGTGTTCTGAACATGGAGTTGGGAAGAGATGCCACAATCAGTCAGCCAGCTGCTGCACGCCACTGACTGCAACCCACCCCCAGCTCCCGGACCCCTCTTAGTGTGCTCTATTTTTCCAGAGCACATATCACCTTCTCACCTAACATGTTATGTCTATTGTTTATTATATCCCTCCTTGCCCACCATAGCCCCAGGGACTTTTGTCTGTTTTGTTCACTAGTGTATTATAAGAAGAGTGTCAGGCACAGAGTAGGCTCTCGATACATCGTTGTTAAATGAACAAATACATTTCCCAATGAGGGTGATATAATGCAGATATGGTAATAATGAGTGAATAGGGGAATGTACAGGATGGAGAGCTGTGGTCAGATTAGAGATCTGAGTAGATAAGACAGATGTGGTCATGCTTAAAAAGGGCTGAAGTGGAGTGGCTGCCTTGGATCTGAGAACACTGTGAAACTAGGGAGTTCAGAGCAGCTGTCACCTTTATGTGATTTTGGAACCAATCTCTTTCCTTGCCGTAATAACTGAGGGCATGGTTAGAAACCGTGGGGTTTTCTGAGGTTGAATGAGAGGCCCTTGTTCTGAAGCTTTATAGTTAACTAAGAGAACATTATCTTAGAATATGTCATTAGTATCAGTTTGAATAGAAATAATAATGTAGGCTGGGGGTGGTGGCTCACGCCTGTAATCCCAGCACTTTGGGAGGCCAAGGCAGGTGAATCACCTGAGGTCAGGCCAATCCCTCTACTAAAAATACAAAAATTAGCCAGGTGTGGTGGCACGTGCCTGTAATCCCAGATGCTTGGGAGCCTGAGGCAGGAGAATGGCTTGAACCCAGGAGGAGGAGGTTGCGGTGAGCAGAGATTGTGCCACTGCACTCCAGCCTGGACAGCAGAGAGAGACTCCGTCTCAAAAAAAATTAAAAAAAAACAAAAAAAGAATAATGTGCATAGAAAGTGAGCAAAGAGAATTTATAGGTGGGCATTTGCTAAAGAAAGAGAAAGAATTCTCAATAATTTTAGGAAATTGTTTACTATCACTTTATTTAAATAATTTGCCCTGAGACTTCCTTTTATTCAGTCAATGTGTAAATGTGAAACATTCTTCACATCCTGATCCAGGGCCTTGCACATCTGGATATTTCCTCTCTTGAGAACGTATCTCCTCTTACAATTTAGCTATTCCATCACACCAAAACATCTAATAAACATCTTTTTTTCCTAATGTGTCACATTAGTTCGTTTATTCTCCATACATCCATAGCCATGAGACCATGTCAGTGAGTGTGCTGTTTTTATGAGTTTGAAGCCTAACCAACAGTTGCCCTGTCTTTCTGAAACTCAATGTCACACTGTCCTCACACTTGAATATAATCGGCCTCTGCCTACACTGTCCTCAAATTCAAAGGTATTTAGCCCATTAACAGCAATCTCAAGTTTTTATAAGCACATTTCCCATGGCAAGTTATTCTCATTCATCCAGCTTCTCCAAAGGATAGCTTTCATGAATGACATAAATGGTGAGTGCTATTCAATATTTTCCTCTAACATGTTGCTAGGTTTGCTGTTTGGGTACAGGGAAGTCAGGATGAAAAATATTGAAGTTATGCTTATTTAATTCTACCTTCTTAAAAATTCTAAAAAACAGAAAGTCATATCCAATGTGAATTTGCAAAATCAGAAATGAAAGGAAGACCAGAATACAGGGACGTGTACATGCTGATTCTCGGCACGACAATGAGCGAGACCTCCATAAGTGTCTCTAGAAGTGCAGTTAATTCCAGATCTGCTGGAGAATCATTTTCCACAGCTGTTTGTTTTGGCCTTGGGAAAGCTTTGGCATGCTCAGTGCGGGTGGCGGTGGGGTGGCTGCTGTCAGCCATGTGGCTGTGGTGAATTCTCTCCCTGATTCAGAGCCCTCCCCACCCGCCCTGGGCCGGCCCACTCTGTTCAGAGGGGAGCTCTCTGCCCCTTGCCAGGATGGGCGCTTCCTGCTGGACATCTCCCTGCTGCTCTCTGCCCACCTCCTATGTTCCTACCCTGTTAGTCCTGCCTGATGGCCCCTAGGCAGCTTTCCTTCTCCAAGCAGGGACTCTGTGCTGGTCTGAGCTATGCCAATGCAGCCAAGATGGTGATTTCAGTTCTGCCTAATGATTTCATGCTGCCCCTAGCCAGTCACCACCCCAGAGCTTGTCTTTGTCACACCAGAAACCAAGCGACAGATGCCGCTGGATCAATCCAAACTAATACCTCTATGCTCTGTCCTAGAAAAAACCCTTAAGGTCCTCGCTTTAGTGAGTCATTCACTTAACAAATGTTAATTTGATCTCCTCATTCTGGCATCTGCTTTCACGAGACTTACATGGGAGTCAGAAAAGTAGCAGGAAACAAACAATGAACAATCAGGTGTAGAGAGTGCTGGGTGCTATAAAAGATACATGACAAGGAGAGATAATAACTGGGAAATGAAGGACTCTCAGAGAACAGGAAGCCAGTGGTTAGGAGTTCAATTACAATACGCACACATTGTCCCCACATTTAAATGCAACATACTCCTGAAACTAAGAATTGCAGCAATTCCTGGTATAATGAAATCCTGCTCCATACACACCAGGTTCTCATTCATGGAAACAGTCAAATGAGAAGAAAGAAGGTAAAGTACAACATAAATCTGAAATTAGGATGAGCCAAAAACTACACTAAATTCTGAGTGACCAAAGAGGCTAAATCCTCAAGGCAGGAAACAGGTGTTTAGGGAAGAAAGAAATTGGTGGTTTCTTAAAGACAGAATCATATCCTCTTTTAGGAAGTACTTTTGGTAAACATTTGTTTTGTTCTGTTAGAGCAAAGGAAGGTAGGTTTCTAGTCAAAATATTTAATAAGGGTTTTAAGACTTCCTATGAGCTCTGACAGGCATTAAAGCTAAGAGGTGACTATTCCAATACAACCTGTCCATAACATGATTTTGAAAGAAAATTGTAATAACCTATGATATTGGGTGAGTCCTTTGGGAATAATACATGGTTGTGGAATACTTATCCCTAACAGGTGCCTCTTAGAGAGTGTCCAGGCATTTCTATTATATTCATTCTGAAGAGGGAATGTCTATCCAGAACTTGAATCTAGACCAGTTTCTGTGTGTGTATGGGTGGAGAGTGTTTGCGTTAAGATATATTTGTGCAATAAAATGTTATGTTCACGATGTCAAAAAAATTGTAAAAGACCTTAAAATGGATAAAAATAACTTCTGGATATCTTGTGTAGCACAACCTTCCAGTTTATCTCTACTTTTCATTGTCTTTGAATTATTTTATATTATTATTTTATTATTTTTAGAGACAGGACCTTGATCTGTTGCTCAGGCTGGAGTGCTGAGCCGCAAGTGATCCTCCCGCCTCGGCCTCCCACAACAGTGGGATTACAGTTGTGAGCCCTGGCTCCAGCCTTGAGTTATTTTATACTGTAAATGCAGAAAATTGGCAATAATGCAAATGATCATTATCCATAGAAATGCAAATGAACCGTGTCCAGTGGAATGCCATTGCTTATTGCCCTGTTGATCTTGACCAGTTTTACACTTATGTGTAAATTCATTTCAGCATTTCTGATTGCCTGTATATCCCTGGTACTTTGAGTTCTCCTTTGAGTTGTGGCTTTGGGCAAAACTCTTAGCCCTTCTACCCATGAGTTTTCCCATTTGTTTCATCTTAGGGTTCTTGAAGGATTAAATGAATTAATGCATGTTACACCCTTCACAGTGACTGAATATATGAATATGTGGTAACTAGCTATAGCTAAATATATCACCATGTGAATTTTCAGAATGTTGCAAGAATAAAAATGGTTGAGAGGAACACATGGGAAGCCACTTACTGAATGAGGCCAAGCAGGGCCAGGGAGATGTGGAGGAAGCTGGGGTGATTGGTGGGGGCAGGGTGGGGGTAGGCTGGGGGTGGATAGAGGGGAGTCACCAGTTACCAGGTAAGCAGCTGGGAGGCTTTGTAGGCAAATGAAGTAGCCAGTATTCTTCCTTACTGTGGAGAAGCTAGTGCTGGAGTTTCTAACACAGATTTCAAGGTCTATTAGAGCTAGACTCAGAATTCAGGCAGAGAAGCCACAGTAGGAAACTGAAAGAGTGACGGGCTTGGGTTTTTGCACCCATCCAGAGTTTCTGCCAGGGAGGCTAGCAGAGGCAAAGGTATGCACCAGGAAACAGCCTAACCTGCTAGACCCAAGAGCTCATGGTGTCAGTCAGGAGGATAGTTCAGTCCCCATCCACTAGCAACAAGGCGGGTGACTGTGGGCAGGTTGTGAGTGTCAAACTGTGATGCCCTAAGGCCCCTAGACTCAAAGATGAATAAAACAGAAACACACACACACAAACACACACACACACACACACACACACACACACGTTTCTAAGCCTTTCAGCAAGAGGTGGCCAAGAGGCAAATCCTATCTGACAGGCGCAGCAACAGCAGCTGGAGCAGCAGCTGACTTTTGAAGCCCAGACTCAGGGTGTGTGTGGCTCGGTTTCTTCTCTTCCTAGGGTTTTGAGGAAGCACAGCCCTCTGACAAAAGAGGAAGGTCTGAAAATGTAGACGTGAGGCAGATTACTGGGCAAAATGGCACAGGAGTCCCCAGGCCACCATCACTGTATCCCTGCAGGGTGTTTCTTTTCATGAAATATGTATTGACCTGGCCCTTTCTCTTTTGTCTTTTTTCTTGCATTTTTAATAGAGTTGAAAAATTAACATAGGGCAATTCATATACCTCTCAAAATGTAGTTCTCTGTTTAGCTGGACAAATCTCCCTCTGAAGTTCTCTCTTCCTTGGATAAGGGTGAGATGGGAACCCCTAACTGGCCAGTTCAATCTATGTCCTGGTTGCTTTTGATTTGACCTGTTCTTTTACAATGTAAATTCTGCGTCTTTTAGATTTCTCCTTCAAGCCTTGTTCTTCCCAAGATAGTAACTATGGGTATGGATATGGATATTGTTATGACTTTGTAGGGGGTCCTGTCTATAAGAGGACCACAGAGATCTCATGGTCCTCTGGTCCCCACAGATAGTTCCCTTCTTCTCCTGGTCACGGGGGGACTCTGCCAGTATCTGCAACTGAAGCCTGAGGCTGGTGGTTTGAGACCTGTTCTCTTGGTCCTCCCTTGTACACAGGGCCCCTGCTCTTACTGGAGCTGTGAACCCCTCGAAGTCCTAGCCAAGTTCTGCATCTGGCCTTTGGCTTGAATTGTCCAAACCACAGCCTTGACGCAGCAGTTCCCTCACGGTTTCTTCTACAATCATCACAGCAGTTCCCTTCAGCTACCTGCTGCACACCTAAGAAGCTTGTAAGTCTTTCTGGGGCCTTTCCATACCACAGAAGACAAGAGGGTCTTCCGAGGCACCAGTGCGACTTTCTCTCAGTGCAGGTGGCTGCTTGGGACTTCCCCATATTTTTTGCTTGGGACTACCCCATATGTCTCCTTCCAGAGTTCTAACCAGGGAGTGCAGCACAAGGTCCCTGTCTTCCAGCTTCCCCGCACCTCGTAGCACCCACCTTTTTGGGGAAGTCAAAACCTATTTGCCCGTTTGCTTCCCTGACCTCCATCTTTTTTCTCCTTCCCCCTCTGCCCTGGGCTGGGTGGGGATGGGCCTTCCACTTTCTCTCAGTGTCTGCTCGCACCTTCTCTTCTGTCTGGTTCTTTTTCCCCAGAACAGCAAGTCATGCCACCTAGTTATCTCTTTCAACTTCGGAAGGAACTCACCATCTGAGCCAACCAAGCTTAGCTGTTAAGCAGAAGCTATGGGACAACCAAGAGCCAGGGAGTTTTTAGAAACAAAGTACATGAATTAACATTTCAAAAATGTATCCCTGTATTCATTCATGTAGCCATCAGGACTCACTGTGCACCTACACATGGCAGGCACCGGTCTGACGTCCGAGACACAAATAGGAGAAAGACTCAGTCTTTGCTGTAAGTTCTGTAGCCCAGTTGAGGAGGCAGCCAACAATGAATCATTATCCTCCAATACGAGTAGATTTGGAGTGCACTGGAGCATAGAGGAAGGAGGGAGCAACTCCACATTGGCTTGAGCAGGCTGGAAGCACTGCTCAGAGGAGATGATAGGTGAGAAGGCTCAATCCATTCAGAAAAAAAGAGGGCAGCCTGCACAGTGCGGGGAGGGGAGCTGAGGCTGGCAAGGAAGTGATGTGCCTGGAGAGCAGAAAGAGGTTGGGTCACAGGGAGCATATGGTTGGGGTGGGGTGGGAGGAGATGATGTGGCAAGGGGGTTTGGCATCAATTTGTTTTTTGAAGTTGAAGAATTTGGAATTAATCCCATAAGCAGGGGGGAATCTATTGGAGTAACATGTCCATACATGGTATGCCACCCAGATCTCAGACTCCTTTGAAAGAGTATTTGGGGAAATTCTTGCCTCCTGAGCCTGTTCCACATTGTGGTTGTGTCTCTTGCCACTCACATTCCTCCTGGAGCTGCCATTGCTGTTGGTCACTGACCACTAAGCTACTCCACTATGCTACCTCTGCGTTGCCCTTGGCAGAAAGGTGAATTTGGGGGCTATACCCTTTTTATTTCCCATAAGGCTGTCACACAGGCTATAAAGAAATATTGGACTCTGGATGGTTTGGAGTGATGGAGAAGGCCTTTGTTATAGCAAGAAATATACCGGAAATTGAACCCAGGTCCAATCCAATGATCTGAAATTCTTATTGCCAAAAACTCCTGCAACTGATTAAAAATGTTTGTGCCTACCCATAATAGCTCTGCTCTGTGCTATCATTATTTGTTTATGCTTTCTGGAACAGCTGTTGGCTGCAGAACTGAGCATGCTTTAAGAGAATGTCAGAGTTAACATCAGCATGCTCTCAGGAGCCAGGAGCTCACATTGATTGGAATAAATATAGCTTGACTTGGCTATAAGTCTATGGATGAAGTCAGTAACATGGTAACAACAAAACAGTTTTCTAGAAACAGTGGATCCTGAGAGCATGCTGCCAAGAGAAGTAAAATGACAAACACCCTTTTCTAGGTGTCTGAGAAATGGGGGCCTTTTTGCTGTAGAATTTTATCTTGAAGCGGAATTTGTTTGTCCCACCAGATAGGCTTTTCTTGGCAGAACCAAAGGTGATTATTTCTTGTATAATCATATATGAATTTTTCTTAGCAACAAAAGTCTACACTGGGGATTAGTCAAAGATAAGGTCAGAAAATTAGTTCAGGGCATAAAGGTGTAGACCTTGAATGGCAGCCTTTGGAATATAAACTTTGCTCTGTTAATGAGCGGTTTTAAAATGCTTTTAAGCAAAGCATGCAAATACAGTTGATTCTTATTCATGGTAAGATTCCTAGAGCCTCTGATCACAAATATATATATAGAAAATATATACATATAATATATTATATAATATAATATACATATAATATATGTATAATATATACATATAATATATACATATAATATATACATAATATATACATATAATATATATATAATATATACATATAATATATATAATATATATATATTATATGCATATATATATTTTTTTTTAAAAAAAGGTCTCACTCTGTCTCCCAGGCTAGAGTGCAGTGCTGTGACCATGGCTCACTACAGCCTTAACCTCCCAGGCTCAAGCACTTCTTCCACCTCAGCCTCCAGAGTAGTTGGGACTACAGGCTTGCACCACCACAGCCGGCTAATTTAAAACAAATTTTTTTGTAGAGGTGGCATTTCGCTATGTTGCCTGGGATGGTCTTGAACTCCTGGGTGAAGCAATTCTCCCACCTCGGGCTTTCAAAGTGCTGGGATTACAGGCATGAGCCACTGTGCCAGCCAACATTTTCAACAATCGATCAATATGCAATCTTGTGTTAAGCGTATTTCTATTTGAAGATACTTTATTTAATATACATTGTTGATTCATTAACATTGAACCCAGGACCAACAGCACTGCAACTGACACTTGAAAGCAGCTTATCTAACAGATAATTTTCTCTGTAAGGCCCATTATAGCTTTCTTGCACTAGGAACACTAGAAGTTACTTCAGTCCTATGCTGAAAAAAGCAAAAAACGTGATATTAAGTAGACTATGCAAAGAACACTTATTTATAGTATGAGAAAGCATGAAACAAGAAGGAGGGTTTCACCTTGTTGAATCTCAGTGGAAGACATGCATATCAGGTGACTTGAAATTTTCACCTCTCTACACATCTGAGAGTGACCATTAAAGTGCGATGAGTATTGATATTGAGTTACAAATAAATTTTAGTGAGTAAGCAAATTCACAAATATAAAATCCACGAACTATAAGAATTGACTGCATGAGTTTTGCATTTTAAAAGAGAAATTCTGGTGCTACTGTCAGGAAAAACCGAATGAAAGTTGTGTTTTACACAGATTATGATGTGTTGGTTGGTGATTTAAGATGAAAGAAAGGAGAAGAGAAATCAGTTAAAAGGCTTTGCAGTGGGCCCACAGATGCTTCCAGTTAGAAATAATGCCTAGTAGCCGGGCGCGGTGGCTCACGCCTGTAATCCCAGCACTCTGGGAGGCCGAGGCGGGCGGATCACCTGAGGTCAGAAATTCAAGACCAGCCTGGCCATGGTGAAACCCCGTCTCTACTAAAAATACAAAAAATTAGCCGGGAGTGGTGGTGTGTGCCTGTAATCCCATCTACTCGGGAGACTGAGGCAGGAGAATCGCTTGAACCCGGGAGGCGGAAGTTGCAGTGAGCCAAGATGACGCCATTGCACTCCAGCCTGGGCAACAAGAGTGAAACTCCGTCTCAAAAAAAAAAAAAAAGAAAGAAAAGAAATAATGCCTAGTAGAGAAAATGATTAAAGTAAAATGTA
Source organism: Homo sapiens (assembly GCF_000001405.40). Taxonomy (NCBI): domain Eukaryota; kingdom Metazoa; phylum Chordata; class Mammalia; order Primates; family Hominidae; genus Homo; species Homo sapiens. The sequence goes on along the minus strand of NC_000006.12, from coordinate 118,741,940 downwards.
TCGGCCGGGTGCGGTGGCTCACTCCTGTTATCCCAGCACTTTGGGAGGCCAAGGTGGGGGGGATCACCTGAGGTCGAGAGTTGGAGACCAGCCTGGTCAATATGGTGAAACCCTGTCTCTACTAAAAATACAAAAATCAGCCAGGTGTGGTGGTGGGCACCTGTAATCCCAGCTACTCGGGAGGCTGAGGCAGGAGAATCACTTGAATCCAGGAGATGGAGATTGCAGTGAGCCAAGATCATGCCACTACACTCCAGCCTGGTCAACAGAGAGAGACTCCTCAAATAAAATAAAATAAAATAAAATAAAATAAAAAAATAAAATAAAATAAAATAAAATAAAATAAAATAGTGTCAATTACAATAAAGATTTATTCAATGTAACTCTATAATTCTAATTCTGGTAGTCTAAATATATGGAAATAAAATAATAGGAAATCAGAAATATGAAAAAAGTAGATTGTAGATGTTTGTCATAGCATTATTTATAGTAGAAAAAAACCTGAAGACAATCTAAATACGTAACAAAATGGTTATAGTTAAAAAAATTATATATAAGTACATATACATATATATATATACTAGACAGCATATTATATGGTCATTTAAAATAATTATTAAGAATACTATATGGAAACATAAAACAAATATCAGTAAGCTAACATCAAGTATTAAAAAAGAATAAAAATAATATATTTTAGTAACAACCAGTAGAAATCTATTCAAATGAAAAAATAATGTGAAAAAATAAAAATGTTTAATATGATTATGTGAATATGTCAAGATAGTGGATATTTTTCCATTAAAAATACATTTATTAAAAGTGAACTTGGGCTGGGTGTCATGGCTCACGCCTGTAATCCCAGCACTTTGGAAGGCTGAGTTGGGTGGATCACATTAGGCCAGGAGTTCAGGACCAGCCTGGCCAACATGGCAAAACGCTGTCTCCACTAAAAAAAAAAAAAAAAAATACAAAAATTAGCCAGGTGTGGTAGTGGACACCTGCAATTCCAGCTACTCAGGAGGCTGAGACAGGAGAATCACTTGAACCAGGGAAGTGGAGGTTGCAGTGAGCCGAGATTGTGCCACTTCACTCCAGCCTGGGTGACAGAGTGAGACTCCATCTCAAAAAAAAAAAAAAAGCGAACTTGGTTATATTAATAAAAATATGATTCGGTTAAAAAAGAAAAAATGTTCAAATATTTTAAGTGGAAGTTGGTAAGGAGAAAAAAAAAACAAGGTAATGAAATAATCAAATGTGGTTTGCCCCTTGGCTTTAAAATGCTCTTAATAAATACTTCACTTTTATATCCTGTAACCTGTCTTTCCATTCTTAGAGCAGCAACATGACTAAGTAGTTTACCACGTGCTGTTGTGATAAGGAACAACATGGAAATTTACTTTCTGTCCTCTACTACTGTATTATAACAGACAATGACTACATTTTTGGTCAACATTTTTCCTGTGTGCAGTATGTCTAGATATTTTCAATGAAATTGATGGCACAAATTATTCTATGGTTTTCTTTTTAGATACTCTCAGTACTTGTAGCACAAACAATAAAACGTGCTCTTTTACTTAAAATCTTCACATGCCAAAAAAAAAAGAAAAAATGCACATTAATAATAAATGGATTTCTAATTGTCTTAGCTCAGGTTACTCAAAGTCACTTGAAGATAACTTGTTGTTTTTTTTTTTCTTCTAAGCAGAAAATGAATGAGTGAGGGAAGGAGATGGAAGCTTGCCAATCTTGCTTTCTTCACATGAAATGCAATGCCACATGGAAGGCAAAGATGACAGACCACAGTTGCTACAATGGTAGCAAGAGAAAAAAATGAATGTTAATGGTCGATTTCAAATTAGCCAGCTCTTTTTCTTTTGCCTGCAGCTGGTGCCATAGGGGTTACTGAGTCTCAAGAGATTACTGGAGTTTAGGTGGCCGTAATTCATCCAAACACTATTCAAGAAAAAAGTCCTTGCTCTGTTCATTTTCATGAGACTTATTGTTTTTAGCATTCTAATTGTGTTTGTTCACTCCAGTGATGAAACAGATTTTTTCCCCAGACTGCTTTCCATCTGGTTATTTTATAATTGTAAACAAACTGCATTAGAAGTAATTTTTTAAAGCCCAAACTACCATCTTCTATTCTGTTTTATGTAGGTAAGCAGTTGAATGGAATTATTTTCTGAAATAATTTCTGAATGAAATTAATTATTATTGGTGCACATTTATTGTTTAGAATGTATATGTTTGTGAGAATATCTGTGTATACATATATGCATATATACAAACATAGACGCAGATATATACATATGCATGCATGCACCACTAGCCTTTCTCCTTGATTGGCCCTTTAGAGATTTTTTTATTGTTATTACTTCTGTATATTCTTTTAGACAGTCATCATTTTGGGACTTGGCCTGTGACTGCAGGTGTGTGGGAAGAAGCTGACATCACAGGAAGATGGGATTTGTTTTGACGACTCTCTCAGGAAGGAAATCATTGCATAGATGTGTCCTGGAGAACTCACTGAGCATGTGTGACAATGACCTTGCATGGAGCGAGCACACACCGCTGTGTTGGTCCCAGAAAAGCCAGCAAGGGAGGCTCCCTCCACTGTCTCTCTGCCCTGTGGTCCAATTAGGGAGGACCTAGGGCATGGGCCAGGCTGGGCCTGGCTTGGAAGGGCTTTCAGTGCGGTCACTGAAGATAAACTCACCCTACATCCGTTCTTTAAAATCAGTTCTATCTTCACGTAGAAAGGTGTGGTGAGACAGTGGAGCAGAGTAGGCAGAGGAGCTGGAATGGGAGATTAGCCTGCACCTTCTTTGTGTTCCCTATACATCTTCCCACACTAGCCTGAGGTCTCTCCTTTAGGGAAGGATGTCCTAGAACCTGGGAATTGGCTTTGTCCGCAGCCCCGTGAGCAGCCCAGGGTGGGACACTCATAGGAGTGCCTCCCCTTCTACACTCAGTGGTGGCCAGATGCTAACTGGTCCCCCACATCCCCAGCTGTACACTGGGATCCCCAGGACTGGCTGTTTCCAGAATCCCGAGCACTTCTGCTGCCTGGGAAATTTTGCATATCAGGGCCTCTGGAGAGTCATGGTGCTGAATGGGCTGGGAAAGTCATGCTGGGTCCTGTTTTAGCTACTAAGATATTATGGAGGCAAGACCAGGTAGAGAGTGCAGGAGTGGAGGAGGAGGGGGAAAGGCTTCTCTCTTTGTCCCCTTATAGAACACCCTGAGTGAAGCACATATCCTACCCTTAGGTTGGTTTTGAATTTGTTTGTTATTTTGGTGGTTGCTAGAAAAAAAAAAAAAAAGAACAGTAAAAAAAATTTTCTCCTAAATGCATACCCATTCAGCTATTCTTTTTTTTTTTTTTTTTTTTTTTTTTTTTTTTTTTTGAGACAGGGTCTCATTCTTGTCTGCCAGGCTGGAGTGTAGTGACACAATCATGCCCCACTGCAGCCTCTATCCCCTGGGCTCAGGTGATTCTCCCACATCAGCTTCCCAAGTAGCTGGAACTACAGGCTTGCACCACCACACCCAGCTAATTATTTGTATTTTCAGTAGAGACGGGGTTTCGCCATGTTGCCCAGGCTGGTCTTGAACTCCTGGGCTCAAGGGATCCGCTCCCCTCAGCCTCCCAAAGTGCCGAGCCACCACACCTGGACAGCTGTTCTTAATTTACAAGACCTTTTGAGGACCTCACCTCCTATTTGCATCAGAATCTGGCTCCATCAAGTATGTTCTCTTCAAATCTTCAGCTTCCTCATCTTTCCTGACTCCTTTTGCCTAGCAGCTAGCCCATATATACATGCAAGAGTACTAGCAAGGCTGTCTTAGCTAAAGAAAATGAACATTCATTTGAACCTCCGCTACTTCTATCATATGCTCTGTTGCTCCTTCCTTTTTATACAACTTCTCAAAAGATTTGTTTGCACCTAGCATCTCTACTCCTTTGCCCATCATTTGCTCAGCACACAGTGATCTGTTTTCTGAGCTTATCACTGTTGGAATTGCACTCGTTTTTCACCAAAGCTGTTCTGATTTTCAATCATATAAACCCTATTCCTTCTTTGTTTATATGGACCTCTTTGCTGCAGTGACATGAACATGTAAATCATATCTGAGCAGGGATTTTTGTGTTTTTTACTGCTGTGTCCAGAGTATTGGTTGAATGAATAAATGAGGGAGTTCTTTTTTAAGACTCACTAAAGAGTCCACTCCTGGGCTTCAGAGAGCCTGGCACCCTCCTAGTTCTCCTCTTTCTCTCTCCACCCCTCTTGGCCAGAAACACCTCTGCTCTCAGCACTCTTGTGTTTTGCTCTTCTTAGGGTTTCTTCCTCATTAGCGTCTCTTCTCATTCTACATGTTCTCTCTGAGTAATCTCATCAAATTTATGTTTTGGATACTCCTGGGTGCTGAGGACTCCTAAATTATCTATTCAGCCATGACCTCTCCCTGGAATTTCAGCTCAAATATCCAAATATCTGCTGGCCATCTTTCCTTGGTGTTCTATAAGTGCCTCAGTTCAACATTTCTAACACTAAACCCTCAGTCTTATCCCCAGATCTGCTCCTCCTCTGGGTCTCTTATCTGCAGCATCCCCATCCACCTTGTCAACAAAGCCAGCGTAGTGGGATGTCTAATGTGAGCGCCTGCTGGGCGTTAGACATGTCTTGAATCTGGTGAGCTTCCAAACCTTGTTCACACAAGGGATTGCAAGTCCTCCTGGGAAAGGACCCACCCTAAGGGAGGAATGGATGGACAGATAAGGCTGTCTTGGAAATGCTGTGTCTGGGAAGGCCAGTGGTCACTTTGACTCCTTTCTTTGTTACCATCAGTCTTTGACTTATGCCAGCTTGCCTCTTAAAAGTTTTAAACATTTGTCTCCGTACCCTTGTTGCTTGCCTTGTACTTGTTGCTTGCCTGTTTGCCCTCAGAGCGATTCCCCCTGCATTGTAGGAAGGTACGTTTCCCTTGTCAACTGCCTTCCAGGTAGGTTTGGCAATGGGAAGCACTGTTGGAAGGCTGGAAGGTGGGAAGAGGGGGAAGGCCAGGGTATTTCTCCTTCCCTTCTCTGCCTCTGATGGCGTCTTCCCCAGGACTGCTCTTCTTTCCTCGTGCCAGCCGGCCCCACCATAGTTGTAGCTCATACCAGCCAGCCCCAGCCTCTGGCTCCAGTGACTCTACCTCTTCCCTTTTCCTTCCAGCTTAGGGACAGCAGTGCTTCCTGCTTTTGCTATCCTCCAAATTGCTGTATTTCTCTCTCTTTGGCTTTTCATCAGTTTCATCACTAGATGAGCAATTCACCACATTAATTTTCCTCTCTTTGAAACACCCAGGGTGGTTTCCGTTTTTCTAACTTACATTCCCCTCTTACACTCACTATCACCTCCCTACCTCCTGATTCAGACCCTGGGCACCCCTCACCTACACTTTCTTTTCTTCTTTTTTTTTTTTTTGACACAGAGTTTCCCTCTGTCCCCCAGGCTGGACTGCACTGGCGCCACCTCGGCTCACTGCAAGCTCCGCCTCCCGGGTTTACGCCATTCTCCTGCCTCAGCCTCCCGAGTAGCTGGGACTACAGGCGCCCGCCACCACGCCCGGCTAATTTTTTGTATTTTTAGTAGAGACGGGGTTTCACCGTGTTAGCCAGGATGGTCTCGATCTCCTAACCTTGTGATCTGCCTGCGTCTGCCTCCCAAAGTGCTGGGATTACAGGCGTGAGCCACCGCGCCCAGCCCCCTCACCTACACTTTCATATCATCATTTCCTACCTCATCTTCCTGCCTCCAGGAAGTCTACCTTCCTCAAATCCACCATAGTGATGTGTGTGGAATACACATCTGGTCTTCCACGGCCATGCCTAAAACCCTTCCACAACCCCATGTACATTCAGGAAAAGTTCTAGATCTACGCTGTCCAATAGGGTAGCCACTAGCTGCATGTGACTATTGAGTACTTGAAATGTGGCCAGTCAGAACTGAGATGTGCTGTAAGGGTAAAATACTCAGATTTAGAACACTTAGTATAATAAAAGTTTGTAAAACCTATCACCAATTATTTTTAATACATATTATGTGTTGAACAGGTAAACTTTGGGACATATATGGTTTATTAAAATACATTATTAAAATTTATTTTACCTTTTTGGTAATTTGCTGTTTTTTAAATATCTCTGTTGCAAAATTGTAAAGCACATGTGTGGCTTGCATTCTATTTCTTTGGGGAAGCACTGCTCTAGACTACTTAAAATGGTATTAAAGGCCCTGATCTCACCACTCCCTCCTGCTCCAGGCTCACTGCTTACCACACCCTGCTTCCCATTCTAGGCTCTGTAAATACAGTCAGGTCCTGTCCCCCAAAGCCCAGACCCCCCATATCAATTAGAGTTGCACTCCAGCCACTAGGGGTCATACTCTCCTCCATCCACAGCCTCATCCCACCAGGGAGAGGAAAGGAACGCTGAGAAGGGTCCAGGACGAGCAACTAGAGTGCTGAGTTAGAGGGTGAAAGGTTGCACATTAAAAATTCTTGTGCCCTCCTGAAGGATTTTTCTGGATCTTCCCCTTAGCCATGGATTCTTCCTTTGGGTTTTTGTTGATGCTCTTGAATCACTCGCTCACCCTGAGGCTCATATTCCAACCTGGGCTCACATTCCACCCTGGAATATGAGAAACCAGATTCTCCCTTTCCTTCCCTCCACTTAAAGCAGGGCTGCAAACTCGCATGCATGGTTCCGCACAGCTTATCAGCCTAAAGCACTACTGTAGTAGACCCTGCCACTAATAAAATGGCCTTGCCCAGTGTACCTCCTGAGACTGTGGCACTCACTGGGGAGCCTGCAGTGGAAGTAGGATGAAAGATAGGCTTCTAGGTTTTAGGTATCTTGATCCAGACGCACAGCTAATGCACACCGTGCTGTCTCTTGGCTCTGAGCCTTTGTTTCTGTGTCTTCTGCTCCACCCTCCTCCCTACCACTTACTCTTCCTCCCCCTGCTAACTTCATTTGTTCTTAAAGGGTGCATTTTAGATATACTTCCAGGAATGCTTTCCCAACCTCAGTAATACTCTGAATATAACTCCAATGTTGGATTTAATTTATCTTATTTTTACTGATCTAATATGTGTCTCCCCCTCACTGAACTGTGAGAAACTTAGTAACAGCAACTGCATTTTGTTCATCTTTGATTCGAGTGCCTGGCTGTAGTAGATAATCAGTTAATAATAACAGGATAAATGGATGGATGGATGGACAGGTAGATGGGTGAGTGGATGATGAATGCTTTTCTGACACAATGTCTTACACATATTTTGGGATCAATAATACTGTTTGATTAATTGAAGGTTAGTTTCCAAGATTTGCTCATTAAACCAAGCTACAGAACCAAAATAAGAACCAGATTGTTGACCTTGCTGCCAGTATTTTTATATGTCAGGAATATCCTCAGATCTGGATTAAGTTTAGCGCCAGTTCAGAGGTAGAACAGACAAACATGGAGGAGCCAGATTGGTAGAGTCAGTGGCTGCCAGGGCTTCAGCAGGACAAGCAGCTCATAAGCCAGAGCTGTCTCTCTTAGATGTCAATTTACTAATTTCTCAATTAACAATTAAATGCATTACGGTTATTCTTATCTTGAGAGTGTACTGAATTGAGAAGTAGGAAGCCTGAGTTGTTGTTAACACCTGACAATTATTAGCTAGGTTTTCTTGAGAAAGTCATTGACTCTCTCTAAATCAATTTGTTCATCTGCAAACTGGGAGTAAGAATACACACTCTGCCTATTTCACCAAATTGTGGTAAGAATCAAATGAGAACAGGTATGTCAAGAGCTTTGTAAATCGCTGGGCACGGTGGCTCATGCCTGTAATCCCAGCACTTTGGGAGGACGAGGCGGGTGGATCACGAGGTCAGTAGTTCAAGACCAGCCTAGCCAAGATGGTGAAACCCCGTCTCTACTAAAGATACAAAAATCAGCTGGGTGCAGTGCCAGGTGCCTGTAATCCCAGCTACTCGGGAGGCTGAGGCAGGGGAATTGCTTGAACCTGGGCGACAGAGGTGGAAGTGAGCCGAGATCACACCACTGAACTCCACCCTGGGCGATAGAGTGAGACGCCATCTCAAAAAAAAAAAAAAAAAGAAAAGAAAAAGAACTTTGTAAACCATAAACTGTTATACAAATATTGGGCATTGTAATTAGATCTCACATTGTTTCTTAATTCCTCCTGTGATTTAGAAGGAAGTAGTGGAGTGAGATCATTATTTGATAGAAACATTTGCAAATTAAATTATGTCTTATCACTCAGGCTACTTGTCCCAATAATTCTTTAACCCATATTAACCTTAAAAGTTACTATTTTTATTTGGTAAACTTTTGAAATACTTTAGTTGTAAACAAATCTCCCTTTCTATAGAATCTAGCCTTTCTTTTTGTCATTTTGGTAGTCTCAATTGAATGCCCAGAGATACGCCTTTTAATTCTGTTTTGCTTTTTTTTTTTTTTTTTTTTTACAAATAAGACCTTGGTCCATAGTAAAACTATGCAATAGGTCTATGCAATAGGAACTACTTTTGCTGATACACAAATTTGCGTATGCATGGACATACAGGTGTATATATGTTGGTGTGTGTGTGTGTGTGTGTGTGTGTAGACTGGTCATCACTTCATTGAGAACTGCATTTCTTTTTTCTTTCTTTTTTTTTTGAGACAGAATCTCACTCCATCTCCCAGGCTGGAGTGCAGTAGTGCGATCTTGGCTCACTTTAACCTCCATCTCCCGGGTTCAAGCGATTCTCCTGCCTCAGCCTCCTGAGTAGCTGGGATTACAAGCCTGCACCACCACGCCCGGCAAATTTGTTGTATTTTTAGTAGAGATGGGGTTTCACCATGTTGGCCAGGCTGGTTTTGAACTCCTGACCTCAAGTGATCCGCCCACCTCGACCTCCCAAAGTGCTAGAATTACAGGCATGAGCCACCATGCCCAGCCAAGAACTGCATTTCTTCATTTCTAGGTCTACATTATCCTTTTCTATTGGTATTATGTTTATTTGAACAAATATTAAGGATGTTATTTAAATTATAACTTGTAGTAGACTGAATAAGATATCAAGTTCTAATCTCTGGAACCTGTAAACGTTGCCTTACCTGGAGGCAAAAAGGTCTTGGCAGATGTGATTAAATAAAGGATTTTGAGGTGGGGAGATTATCTTGGATTATCCAGGAGGGCCTTAAATTTAATCACAAGTGTCCTTATAATATAGAGGTAGAGGGAGACGACACACTGACGAGGAGAAGACAACAGGACCACGAAAGCAGAGATCAGTAAGATGCAGCCCCAAGCCAGGGGATGCCGACAGCAGCTAGAAACTGGGAGAGGCAAGGAGTGAATTCTCCTCTAGAGCCTCCGGAGGGAGGGAGGCTCTTGACACCTTTATTTCAGCCCTGTGAAACTGATCTCGGATTTCTGCCTCTAGGACTATGAGAGAATACATTTCTGTTGCTTTTAAGCCGCCAAGTTTGTGAGAATTTGTTACAGTGGCATTAGGAGACCAACACAGACTCTTCATGTAATTGGGAAGAAGGACACTTGATTATAAGAATTATCTATAGGTCAGTGATTCCCAGCCTTTTCTTCAAGCGTTTAATAAAAATGTGTTAATTGAGTCCCATGAGGTGCCTGGAATGGTGCTAGGTGCAGTGAGAAACATAAAAGAAATTACCTCCTAGAGGGGTTTGTCATCTAGTTGAAGAATCAAAACAAAACAGTCATGCATCACTTAATGATGGGGGTGCATTCTGGGAAATGCGTCATTGGGCAATTTTGTGATTATACTAAGATCATAGAGTATATACTTAGACGAACCTAGGTGGTAGAGCCTACTATACACGTAGGCCATATGGTATAACCCATTGCGCCTAGGCTACAAACCTACACATGATGTTACTGTACTAAATACTGTAGGCAACTGTAACACAATGGTAAGTATTTATATATCTGACTATAGAAAATGTATAGTAAAAATATGGTATTATAATGTTATGGGACCATTATCATACATATGCTCTGTCATTGACTGAGATGTTTTGTGGCACATGACTGCAGATGTAAAACAGCACACAATTCAAGACAGTGGCTAGATTGGGGATAAATTGTTCAGCATGCGGTTCTAAGTGAAGTGAATGAATGAGCAAAAGCAGGGGCCAGGATGAATGGGGAGCCTGGCAGACCCTTGGGTGGACAGCTTATGATGGGAGAAAGTAGAAGTAAGTTCAGTGTTTAGGAAAGGTTTCTCTGCAAAGGAAAAATCAAACAGTGGAATATCAGCCAGATATTAGAGGGAGCAGGGGGCCATTGACTGTTTTGGCACAGAAAGGTGAAACAGTGAAAGTCGTATCCAAGGAAGACTAATTTGTTTCTGATGGAGCAAGCTGTATGCTCTAGTTTGTTTATCGGTCTCCTTTCTCCTAATAGGTACAGTATGACGTTAGCTTTTAGAATCTTTTTTTCTGAGAAACGTTTAAGAAAGCTGTGATGCTGCTTAAGATAATTAGGAAAATGTTGTGATGTCATAAACAAGAGCTACAACTCCTTCTCTCAATATTCCCAATTAGATGTGATTGACAGATCCTTAGATCTCACCAGCTTGTGACTTATAAACAACAGCATTCTCCTTTTAGTATTTAAGTTACAATAAAGCTCCCTTTCATAGGCCACAGAAAGCCAATTTTCCTACCGGTCTCACCTCTCAGGTGGTTTTTGGGCATCCTGGAGGAAGGTGTATCTATAGAACCCCAGCTTTCTGGAGCTCCACAAATCCTCCAGTCCATCCTGCATCTGGCTTGTCAGGCTGCCTGTACCCCTGTACCTGTTGCTCTGAGCAGGAACTCTGGTTACTCCCTTTAGTCCTCACAACTCAGCCAAGACCAGGCTGTGGTGGGACAAACAGACCTCCAGCATAAGAAGCAGCATGCACTGCTGCCGGAAGGGAGCTTCTGGGGTCATGCACCCAGATCCAGTCTCAGAGCAAAGGGATTTGAGAGGAAACTTCCATCAGGCTTCCACATGGCGAGGCCAGGTCAACCCCCACTGAAAACCATGGCCAGGTATCTACCTCCCTTGGAGTCCAGTCCCAGGACGAGAAGTTCTCACACTAGGTTGGTTGACATTTCTCTTGAGTAGACTTAACCCGCATGCTTGGATAGGCTTCCTTCATGGCCCAGACAAGGCACTAAAATGGTTGGTTATATGTTTCCCAGACTTAAATATCACCTTGTGGGGGACATTGTTGTGAAATCTGGAGAGCCCTGGTCCAGGCCTGGCCCACCCCACATGGCCTTCCTCAGCTTTAGGTGAAGCTTAGGGTGACGGCATGGCAGGCACTGCTCCCTCCTGCCGTGGCCCAGGTCGCATACCTCCTGTGGGACATATTTGGAACCAGGACATGCAAATAACTTCAGGAAACAACAGGAATCTTCAAGGACAGTCCAATTTAAGCCCAACATTTCCTAACACCCCTCTTTAACTTGATGAGAGCAAAGTCTCATGAAATGTACACTTAGTTTTTATTACTGTGCAGAACTTTTAATAAGTCAGGTTGCAATAGCCTTAGTTCAATGATGATTTTATATTTTTCCCAAAACAATGTGTGCATTTTTGCTCCATATTTGTAAGAAATAAAGGGCCCATTAATTATTTCCAATGAAAGGAAATGTATTAGAGACAGAAATCTTTAACTGGTATTCCTCCAGCTTTTGAGAATAAATTAAAATCCTGTCTCCTCCATACTCCATTTCATACTTATTGAACCCCAAATGTGATCCAACACATATTTATGTATTCATTCAACAAATATTTTTATTTTATTTATTTTCATTTATTTATTTTTAAGACAGAGTCTCATTGTGTTGCTCAGGCTGGAGTGCAGTGGCACGATCTTGGCTCACTGCAACCTCTGTCTCCCAGGTTCAAGCAATTCTCCTGCTTCAGCCTACTGAGTAGCTGGGACTACAGGCGCATGCCACCACGCCCAGTTAATTTTTTTTTTTTTTTTTTTTGGTATTTTTAGTAGAAACAGCGTTTCACCATATTGGCCAAGCTGGTCTTGAACTCCTGACCTCAAATGATCTGCCCACCTTGGCTTCCCAATGTGCTGGGACTACAGGCGTGAGCCACCATGCCCAGCCCATTCAACAAATATTTTTAAATGCCTACTGTATCAAGCACTGCTGCAGACACTTGGGGATACAGCAGTGAATGAAGTGAAATCCCTGCCTTCAAGGTGTCTGGTGTCTACATTCTTGTGAGGGGAAGCAGTGAATGCACAAAAAATGCTATGCTTTATCAATTACCAGGAACAAATAAAAACCAGAGTAAAGGGATAGAGAGTTACAGTGAAAGGATATTTTCAGAAAGGCGAAAAGGGGAGGTTTTTCTGATAAGAATATTATCTGAGCAGCGTCCTGAATTAGGGAAGGGCTACAGCAGAGACTGCCACTACCCTCCAGCATCCTTTTTCCTCTTATTGTTTTTATTGATAGAGCCTTCAGAGTTTTTACTAAGCAAATGAATGACAGCTCCTGACTACATTTCCCAGCTCTCCTTGCAGCTACGTGTGCTGCAGACTAAGTTTGAACCAATTTGAATGTGAACAAAAGTGGTGTGCAACTTTTAGGTCATCTCCTTAAAGGCACATGTCTTCTTCCTGCTAACTGGGATATGGTGATAACTGGATCAATCTAGGCTACCACATACTGAGGACGGCAGAGCTGACCTGCCATCTCCACCTTTACATGAGAGAGAAATAAAATTCTGGTCTTGAATTTAATCACTGTATTTTGTTACAGTTGCTTAGCTAATTTGGACAACAATTTGTGTGGGTATCTAGCGAAGCACCTTTCTAAGCAGAGGAAATAGTGCCCGCAAAGGCTTAAAACAGGAGCTTACATGAAATGCTCAAGGAGCAGCAAGGAGGTCAGTGAGGCTGGAATGGAGTAGTAGGAGATGAGATCAGAAAAGCATCAGAGGACAGAGAATGGAAAGCCTTGGAACCTCCATTAGGGCTTGAGATTTCGTTCTTGGGAGCTGTAAATGTACTGTTTGAGCAAAGGAGTGACATTATGTGACTTCTGTTTTTAAAAGACCATTCTGGCTGTTGTGTTGAGAATAGAACAAGGAGACAAATGTAGAGAAGCAAAGAGACTAGTTTGGAGGTTATCGCATAGTTCAGGTCAGATATTATGGCTGTTTGGACTAGGGTGGGAATGGTGGAGGTGCTGAAAAGTGTATTTTTCTAAAGTGTATTTCCAAAGTAGAGAGCTTGGATGTGCTCATGCATTGTGAACGAGAGAAAGAGAGAATTAAGGGTGAGGAATATAAAAGGAAAGGGAATTGGCATAGGAATTAGAAAATCACGTGCAGAGATCTGGAGGTTGGGTAGGAAGTGGGACTTGTACTTTCTTCACTCGTGAGCTTCGTAAGACCACCTCTTTGCATGATGGTAATTAATTTCATGTCAGCCTTCACCAGTCAGATTCTACAGAATGAACTCAGCCTTCAGTCTCTCCTCTATGTGATCTTTGCCACGTCTTCCGGTCTTTATTCTGAACAATTACTTTGCCCATTGATCCTTTTGAAGAGATGTTCAGTGTCAGCAGAAGATAGCGATATCTGAGTGGCGTACCTCAATTATCTTCTCTCAAAAGCAATCAGGGAAAGGGAAAGTGAGAACAGGGATATGGAATCAATGTTGAGATATGCATTGTAATTTGAGAAAGGATGAGAGGTTCCTCAAGGTCAGAAGGAAGGAGAAATATCAGGCCTGGGACTGTGAGAAAGAGTGAAAATAGAGCAGTTGTAGAGAAAGAGCGGAGGGTGAAAAGTGTCAATGACTGTTAAGTGAACCAGAGGCCAGGAGGGGTGGTGACAGCTCACGCCGGGGAAGAGCAAACACAAGGACTGACCTTGCTTCTCCTTCACTCTTAAGTGGTGCCATCTCTAGGTGTCCTGTAAATTGCTAGGATTAAGTAATCTTGAGGAAGTAGCCCCAGTAAAATTATCATGCCTTTCAATTGTAAATTAGATTTAGCCCAGTTGTTCTTATAGAAAAATATGGCAAATATTATTAAAATCTTTGTCCAAAGACACACAAATGACTTGATATAGAAAATCCTGGCCGGGCGCGGTGGTTCATGCCTATAATCTCAGCACTTTGGGAGGCTGAGGTGGGTGGATCAGGAGGTCAGGAGTTCAAGGCCAGCCTGGCCAAGATGGTGAAACCCTGTCTCTATTAAAAATACAAAAAATTAGCCAGGCGTGGTGGCAAGCGCCTGTAATCCCAGCTACTCGGGAGGCTGAGGCAGAGAATTGCTTGAACCCGGGAGGCGGAAGTTGCAGTGAGCCAAGATCGCGCCATTGCACTCCAGCCTGGGCAACAGAGCAACCCTCTGTCTCAAAAAAAAAAAAAAAAAATTCCTACTTCATTTCCAGGGGAATCACCATCCATGTCAGTTGCAAGCCATGTAGGGTCACTCAAATCCAAACTTGAAGGATGGCTTTTGTTTTTTATTTGCTAAAAGGATGTTTCCTTTTCTGAAAATGGAACAGAGACAGTCTTGACAAAGTTACCCTAAAGGTCGCAAAATATCCCAGACTATGCTGGGCATTGTAAAGCAAGATAAAGAAGGAAATATGTTTTAAAGCAGGGGTATGACAGATTAAAAGCATGTTTAAGCAAGAGGTGCCTTCTTAATCGTGCTCTCAAATGATGATTTGTATCTAATGATCAAATTTAACATAAAAATTAAGATGACTAGAATCTCAGTATTATTTACATATAAGTTTCTGTTTGAACTTCTGAGGGTACAAAGGAAGTATGATCAAAACGTACATATTTTATGAGTCCCCAAACCATGGCACATTTGAGTCTGTTTCTGTTTCTAACTGAGCATTTTTTTTTTTAAATCAGTCTGGGCATGGTGGCTCACACCCGTAGTCCTAGCACTTTGGGAAGCTGAGGCGAGTGGATCACTTGAGGTCAGGAGTTCAAAACCAGCCTGGTCAACATGGTAAAACCCCATCTCTACTAAAAATACAAGACAATTAGCTGAGTGTGGTGGCTGGCGCCTGTAATCTCAGCTACTTGGGAGGCTGAGGCAGGAGAATCGCTTGAAAATGGGAGGTGGAGGCTGCAGTGGGTGGAGATCGTGCCACTGCACTCCAGCCTGGGTGACAGAGTGAGACTCCATCTCAAAATAAATAAATAAATAAAATAAAGAACACAGAGACCAAAGTGGTTGCTTCAAATCTAGGTACACCTGATAATGACCTCATGTTATTGTCATCTTCGTCGTCATCATCATCACTACCATTGGTGGTGGCGATGGTCAGTAAACATTTATAAAGAATCTATAAGGTTTAAGGCATTGGACTGGAAAAAGGAAAACCAAAAGACTGTAAGATATAGTTACTTTTTCAACAGGATTTGGGATCCAGTTGGAGACACAAATTAACAGATAAATACAGCTTAAAAGTGTGTACTAGTCAGGAACAGCCAGGTTATGCTCCAGAAATAAATAATCACTACATTTCAGAGGATTGTAACAGAAAGGTTTTTTTGCACTCTTACTACATGACCATCTCAGGTTGGCACGGGGGTTTTAGTCATTGTAGTCACTCCGGAAGCCAAGCTAGTGGGGGCGCCCTACTGACACTAGCTTCTACAATCATCGAAGGAGGAAAAAAGGAAGGTCATGAGTCACCCAGTTGTTCTTACAGCTTCTTCCTAGATGTTACACTTGTTGCTTCTGCTCAGTTGTCATTATCTAAAGCAAGTGCATAACCACATCTAACGTCAAATGAGTGGGAAAGTGTGATTCTATCATATGCTGGGACAACACAAATGCCTGCCACAAAATGTACATGTTAAGAGTCAAAAGAATTATATAGATAGTCCACATACTGTAGAAGTTTAGAGGAGGGAGTAAGCCATAAGATCTGGGATATTCATTCATTTATTCACTCATTCATTTGTTCTTGTATTCAATGTACATATATAAAGCACCTCCTAGTGCTGGGTACTCTTCTATGTAGTGATCATAGAACCTTAAACAAAACCGACAAGAATCCCTGCCCTCCTGAAGATTACCTTCTAGTGGAGGAAGGCCTGAGCAAGGCCTTGAAAGATGAGTAGAATTTAAATAATTTTAGAAGGAAAAATATTCTAAGCCTAAGGAATAGAATTTGTTTCACGTGAAACCAGAAAGGCATCAGAAATAAAAGAATGGTAAAATCACTTCATGAATATAATATATTTGCTGGGGGGTGGGAAAATCACTTGAGGCCAGGAGTTTGAGACCAACCTGTTCAACAGAATGAGACTCTGTCTCTATAAAAAAAATTGTTTTAAGTAGCTGGGCATGATGGTGCTTGCCTGTAGTTCCAGCTACTTGGGAGGCTGAAGTGGGAGGATCCCTTGAGCCCAGAAGTTCTAGTGGCCACGACTGTGCCACTGCACTCCAGCCTGGGTGACAGAGCAAGACCAAATCTCTTAAAAAAAAAATATATATATATATATATATAAAATAAAAATAATTTATTTTACTCCTATGTAATTTAGGACCTTTTTTAAAAACCACAATCACATGGTTTTAAAAAATAAATTGTTTGCATAACATAGAATTAATATCGATGTTTTAAATTAATAGTTGAAATAAATTACATGAAATATTTTTAATCACTATGTTCTTACTAGATTATATAAAATGATTTAGGTATGTTTCACTAGTAATTTTTTGAATATGTCTTTATTTGTTAAAATGCTTTCTAGTGGAATAATGTAAGTAATTATTATTGTTAATAATTATGATCTCTGTCACATTTCTAAGGACTTAGTTATTTCCTTAAAAGCCCTCAGAAACCTTAAAATGTTTGTTTGTTTTTTGAATCCCTATGGAATATGTCATCACATTTGAAAATAAATTTTCTGGGATTCTGAAGGAAGGCACAACAAGACAAATTTGTTTCTACTTTCATATAAATAAAACCATGAAAATAAATAACATCAAATACTCATATTGAAACCTTTAGTTAATTTTAGCTATTGATAAGGCCTTTACTAAACTCTAGATATAGATAGATGGAAAAGTTTATTGTTAAAAATATTATCAAGCTACAAATTAGTGAGGACAAAGAGGTGATATCCTTTAACTTGAACAATACTCATCTATGGGAAGGGGGGATGACAAGATCTTCCCTGGCAGATATTTTCAGAGGATGGAAACTTACAGAAGATTTATGAAAAAACCAAAAAGATACCACCTCACACCCGTTAGGAAGGCTACTATTAAAAAATTAAACCCAGAAAATAACAACTGTTGAAGAGGATGTGGAGAAATTGGAACCCTTGTGCCACTGCTATGGAAAATGGCATGGCAGCTCCTCAAAAAGCTAAACATAGAACTACCGTATTACTTAGCAATCCCACTTCTGGCACATACTCAAAAGAACTGAAAGTAAAGATTAGAACAGATATTTGCATATGTGCAGACATAGCAGCATTAGTCACAATATCCAAAAGGTAGAAGCAACTCAAGCGTTCATATACAGAGGAATGGATAAACAAAATTTGAGAGATATATATACACACACATATTCATATTAGGCTGAATAATTTTTCTCTATATATCTCTATATAAAGATATATAAATATAAAAAATTATTCAGCCTTAAAAAGGAAGAAAATTCTGACATGCTACAATGTGGATAAACCTTAAGAACATTAAGTGAAATAAACCAATCACAAAACGGCAAATACTATATGATTCCATTTACATGAGGTACCTAGAGTAGTCAGATTCAGAGAGACAGAAAGTAGAACTGTGGTTACCAGGGGCTGGGGGAAGAAGAGAAATAGAGATTTATTCTTTAATAGATACAGAGTTTCAGTTTTCCAAGATAAAAAGAGTTCTAGAGATGGATGGTGGTGACATTGCACAACACTGTGACTATACGGACTTGACACCACTGAACTGTACCCTTAAAAATGGTTAAGATGGTAAATTTTATGTTTATTTTGTCACAATAAAAATAATTTAAAAATATATAGTGACAAAAACAACAGCAGAAATAAATTTAAAAATTTCCAGGCTTTGTAAAATCAGCAACCATTTCTTTTCTCTTCAGTTTGAGGCATCTCATTTTGTGTTTTGCTCAGAGAGTAATTCCCTAATGTGATGCTTACACAGTCTCCACCGCCCAAAACCTGATGGCTCTGCTTGCTGCTACATTCCAACAGTTCCTATCCTAATTAACATTTCACTCTAATAAGACGTTCTGGCTCCTAAAGTGTTGATCTATCAGTTGTTGACATATCTTGGGAGATGGCCAGGCATACGTACAGTGGGACAGGCAGCCTTGGAAGAGCTGGGGAAATGGGCATCAGGGAATAAATTCCAAGAGAATATGCAATCCTCAGAACAGGTAGCAGGGCAGGGCTAACCCACAAGTCAGCACGGAGCACTGTGTGGTTCATCGCAAGGTTGCAGGGTGTTCCAACACGGAATTCTGGTGGGTGTTGATATTCTGTGATACAACAAGGACTTAGGCCGGCAGAAGTTATTGGGGAAGGTTGTTTGCAGTTTATGGTTAGGATGGTCATCCCCAGAGGGGAGATTAGCAAGAGCAAGGCAAGGCCCTGAGCCTCAAGTGACTGGGAAATTTGGCAGGTTCAAAAGCAACATTCTTAGCACTCAGAATGCTGGTTATTAGATCTTTCCACAGAGGTAGTCTGGCTAGGCTGACTGAGCCTGACTTCTAGAATGTGGGGCTAAAGTTTACACCCCTCCTGCATAAAGTCAGGATTGGCTCAAGGTTGCATAGGGCATGGCTTAGGGCGGTGAGGACCATAGGCTCATCAACTAGTTAACCATGACTCACAATAAAATAGTCATCCATTCTAGAGACACTGAACTTCAGGCTTGTTTGTATTACAAGCAGCTTCTCAAATATAACAAGACTGTTAGTAGTAAAGAATCTAGCACCCTAAAGACCACAATGCATGTTAGAATTTATAAACCCACAACACAAAGGCTATTTTGAGGTGGAAGCACTTCGTGCTCTGGTCTGGAAGGAAAAATCTTGGCAAAACACCCATCTCTAATATTTCTTTGGTGTAATCAACAAACGTTGTGTGCTTCTACTTGGACTCCCAGAGAGAAGGAGCCTGAGTAGAGAGAAGCCATTGACCCTAGGGAGGAGACCCAAAATCAAAACAGTGCTCTGTTTATGAAATATGATGTAATTTTATATGGCATACACTTCGAGTCCAGAGGGGAGGGTGCGCAAAACCTTGGGCTTCACCACAGAGAGAGAGAGAATCTGAAACACCTGCAAAGAAAGAGCTTCTCCTTCAGGAACTTTGGGGAAGTATCTGCTGTGGATGCTGTTGTCAGAGCCTCTGAACTGGGTAGTGATGGCATTTTATTGAGGAGGAAACGAAGTCCAGGGAGCTGAAGTTCTTTTCTCAAGACCAATTGCTCAGGCAATGGCAGTCCTGATGGCCATTGAATAGGATCTGACCATGATGAGGTTAAAGGAGAATGAACCGACTCCGGTCCGTCTGGGTGGGGCTCACCACAGCACCCATCATTATGTCCCATGAAGCTGTCCTCACAACTGTCAGCTCTAGGAAACCTCTGCTCCAGAATGCAGTTGTGGGGTCCTTTAGATGAGCCAGCCTAGCCCTTGAGATACAGTGACTGCCTTTGTCCTTTAATTAAAAAAAATCAGGGCCCGGTACAGTGGCTCACGCCTGTTATACCAGCACTTTGGGAGGCCGAGGTGGGCAGATCACGAAGTCAGGAGATCGAGACCATCCTGGTTAACACGGTGAAACTCTGTCTCTACTAAAAATACAAAGAAATTAGCCGGGTGTGGTCGTGGGCGCCTGTAGTCCCAGCTACTTGGGAGGCTGAGGCAGGAGAATGGCATGAACTTGGGAGGCGGAGCTTGCAGTGAGCCGAGATCGTGCCACTGCACTCCAGCCTGGGCGACAGAGTGAGACTCCGTCTCAAAAACAAAAAACAAACAAAAAAACCATTAGGTAAAATTACAATATGCAGGTGGACAGTTTTGTGATGTTTGCTGCGTAGTAGGAAGCAGAACCACCCTACAGGAAACCCTACTTTCCTCAGCATCAGCTACCCACCCTGTTCTCCAGCGTTTGGTCAGCTGCCTGAGTCTTGGTAGTTCAGCAGGTTGGCAGGCTGCATAACTGTTCAGGAGGCCAGACCTCCGACCTCTCTTCCTTTCCCAGACTGAGGACAATACCACGAACCAGCCTTGGAAGATAAAAATCAGGTATTTTAAAGAAAAATGCCCCTGGACTCAGAAATGCTCTAATTCATAGTGCGTTGTAATTGACCAATAACACATCTGTGTTAGTTTCCTATTGTTGCTGAAACATACTGCCACAAACTTGGTGGCTTAAAACAACACAAATGTGAGGTGCGGTGGCTCATGCCAGTAATCCCAGTACTTTGGGAGGCTGAGGAGGGCAGATCACTTGAAGTCAGTAGCTCAAGACCAGCCTGGCCAACATGATGAAACCCCATCTCTACCAAAAATACAAAAATTAGCCAGGTGTGGTGGCATGCACCTGTAGTCAGTCCCAGCTCCTCGGGAGGCTGAGGCACAAGAATCACTTGAACCCGGGAGCAGAGGTTGCAGTGAGCCGAGATTGCACCACTGCATTCCAGCCTGGGCGACAAGGCGAGACTCCCTCAAAAACAAAACAAAACAAAACAAAACAACACAAAACAAAAAATGCAAATGTATTGCATTTATGGAGGTCAGGAGTCTGACATGAGTCTCACTGGGCTAAAGTCAAGGTAATGGCAGTCTTGCTGTCCATTCTGGAGGCCGTAGGGGAGAATCCATTTTCTCACTTTTTCCAGGTTCTAAAGGCTGCCCACGTTCTTTGGTTTGTGGCCCCTTCCATCTTCAAAGTCAGCAATGGCTGCTGGAGTTTCATATCACATCACTCTGACCTTGACTGTTCTGCCTCCCTCCTTCACTTATAAGGACCCTTGTGATTACATTGGTCCTAACTAGATAAACCAGGATATTCTTGCCATTACATGATCAGCTGACTAGCAATGCTAATTCTATCTTCGGCCTTAATTTCTTCTTGCCATTAACATCTCAAACATATTCACAGGTTTTGGGGACTATGGCATGGACATCTTTGGGGGCCATTATTCTGCTTACCACAAGTTCCTTCCTTAGAACTTTCTTTGCAGGGATTCGGGGAGAAGAGAGAGGTAGCTAGAAAATACCGGGGCATCATAATAAGAGGAACTAGGGAAGCTCAAAGCATCAGAGCAATCATCCCAACTTCCTGAACCCCAAGATGACTCCACAATTTGGAGACCTGTTGTCATTTTGTCCTTACCTCTCAGTTCACCCCAGGAGTATTTAAATTTCATCTGTTTGGTGGGGAGTGGATTCTCATTATATACAGATAATATGTGTTTCAGAAAACAAAGCAAAGGGCCTTTTCCCCAGGGCAGGTAGACAGTGCTCCTAAATTAGTGGTTTTCAAAGTACAAGTCACAATCCACTAATGACTCTAATGAGTCCTGAGATGAGTTTAGTGGGTGAGGGAGAGAGAAAGAGAGAGAGAGAGGAAGAAGAAGAAAGGAAGAAGAGGAGGAAAAGAAAGAAGAAAAGGAGGGAAAAAGGAAGGAAGGAGGGAAGGAAGGGAGAGAGGGAGGAAAAGAATAAAGAAAAAAGAAATAAAAGTATATGGAATAGAAAATATTGTGACACAGCCATCACATGTTTTGAGGCTAAATATTGTTGCAATTCTACCTACACCCGTGTGCATTGGCTTATGGTATAAGATGTATTTTTATAGTAAGACAGTCTGAGCCAGAGGGGCCCACAGGGCAACTGCAGATGTTTGCATGGAGGGGTTCCCCCCCTCAGAGGAGCTGCCCCTAATCTGTATTGAGAAAGATGAATCTGCTTATCTGTGTGGAAGCTTTCAAAAGGACTTGAGGGGACTGAAAAGGGGGAAAGGATGGGAATGTGGAGCAAGGAGATCAGATCAGAAGAGGAAGAGATGAGAGTTCAAAAGGAAAAAATTAAAGTGAAATGAAATTAAGAACATTAGTCATGTGAGACAAGAACAAAAATAGTAGACTCTGACAAGAAATCAGCCAGGAAGATAGGCCCAGACTCAAATGCTTTCTTGAGTGAAAGAACAAAGGGGAGAAAATCTAAACCCCAAACCAAAACAACCCTGCTTTCGTGTTCCTTCTTGCATCCACTGAGCCAAACCTCCAGCTGCCTCATGCCGCTGCAGGCACTTGTGGCAAAAGCACACATGAACCACGCTGGACATCAGAGGCTTGTGGGTGCCTAGGGGCCTTGTGACCTCCAGCTACCCTGAGCTGTGAAATCAGAGCTGAAGGAAGCAAATGTGACAAGACCTGGTCTGAGCGATGGGCGGGGAGGTGGACTGACAATGCTCAGCCCCCCTGGGAGGTTCATGTTTAATGCCTGCTGAACACCCCATGTCCTTGACCCAGACTCTCAACTCATCACGAACTCAGCTGCAACAACAATTGAGCACAGGGAATGAACAGGTGTCACGATCCTGTTATGAACAGGGAGAAACTGGGTCTCAGAGGAGTCCAGGAAATGGCCAGGATCAGTAAGAAAAAAAAGAAATAAAAGTACGTGGAATAGAAAATATCATGGCACAGCCATCACATGTTTTGAATCAGTAAGTGACAGGACTGTGACTCAAGATGCCCTCTGAACTCCATGCAGGGCTCTTTTCACCACAACAGGGACTTCCAAAGCATATGTTTGGAGGAGACTGACCCATGCTGATCACACAGAGAGACCGTACTTGCCATTTATGCCACAGGCTTCTATGCCCCCACCTCTCGCCAAGTCCCTACTCTAAGGTTTGGACGGTCACTCCGTAGAGGTGAGGTACGTAGGATACATTTGGTGGGAGGTGGGAAGCCCAAGAACAAGCCTTTCTACTCTCTCCCATCCAAGTACTAACCAGGTCCAACCCTGCAACCTTTCTTCTCTTTCAGGAATCCAAAACAGGCCTGGCGGGTAGAAGGCAGTCCTTTCTTCACAAGAAGCTTAGGGTCTCCTTTCTTCTCCTAAAACTTGAATGCTAAGAAAAAAATGCCAATTCACTCCCATACAAAAATTTATGAACACCTGGTTCTGTGTTATACTCACACCCATTTTGTGTTCCCTTGGCATAAATACAATGTCGCTTACCCACCTCTGCTCTTCTTCCTAGTTTCCTTTTCCATTTCTCTTTATGTCCTAAAGGACCCAGTTCTTTCTGGGAGCTCAGGCAATGCCCAGCAGATTCTAATTGAGAGTGACAAGGAGGTGACATAAAAGCTCTGGAAAGGACACTCACTTCCAAAGGATGTCTGGGGAACTGAAACGGGAACTTTGAGACCTGCTCACCTGCCAGATGAAATGTCCTTAAGAAGAGAATATCTAGAGAGGCAGGGGCTGGGGGAAAGGCACGCGGACATGTGGGGGCTGGGAGAAGCTGGGTGATATGAGGACTACTGTGACCTCTGTCACCTGTCATCTTCCTCCTGTGTGACAGACTGCTCACTAGGAAAGAGAGAGTGCTATCCTACTACCACTCAAGAGGAAACATTAGGTTACATGAAATTAGGCAGAAGTCTTTACTTTAGGACATAATGAGATTAATAAGCAAACTCCCAAAGTCAGGTGTGGGATCCAGATTTGGGGGTCCCGAAGCTGATTTTGGTGCCCTCTCCCTTTTTTAAAAAAATGAGATGAGGTCTTGCCATGTTGCCCAGGCTGGTCTTAAATTCCTGGGCTCAAATGATCCTCCCACCTCTGCCTCCCAAAGTGCTGGGATTGGTGGCCCTTTTAAGATAAGGAACACTAGGTGCAGGCGAGGTATATTCAGTGCTGTTCTACAGAAGAGGAAAGTGGGTTTCAGAGCGGTCCGGGAATATGTGATTCTGAGAACACAAATCATGAATATACCTTAGGTGTAAGTCTTTGAATGGGACCTATATGAATAAATCTTATACCTCCTCAGTTTATGGTCAGTCCACCTCTGTATACTATGTTTTCTGAACTTTTTTTTTTTTTTTTGAGACGGAGTCTCGCTCTGTCTCCCAGGCTGGAGTGCAGTGGCGCGATCTTGGCTCACTGCAAGCTCCGCCTCCCGGGTTCACGCCATTCTCCTGCCTCAGCCTCCTGAGTAGCTGGGACTACAGGCGCCTGCCACCACGCCTGGCTAATTTTTTGTATTTTATTTAGTAAAGACGGGGTTTCACTGTTAGCCAGGAAGGTCTCAATCTCCTGACCTCGTGATCCACCCGCCTCAGCCTCCCAAAGTGCTGGGATTTCAGGCGTGAGCCACCGCGCCCGGCCTCTGAACATTTTGTTTTAACCACTTTTTCTTTGTGGTGGGCGACAGTACCCAAGGGATCATGTTCAAAAAACACTTCTGGAACTCCGACCTAGTCTACACAGAAAGGCTGCAGGGTCTTTGGCGGCACGCCTGGCTTTGCTGGGCA
Organism: Homo sapiens; assembly: GCF_000001405.40. Classification (NCBI taxonomy): domain Eukaryota; kingdom Metazoa; phylum Chordata; class Mammalia; order Primates; family Hominidae; genus Homo; species Homo sapiens. The sequence goes on along the minus strand of NC_000006.12, from coordinate 118,717,323 downwards.
GATGGCCGGGCACCTGCGATGGCTCCGCTTGAGTCCCTTTTTAGCACTGCTTTTCAAATCTCCTGAACGCAGTGGTATTTGGACTGGTACTTCTCTGACACATGAAGATAAAGAAAGAAACGTCACTTTCACCTGGATGTGGGCTTCAAGGGATTTATTTATTTATTTATTTATTTATTTATAGACAGTCTCATTCTGTCACCAGGCTGGAGTGCAGTGGCGTGATCTCGGCTCACTGCAATCTCTGCCTCCCGGGTTCAAGCGATTCTCCTGCCTCTGCCTCCCAAGTAGCTGGAATTACAGCTGCATGCCATCACACCCAGCTAATTTTTGTATTTTTAGTAGAGACGAGGTTTCACCATGTTGGCCAGGATGGTCTCGATCTCCTGACCTCATGATCCACCCGCCTCGGACTCCCAGGGTGATGGGATTACAGGATCGAGCCACTGCGCCCGGCTGATTTATTGTTTTTTGTTATTGTTGTTGTTTTCTGTTTTTCTTCAAGTCAGCTCTGTTGCCCAGGCTGGAGCGCAGTGGCACGATCTCGGCTCACTGCAATCTCCGCCTCCCGGGTTCAAGCTATTTTCCTGCCTCAGCCTCCCGAGTAGCTGGGACTACAAGCATGTGCCACCACACCCGGCTAATTTTTTTTTATTTTTAGTAGAGATGGGGTTTCACCGTGTAAGCCAGGATGGTCTCAATCTCCTGACCTTGTGATCCACCCACCTTGGCCTCCCAAAGTGCTGGGATTACAGGCGTGAGCCACCGCTCCCGGCTGGGTTTTTTTGCTATTGATTAATTCTGGACATGACTTAAAAAGCCGAACCATCCCAAAAACCAGACCAGGAAGTGGTACCTTTTAAAGAGAATGAGCTTGGCTGGGCGTGGTGGCTCACACCTGCAATCCCAGCACTTCGGGAGGCCAAGGTGAGAGGATCACCTGAGGTCGGGAGTTGGAGACCAGCCTGGCCAATATGGTGAAACCCCATCTCTACTAAAAATACAAAAATTAGCCGGGCGTAGTGGCAGGCACCTGTAATCCCAGCTACTCGGGAGGCTAAGGCAGGAGAATCACTTGAACCTGGGAGGCAGAGGTTGCAGTGAGCCGAGCTCACACCACTGTACTCCAGCCTGGGTGACAGAGTGAGACTCTGCTCCAAAATAAATAAAATAAAATAAAATAAAATAAAATAAAATAAAATAAAATAAAATAAAATAAAATGTAAAGTAAAGTAAAATAAAATAAAATAAAATAAATAACGAGAATGAGCCAACACCCTGAAAACCAAATCTCTGGGATGCATCTTGGCCAGAGCAGCAGAAAACTCTGCCGAAAACAACTTAGATGTTGTTCCTTTCATTTTGCTGGCTTTTAAAATACTGCTTATTTCTGATTCATGTCACACAAGTCAGTGTGTGACAATTGTCAAAGATGAACTGGGGCTGTGCCTTTAAGAGAACACTGCTAATGTGTCTCTGATTACATGAACAATACCACTCTCTGGCATGTTAACTCATCACAGTTGATTGTCAAATGCATATGCTCATGCTGAAATCTCCGTGATAACACATTTGTCAATATTTCTAGTTGTAATTTGGTTCAATAGTGATACAGGTATCAATAAGATCTGAATTAAATGTGAGATGACTGGCCTTAAATTAGAGCACAAAGGATTCAGATTAGCTCAGAAGATTTACTAAGAGGAACAATTACTAAGCACAGAAATAGGTTATTAAGGGAAGTTGTGGAATCTGTTTCTCTGGCAGTTCTTAAAATAAGACAATGAGTATCTATAGAAGAAGTTCCCAGGATCCTGACAGAAGGAAGATAGCTTTATTTAGCTGTCAAGGTCTACTCACTAAAATCATAGATACTCTGCTAAAAGTATGCGTTGAAGAGCCTTATATCCTCATATGGTTTGGCTGTGTCCCCACCCAAATCTCATTTTGAATTGTAATCCCTATAATCCCCACATAAAGAGGGAGGGACCTGGTGGGAGGTAATTGAATCATGGGGCGGGGTGGGGGAGGGTGCGGGCAGTTCCCCCATGCTGTTCTCATGATAGTGAGTGAGTTTTCATGAGATTTGACGGTTTTATAAGGCAGTTTTCCCTGCTCTTGCTAGTTCTCTCTCCTGGCACCATGTGAAGAAAGTACTTGCTTCCCCTTCACCTTCTGCCATGATTGTAAGTTTCCTGAGGCCTCCCAAGCCAGGTGGAATTGTGAGTCAATTAAACCTATTTCCTTTATAGATTATCCAGTCTCTGGCAGTTCTTTATAGTAGTGTGAGAATGGACTAATACATACCCAGGTGGCATTTTGACTCCTCAGTGTCTTACTTGCTGATGCTATTTATGATAGAAGAGTTAGAAATTCCATTTCGTGGCACGCTAGCCAGGTATGAACTGGCCGTTAGCTCATTAACTAAACTAGCAGTTAGTCATTACTAACTCTGCAGTTCTGTCTTACACACTCTGGTGATTACACCCTATAAGGTAAGGTAATTATTATTATTTCCAATAGTATAATTATTACCTACCATTTTTGAGCACTTACTATACATTAGACATTGTGCTAGTTCTTTACACATATCACATCGTTTTCCCCTCATAACAACATTTTAAGATCTGTATTATTATATCGATTTCACAGAAGTTTCAACTGAGTCTTGGAGAGGCTAAGTAACCTGCTGAAGATCATACAGCAAGATTCAGACCCAGGCCTGTCCGACTCTAAAGCCTTTGCTTTTATGTAATACAAGGTGTGGTTAATGTTTCTAAAAGCATATCAAACAGCATATAACATTGGCTCTTATATGTAGTCACATTGGGCAGCTCTACTCTTCTGTGGGTGCTCAGAAGATGCTGGGATCTCTTTTGGACTTGCCTTCATTTCCATAGGCTTTTCAGAAGTTCACAAAGAATGACATAATTTCCATCAATCCCTGAAAATTCAAATAAGGTGAGAAAGACCTTAATGAATATTGACTGTTTAATAACTTGAGGTTCTCATTAGAAAAATAAAAGTTCTGCTGCTAAATATGTTTAAAACTATAATACATTGTGACAAAAATGCTTCAATTTATTTAAGGACATGTCCTGGGGGAAAGGGAAACCTGAGGATTGTTCAAAGCCAAACCTGGTGAATTGGGTGAATAATTAATCCATTTATAAAAAATGAGGTGTGAATGATAAAATAATGATGTTGATTTTCTTACGGGACATTGTGACATAGGCATTGATTATGTAAATCCTATATTCATATCACAATTAGCTATGGCCCCATCTCTGACATCCATCTGGGAGCCCACACAATGACCTAATAACATCTCACCTTTTCAATGACCAGTATCCAAGAAAAGACCAAAATGATGACCTAAAGAAAATTCATTATTTTAGCAGCTGGTGGACTTGGGAGTAAGACAGATTGTGGAGCTGATGATACTGCATGAAATGTTTCCCCTTGTTAGCAAGATTGTCAAAAATGTGCTCCTCTGCTATTTTCTCTATCACAGAGAAGGTGGGAGGTGAGATCTTCTTCTTGGTGTCTGTAACATACATTTTCCTTACAGAAGATGTAGGTCAGTGATAAGCATGACTTTCATAAGTATATTTTGTGCCTATCATAAATGGGAACAATTTTAGCCCCATAACAAAAGAAACAGCACAATATTCTTTTTGCTAAGAATTCTGAATTTATTATATTTAAAGTCTTGATTCCGTTTCTGATGGAGATTGGGTTGTTATGCTGGTTGTCATCCACAGCCAAATGCAGCCAAAATTGGGTTTATTTTCTCTCCTTGTGCTCCTTACAAACGCTTAGCAGGTCTGAAGTTCTCTTTGTTGACAATGGCTCCATCCTCCTGTCAGCTTTCTATGATCCTAACCTTGTTAAACCTTTTCCTCTATCATTTTGTCCAGAAAAATCACCAATTCCATGATTCCTTGTCCTACAGGATTTTCAAAGCTGTGCACTGTCTCTGTTCTCACAGGTTCAGACCAGCTTGGACCTAAGCATTGTTAGTTAGACAATGGAAATAGCCTTATTTGTCTCTTGTGTCTAGCTTTCTCGGTCAGACCATCCTGGCCAGCAGCAAACATTCTTTTCATCACTTGCCTGACAAATTTAAATCAGGATTATTCAGCAAGCATTCTGTCAGCTTATTACTCATCTCATTGTCTTGTACGCCTTATTGCAGCCATCAAACCCTTCATTGTTCCATCCTTTAACCACATCCACTTCTGAGGCATCCACATACTCTTCTGCCTGCCACTTTCCACCAAGTGATCCACTTCGTCCCTTTCCAACACTGCCCAAGATTGCCCTTTGTCATGAAGTTTCCCAAGAGTATATGTGATTTCCCAAAACTCTCTTCAACATCCTTTGATCCCTTAGGCACTGAATTGTACAATATAACCAAAGGTGGAAATTAAAAAATTACATGGAATTTTGTTTGTACTTCTACCCTCACCATAAATTGTTCAAGCTTCTTTTGTCCAAGAGTAAGGTCTCCATTTTGGCACAACACCCGAACCTTGGGTGCTCTCTACACACAGGACAGGTTTCCATCAGCTCATGCTTAGTGCAGCGTCATCTTTAAAAAGCTCCACATCTTCCTTTAAAACACAGAAGTTAAAAGATCCTTTCCTGGGCTGGGCGCGGTGGCTCACGCCTGTAATCCCAACACTTTGGGAGGCCGAGGCGGGCGGATCACGAGGTCAGGAGATCGAGACCATCCTGGCTAACATGGTGAAACCCCATCTCTACTAAAAACACAAAAAAATTAGCTGGGCGTGGTGGCAGGCGCCTGTAGTCTCAGCTACTCGGGAGGCTGAGGCAGGAGAATGGCGTGAACCCGGGAGGCGGAGCTTGCAGTGAGCTGAGACCATGCCACTGCACTCCAGCCCGGGCAACAGAGTGAGACTCCGTCTCAAAAAAAAAAAAAAAAAAGAAGATCCTTTCCTGTGCTATGTAACTGAAACTTCTCTTGCTGGATTTCATCCACCCACTCAACAACTTGATCTTATTTATAAAGACTTTCCTCTGTAAGGAAATCATTGACTCTAAATCTGAGCTTTAAAATAATTCTTTTTTCTAAATCTTATTTACATGTTGAATGGCAAAAAAAAAAAAAAAAGGATTTGAGATTTTTAAAAAGCAATTTCTGTCTGCAGACAGACAAATTGTGAAACTGTCAACCTGGAGTTAAGATGCCCGTTAAGCTATTCAATTAGAATATGTTTATTTTGTTAAATAGTTGATATTTGTTAGGTAGATTCATATATTATATAAACTTATCCCCACAATAAAGCTTGGCAATGGATTTCATTATCCTCATATTATAGACAATGAAACCAAAGCTCAACACAAGGTCACCAAGTTACAGGTGGTAGAGCAAGATTGGTGCTCTGGTGTCTAGCCATCTAAGCCCAGTGTTCTTTCTTACTCCTGAACCCACAACCTCTGGTTAGCTCCAAGCCTCCTAATGAGAAGGAGGTGAAGGACCACACTGCATGACTGACAATGCTGCTGAGGTCAACAGACCTATGGGCAATGTGGCATGTTGATCAGATATTTAATTCCCAAATGGATTTGGAATTATTTCCCGGTGTTTCATTCAGTTCCACCGTTTTGTCTATTTATGAGTTAGCATACACTTTCAGTTATCAAAGCTTTATATTTCAGCATCTGGTAGAGCTAGTTCCTCCCTCATTAGACTTTTCCCCCTCAGATTTTTCTTTGTGCTTTGAATCAACTTAGTTCACAAGACCATTATGAATTTTTTTGTCATATATCAAATTTATAGCTTAAATCATGAGAGTTGACATCTTTTTTCATTTTTGAAACAGAGTTTCGCCCTCGTTGCCCAGGCTGGAGTGCAATGGCGCGATCTCAGCTCACAGCAACCTCTGCCTCCCAGGTTCAAGTGATTCTCCTGCCTCAGCCTCCCAAGTAGCTGTGATTACAGGCATGTGCCACCAAACCCCCCCGCTAATTTTTTTGTATTTTTTTTTTAGTAGAGACAGGGTTTCACCATGTTGGTCAGGCTGGTCTCGAACTCCTGACCTCAGATGATACATCTGCCTTGGGCTCCCAAAGTGCTGGATTACAGGTGTGAACCACTGTGCCTGGCCAAGAGTTGACATCTTGATAATATTTTCCATCTTCCTAATAAAACAAATAGATTTTTCCATCTGCACTAGTGTTCTTTTGTGTTTCCCAGTACTCATGTCTTTGTGGCTTTCCCAATCATAAAGGTAAATCTTTCTATCACTTTTTGAATCGTGTTTCAGTGTTGCTTTCTTTCCCTCTCTCTTCCTTCTTTCAAACAGCACATATGGGCACACATACAAACTTCATTGACAGAGTCATCGAGGGCATTTGAAAGAAATTGAAGAAAAAGGTCCAGGCCCTTTAATGACAGGCACATGATAAGGTGTTCTTTCTCTCTGGAGGAGCATGGCAGTCTGAAACACTCCGCGATCATAGCCTTCATGATGCAGGGACTTTTGTGTTTTGTTCATTGTGGTTTTTCCAAGTGCCCAGGGCAGTACTTGGCACATCGTGGCACTTAATAAATATTTGTTGAGTGAATGAAGAAAAACCCAGTACATGCCTTCCCAAATTCTACTGAAAAGCAGTTATGTTTACCACTATACTATCGATGCCACCCCAAATCCCACTGAAACAAGGCCTTTGGTTTATATTTTCTGGCAGCTGAAACTATGGGTATTTTGTTGTAGAAAGTCTGTTGAGAAGAGAAGCAGTATATAGAGTGTTATCATCTTCCCATGTTGGTTAGACTGACCTGTTTCTCCATTAGAGTATTAGTAATAAATGCCCAATGCTTTATTGAAAACAAATAACCATATTCCATTTTTGCTTCTTAGCAGCCGAAGCCTTGAGATTCACACTTGCACAATGATGTCTTTCAAACTGCATCCTGACAGATACTTCTTGAGCTGTCATAAGGCCTATGGAGAACATCCAGTCAATGTGTAGGTTAAGTTGTCAATGAACAATTATGGTTCTTCTGAGCCATGTTTTAAAGCAAGGCATTGTGCCCCTCCAGTGCTGCAGTGTGTCCGGGCTGTGTGGGATGCAAAGTGTGTGCAGGAAATACAGTCACACTGTGGTTTTACACGGAAGCTCAGGTTGCCTCTTATGAATATGTATGATGGGGCTGGATCATGCTCTTGCCACTTGAGTTTACTTGAGCTTAACTTAACCCCCACATACCCATTTCCTGCCTATCATTTGAAGACGTTCCTTGAGGAGGTTTGAAAAAGTGAGTTGTTTCTCCAATTGTGGAGCATTTTCCTTTTTTTTTCTCTTAAAGATGATGACAAACTACACCCTGATTTATTTTTATTCACTGTGAGTCATTTGCTAGTCTTATTTTATAGATAATATTTTATACCTCTTGCTTAGAAGCAGATGGGAAAGTTCAAGGAAACACCCCCTGCAACAGAGGAAAAGTACTCGGATCTAGATTGCTATGATGGTGTCCTTGCTGGAGTCCTGATAAGCAGCCCTGTCAGGGGGAAAGGAACAGATGGCAAATGGTCTTTGCAGAGCAGCATTTGGAGTGTTTTATCTTTGTTTTAGAAATGACTGTTACTCTGCATTTACTGTGAACTCTGCGTACTCCTGAGAATGCAGAAAATAAGCTGGAAAGTCTTTCCTATTATTCGTAAAACAGGTCACTGGATGTAAAGGGTACTTGGCCAACTGGGAGCGCTCTCTCTCTCTCTCTCTCTCTCTCTCACACACACACACACACACACACACGCCAATTGTTGTTACTGGTTATCTTTATGAGAGGAAATGGGGGAGGGGAGAGGAGCTCTAGCTGCTCTGTCGCCAAAAGGCAGAGCTCCAGAAAGCCGAGTGGGGAGCCGCATGCGCTGAGAAATGCCAGCATGTGTCACTTCCCAATCTGGCGTACACACTCAACTCCTGTTTGACATACTTTACAAAGCAGACAGGGACTGGCAGGGGTGTTTCCTCTGGACAAACATTAATGAGTGAGGAAATGGGCAAATGTAGGTTGCTATGCAGTTGTTTTGCTGTTGATGTGGGAGTAAAGCCAGGCAGCACTTAGACTGGGGGAATGTTCTCATGATTTCATGGAGGTCGCTACCCTCCCATAAGAGAACTCACGCTCATGGGTTTTCCTTAAATGACAGCAGTTGGGAAGAAAATGTGCCTTCGTCTTGATGTGCTGCTCTTGTTTCTCTGTGGGCTGTCAGTCCCTTTCCGAGATCTGTTAGGTACAAAATCGGGGCTATTCTATATTACCGGTTTCTAATGAACTGCCTGTTTTGTTTGCTTTTAGTGTTAGTCATTCTTTTTCTATATAACACTCATATTTTAAAAATTTCTCAACACTGTTTTTGGCATTTAAAGTTCATGATTTAAGAGCTGATGGTTTTGCCTTGTCATTAAATGGTGAAATAACAGGGTTAAAGTGAGGTTAACAGGATTTAGAACCCCTATTTGACCAGTCTTTCTTTCGCCTGAAAAATGGTAGGGAAAAGGGAGGGAGGAAGGAAGGAAGGAAAAAAGTCTATTCAAGGAAAAATCTTAAATAGGTGAGATTATTGACTGAATTCAAGTTTATCTGAGCTAAACCTTTTTATATGCTGTTCCCATGTCATACTTTATTGATTCAACACATAGCTTTCAAGAGTAGGTTCTGTGCCAGGTATACGAGAAAAACAGCATTTTGGCTACCATTTAATAATAGACTCTTTTAATTCTCTTCCTAAAAAGTAAGTTCTTTTTTCATTGTGTATCTCATATTCTGTCTCCACTGCCACTAGAGTAACTAGAGTACCTGTGACTTTTATTAACACAATTTTGTTTCGTGAAAAGTTTATGGGTTATCTTTTCCCTATATCCAGGTATCTTTACTCTGTTCAGCTATCCTGGACCACACAACTTAATCCAAGGCCTTGGAAGCATGTTGTATTTTACAGTCTTGCAAATTTGCTTTTCAGTGAAGTCTTTGCAGCCTTCCATCCCAGGCCCAGATTGCTTCTAGACACCTCGCTCATGAACTCCAGTTGCTTGTGTACTCATCTGTCTCCAGACAGGCTGTGAGTAACTTAAGGGCAGGGCCTGTGCCTTGTTCATCTGTGAAGTGATGGCAATATAGTCCGAACTTAATAAATATTTGCAGGAAGAAATGAATATTCCCAAAGATATCTTTGTCTATATATTCCGACCTTTTGGCCTTCTATTTTATAGGATTGAACTCTAAGAGTTAGTAGGTTTGTCGGTTGAAGTCTATATATGTTTTTTAAATTTTAGTAGATGCTGCCAGATTGTTTCCCCCCCGTCCCCCCCCCAAAAAAGCAACTCTTTCTCCCATATTTCTACCAGTAATAGGTTGTATTGGTCTTTTAGATTTTTGACAGTTTAGTAGCTATAAAGTGATATTGCAATGTTTAATTTTTATTTTCCTGGCTATAAGTGAGCTTGAGTATCTTTATATATGTTCATTGGTTCAGATTTGCTGTTCCGTGAATTAAGGTTTTACGTATTTTGCCTATTTTAATACATAAAAGTTTGCACATGTTTAAATATATTTACAAGCAAAAAGTATAAAACTCCTATACCTAAAAATTTCAAGCCACTTTACCTAAAAATTTCTATGTATCCTACAGAAATACTTAGATATATAAACAAAAATAAATGCATAAGCATCTCATTAGCACATTCTTTGTAATAACAGAAAATGAAGTTTAATAAAAAGGAAGTAGTTTAGTAAGTGTTGGTGCTTCCTCACTGTAGAATTGAATGAGGAGCTAAAAAGAATGAGGTAAGGCCAGGTGCAGTGGCTCATGGCTATAATCCCAGCACTTTGGGAGGCCGAGGCGGGAGGATTGCTTGAGCCCAGGAGTTTCATTCCATCCTGGGCAACATGGCAAAATTTTATCTCTACAAAAAATACAAAAATTAGCTGGGCATGGTGGCACACACCTGTAGTCCCAGCTACTGGGGAGGCTGAGGTGGTGAGAGGATCATCTGAGCCTGGGAAGTTGAGGCTGCAATGAGCTGAGGCTCCAATGAGCTCAGTCTGGGTGACAGAGTAAGAGCCTGTCTCAAAAAAGAAAAAAAAAAAAAAAGCAGATGAGGAGGAATATGAGAAGGAAACCCAGGAGG